>NW_003315917.2:1238692-1612928 GCF_000001405.40 Homo sapiens | reverse complement strand
GATCTTAAACTCCTGGCCTCAAGCAATCTCCCACCTTAGCCTCCCAAAGTGCTAGGATTAGAGGTGTGGACCACCGTGCCTTGCCCAAGAAAATTAATTAGAGTAAGAGAAAGGGAATAAATGATGAAGCAAAAAGGAGAGGTTAGTATTAAAATCATAAATGACGGGTTTAGGTTTTGAGAAGAGGAGAAACATAGCCTGACATCTTCAGTGCAGATATCAGGTTTAGGCTCATATATTCAGGAAAGGCTCAGAACAGATACTATGGAAACTTAAAAATACGGTTCATTAAAATATGAGAAGGCAAACCTTAACCCTAAACCTCCTTTCCTATTTAAGGGAAATAGAAAAAAATAAAGGCTAAGAGAAGTAGCTCAAAGAAATACTGATATATGTGTGTGTGTGTGTGTGTGTATTATATACGTTATACATAATATGAACCATATATATATAATATGAACTATATAATATGAATTAGATATATAATATGAACCTCTTGGAATTTAAAAAGAAATTTCTGTTATCATATATTGAGTCTCCATAGTATCTTTTCTGACCCCTTCCTGAATATATGAGCCCTAAACCTGAAATCTGCACTGAAGATGTCCGGCTATGTGTGAGCACTTTTCTTCATACTGAAAACACTAGTACTTACTCCACCTTCCTTCTCTGATATATTATATATTATAAATATATGTATATTTTCTTGAGACAGTGTCTCATTCTGTCACTCAGGCTGAAGTGCAGTGGTACAATCATGGCTCACTGAAGCTTCAACCTCCTGGGCTCAAGTAATCCTTCTGCTTCAGCCTCCCAAACAGCTAGGACCACAGGTGTGTGCCCAGGCTGGTCTCACCTGGGCTCAGGCAATCCTCCTGCCTTGGCCTCTCAAAGTACTGGGATTACAGGCATGAGCCACCACGCCCAGCCCTAATATTTTTTAAAAAACAAAAATAAAATAAGTAAAAGGAAGACAGTCATTCAGTCAAATGCCCTTCAGACATTTTGAGTTTTTTATCATAAGCAGGTATTGCTTATTCCAAGAAGTAAGTACACTTTTGATTTTTAAAAGATCTGATTTTAAAGCACTTTAAACTTCAAAGTTCCACAGGAATAGAGACTCCACCTGGCAGCAGAAAGACACAGCAAAGAACATGTTAGATGATAGAGGGCTATAGTGCTTAAATAGTAGCCTCCCCCAACAAAAGATAAAAAGATATAGCCATATCCTAATCACCAGAATCTGTAAAGATGGTCTCATTTGAAAAAGGAATCTTTGCAGATATAATTAAGAATCTTGTGGATTACCTGGGTGGTCCCTAAATCCAGTGACAAGTGTTCTTATAAGATAGAGAAGGAGAAGACCCAGATACCCAGAGAAGGTCACGTGAAGATGGAGGCAGACATGGGAGGGAGGTAGCCATAAGCCAGGGGAATACCTGGAGCCACCAGGAGCTGGAAGAGGCTAGGAAAGGAACAGAATGTCCCCTGGAAGCACAGCCCCGCTGCTGCCTTGACTGCAGAGTTATGGCTTCCAGAACTTCACAGAATAAATTTCTGTTAGCCAAGCATTGTGGCTCACACCTATAATCCCAGCTACCCACAAGGCAAAGGTAGGAGGATGATCTGAGGCCAGGAGTTCAAGACCAGCTGGAGCAACATACCAAGACATTCATCTCTAAATAAATACATAAATTGCTGTTGCTTTAAGCCACTCAATTTGTGATAATTTGTTACAACAGCCCTAGGAAACTAATAAAAGGTAAGCTATAAAAATTGTAACACCAGGCCCAGCATGTTGGCTCAGGCCTGTAATCCCAGCACATTGGGAGGCTAAGGCAGAAGGATCCTTGAGGCCAAGAATTTGAGACCAGCCTGGCCAACATAGCAAGATCCTGTTTCTCTAAAAGAAAAAAATATAATACCAGATTAAATGGAGACCACAATACGAATTTCATATAGATAATGCAACGGCCATCTGTGCAAAAGTAAGCAAAGCCGAAGTTTCTATTTAGATAAATAAAGCATATAGGTAGGCATGGTCACTGTGTAACAGTAAAATATACCATAAACAATTACAACCAACTATGTTGATAGAAAAATCAAAAAGATATATAATAATTGCAAGTATAGATTAATCAGAATATTAATAAAAATATGACAAACTTAAATCCAATAAAGAAATGAAAACACAATAGCAGCATCTGTATTATAAATATTCCAACCATGCAAAAAAAATTACAGAATAACAAACATCCATTAGCCTAATACCTAATCTTAATAAACCTTGACATTAAGCAAAATTTACTTCAGATCATTTTTTTAAGGAATAAAGTATTTGACCAGGCGCGGTGGCTCATGCCTGTTATCCCAGCACTTTGGGAGGCCGAGGCGGGCGGATCACGAGGTCGGCAGATCACGAGGTCAGGAGATCGAGACCATCCTGGCTAATGTGGTGAAACCCTGTCTCTACTAAAAATACAAAAAATTAGCCGGGCATGGTGGTGGGCGCCTGTAGTCCCAGCTACTCAGGAGGCTGAGGCAGGAGAATAGCGTGAACCCGGGAGGCAAAGTTTGCAGTGAGCCGAGGTAGCACCACTGCACTCCAGCCTGGGCAACAGAGCAAGACTCCATCTCAAAAAAAAAAAAAGAAAAAAAAAGGAATAAAGTATTTGAGATATAGTTGAAGCGCCTATCTACCTCCTACCTCATCCCTGTCTCTTCCTTCCCACCTCAGAGGCAACCACTGTTCTAAAGCTGAGTGTATCGCTCCCACGTGCATGTTTATACACAAATAATATACAGTAGGATTCGATGTATTTAACCTTTACATACATAGTAAATAGCCATATATTGATTCTACTATGTTTTTTACTCAATCTACTTTTTGAGACTTATATTGACAGATGCAATTTTAGTTCATTCCTTTTAACAGACAAAAACTGTATTATTAATCTCCCATGAATGAACAGTTAGGTTATTCTCTAACTTTTGCTCTAACAAACAATGCTATAATGAACTTTTCTTTTCTTTTTCTTTTGTGAGACAGGGTCTCATTCTGTTTCTCAGGCTGGAGTGCAGTGGTGCAACCACAGCTCGCTGTAGCCTCAAACTCCAAGGCTCAAGTGATCCTCCTACCTCAGCCTCCTGAAAGCTGGAACCATAGGCATGTGCCACACCACACTCGGCTAATTTTTTATTTTTTTGTAGAGACAGGGTCTCCCTATGTTGCCCAGGCTGGTCTCTCACTCCTGGACTCAAGTGATCCTCTCACTTCAGCCTCCCAAAGTGCTGGGATTTCAGGCACAAGTCACAGTGCCTGGCCATGAATTATTCTTCTAAGTATCTCTTCATACATATATCAGAGTTTCCCTAGGGTATAGCCCTAAAAAAGGAATTACTGGAGCCCTTTCTTTTTAAACCCTGTTTTCCTTTTAAAAACCTGTTCTTTGTTTGTTTGAGACGGAGTCTCACTTCGTCGCCAGGCTGGAGTGCAGTGGCATGATCTCAGCTCACTGCAACCTCTGCCTCCCAGGTTCAAGCATTTCTCCTGCCTCAGTCTCCCAAGTTGCTGGGACTACAGGCATGTGCCACCACGCCCAGCTAATTTTTTGTATTTTTAATAGAGACGGGGTTTCACCGCGTTAGCCAGGATAGTCTCGATCTCCTGACCTCGTGATCCCCCCACCTCGGCCTCCCAAAGTGCTGGGATTCCAGGCGTGAGCCACCGCGCCTGGCCTAAAACCTGTTTTAATAATCTTATTACAGTATAGGAGTATTCCTATAGTTAATAAAAAGCTCTAATTGGAGACAACCTTTAGATACTCTCTGTGGAAAAAGATTAGATTTTGGGGAGGAGCCAAGATGGCCGAATAGGAACAGCTCCGGTCTACAGCTCTCAGCGTGAGCGACGCAGAAGACGGGTGATTTCTGCATTTCCATCTGAGGTACTGGGTTCATCTCACTAAGGAGTGCCAGACAGTGGGCGCAGGTCAGTGGGTGCGCGCACCGTGTGCGAGCCGAAGCAGGGCGAGGCATTGCCTCACTTGGGAAGCGCAAGGGGTCAGGGAGTTCCCTTTCCGAGTCAAAGAAAGGGGTGACGGACGCACCTGGAAAATCGGGTCACTCCCACCCGAATATTGCGCTTTTCGGACCAGCTTAAAAAACGGCGCACCAGGAGATTATATCCCGCACCTGGCTCGGAGGGTCCTACGCCCACGGAGTCTCGCTGATTGCTAGCACAGCAGTCTGAGATCAAACTGCAAGGCGGCAGCGAGGCTGGGGGAGGGGCGCTCGCCATTGCCCAGGCTTGCTTAAGGTAAACAAAGCAGCCAGGAAGCTCGAACTGGGTGGAGCCCACCACAGCTCAAGGAGGCCTGCCTGCCTCTGTAGGCTCCCCTCTGGGGGCAGGGCACAGACAAACAAAAAGACAGCAGTAACCTCTGCAGACTTAAATGTCCCTGTCTGACAGCTTTGAAGAGAGCAGTGGTTCTCCCAGCACACAGCTGGAGATCTGAGAACGGGCAGACTGCCTCCTCAAGTGGGTCCCTGACCCCTGACCCCCGAGCAGCCTAACTGGGAGGCACCCCCCAGCAGGGGCACACTGACATCTCACACGGCAGGGTATTCCAACAGACCTGCAGCTGAGGGTCCTGTCTGTTAGAAGGAAAACTAACAAACAGAAAGGACATCCACACCAAAAACCCATCTGTACATCACTATCATCAAAGACCAAAAGTAGATAAAACCACAAAGATGGGGAAAAAACAGAACAGAAAAACTGGAAACTCTAAAACGCAGAGCACCTCTCCTCCTCCAAAGGAACGCAGTTCCTCACCAGCAACGGAACAAAGCTGGATGGGGAATGACTTTGATGAGCTGAGAGAAGAAGGCTTCAGACGATCAAATTACTCTGAGCTACGGGAGGACATTCAAACTAAAGGCAAAGAAGTTGAAAACTTTGAAAAAAATTTAGAAGAATGTATAACTAGAATAACCAATACAGAGAAGTGCTTAAAGGAGCTGATGGAGCTGAAAACCAAGGCTCGAGAACTACGTGAAGAATGCAGAAGCCTCAGGAGCTGAAGCGATCAACTGTAAGAAAGGGTATCAGCAATGGAAGATGAAATGAATGAAATGAAGCGAGAAGGGAAGTTTAGAGAAAAAAGAATAAAAAGAAATGAGCAAAGCCTCCAAGAAATATGGGACTATGTGAAAAGACCAAATCTACGTCTGATTGGTGTACCTGAAAGTGATGGGGAGAATGGAACCAAGTTGGAAAACACTCTGCAGGATATTATCCAGGAGAACTTCCACAATCTAGCAAGGCAGGCCAACGTTCAGATTCAGGAAATACACAGAACACCACAAAGATACTCCTCGAGAAGAGCAACTCCAAGACACATAATTGTCAGATTCACCAAAGTTGAAATGAAGGAAAAAATGTTAAGGGCAGCCAGAGAGAAAGGTCGGGTTACCCTCAAAGGGAAGCCCATCAGACTAACAGCGGATCTCTCGGCAGAAACCTACAAGCCAGAAGAGACTAGGGGCCAATATTCAACATTCTTAAAGAAAAGAATTTGCAACCCAGAATTTCATATCCAGCCAAACTAAGCTTCATAAGTGAAGGAGAAATAAAATCCTTTACAGACAAGCAAATGCTGAGAGATTCTGTCACCACCAGGCCTGCCCTAAAAAAGGAAGCGCTAAACATGGAAAGGAACAACCGGTACCAGCCACTGCAAAAATCAAGCCAAAATGTAAAGACCTTCAAGACTAGGAAGAAACTGCATCAACTAGCAAGCAAAATCACCAGCTAACATCATAATGACAGGATCAAATTCACACATAACAATATTAACTTTAAATGTAAATGGACTAAATGCTCCAATTAAAAGACACAGACTGGCAAACTGGATAAAGAGTCAAGACCCATCAGTGTGCTGTATTCAGGAAACCCATCTCACGTGCAGAGACACACATAGGCTCAAAATAAAAGGATGGAGGAAGATCTACCAAGCAAATGGAAAACAAAAAAAGGCAGGGGTTGCAATCCTAGTCTCTGATAAAACAGACTTTAAACCAACAAAGATCAAAAGAGACAAAGAAGGCCATTACATAATGGTAAAGGGATCAATTCAACAAGAAGAGCTAACTATCCTAAATATATATGCACCCAATACAGGAGCACCCAGAGTCATAAAGCAAGTCCTGAGTGACCTACAAAGAGACTTAGACTCCCACACATTAATAATGGGAGACTTTAACACCCCACTGTCAACATTAGACAGATCAACGAGACAGAAAGTCAACAAGGATACCCAGGAATTGAACTCAGCTCTGCACCAAGCGGACCTAATAGACATCTACAGAACTCTCCACCCCAAATCAACAGAATATACATTTTTTTCAGCACCACACCACACCTATTCCAAAATTGACCACATACTTGGAAGTAAAGCTCTCCTCAGCAAATGTAAAAGAACAGAGATTATAATAAACTATCTCTCAGACCACAGTGCAATCAAACTAGAACTCAGGATTAAGAATCTCACTCAAAACTGCTCAACTACATGGAAACTGAACAACCTGCTCCTGAATGACCACTGGGTACATAACGAAATGAAGGCAGAAATAAAGATGTTCTTTGAAACCAACAAGAACAAAGACACAACATACCAGAATCTCTGGGACGCATTCAAACAGTGTGTAGAGGGAAATTTATAGCACTAAATGCCCACAAGAGAAAGCAGGAAAGATCCAAAATTGACACCCTAACATCACAATTAAAAGAACTAGAAAAGCAAGAGCAAACACGTTCAAAAGCTAGCAGAAGGCAAGAAATAACTAAAATCAGAGCAGAACTGAAGGAAATAGAGACACAAAAAACCCTTCAAAAAATTAATGAATCCAGGAGCTGGTTTTTTGAAAGGATCAACAAAATTGATAGACCGCTAGCAAGACTAATAAAGAAAAAAAGAGAGAAGAATCAAATAGACGCAATAAAAAATGATAAAGGGGATATCACCACCGATCCCACAGAAATACAAACTACCATCAGAGAATACTACAAACACCTCTACGCAAATAAACTAGAAAATCTAGAAGAAATGGATAAATTCCTCGACACACAAACTCTCCCAAGACTAAACCAGGAAGAAGTTGAATCTCTGAATAGACCAATAACAGGAGCTGAAATTGTGGCAATAATCAATAGTTTACCAACCAAAAAGAGTCCAGGACCAGATGGATTCACAGCCGAATTCTACCAGAGGTACAAGAAGGAACTGGTACCATTCCTTCTGAAACTATTCCAATCAGTAGAAAAAGAGGGAATCCTCCCTAACTCATTTTATGAGGCCAGCATCATTCTGATACCAAAGCCGGGCAGAGACACAACCAAAAAAGAGAATTTTAGACCAATATCCTTGATGAACATTGATGCAAAAATCCTCAATAAAATACTGGCAAAACGCATCCAGCAGCACATCAAAAAGCTTATCCACCATGATCAAGTGGGCTTCATCCCTGGGATGCAAGGCTGGTTCAATATATGCAAATCAGTAAATGTAATCCAGCATATAAACAGAGCCAAAGACAAAAACCACATGATTATCTCAATAGATGCAGAAAAAGCCTTTGACAAAATTCAACAACCCTTCATGCTAAAAACTCTCAATAAATTAGGTATTGATGGGACGTATTTCAAAATAATAAGAGCTATCTATGACAAACCCACAGCCAATATCATACTGAATGGGCAAAAACTGGAAGCATTCCCTTTGAAAACTGGCACAAGACAGGGATGCCCTCTCTCACCACTCCTATTCAACATAGTGTTGGAAGTTCTGGCCAGGGCAATTAGGCAGGAGAAGGAAATAAAGGGTATTCAATTAGGAAAAGAGGAAGTCAAATTGTCCCTGTTTGCAGACGACATGATTGTATATCTAGAAAACCCCATTGTCTCAGCCCAAAATCTCCTCAAGCTGATAAGCAACTTCAGCAAAGTCTCAGGATACAAAATCAATGTACAAAAATCACAAGCATTCTTAAATACCAACAACAGACAAACAGAGAGCCAAATCATGAGTGAACTCTCATTCACAATTGCTTCAAAGAGAATAAAATACCTAGGAATCCAACTTACAAGGGATGTGAAGGACCTCTTCAAGGAGAACTACAAACCACTGCTCAAGGAAATAAAAGAGGATACAAACAAATGGAAGAACATTCCATGCTCATGGGTAGGAAGAATCAATATCGTGAAAATGGCCATACTGCCCAAGGTAATTTACAGATTCAATGCCATCCCCATCAAGCTACCAAAGACTTTCTTCACAGAATTGGAAAAAACTACTTTAAAGTTCACATGGAACCAAAAAAGAGCCCACATCGCCAAGGCAATCCTAAGCCAAAAGAACAAAGCTGGAGGCATCACACTACCTGACTTCAAACTGTACTACAAGGCTACAGTAACCAAAACAGCATGGTATTGGTACCAAAACAGAGATATAGATCAATGGAACAGAACAGAGCCCTCAGAAATAACGCCGCATACCTACATCTTATCTTTGACAAACCTGAGAAAAACAAGCAATGGGGAAAGGATTCCCTATTTAATAAATGGTGTTGGGAAAACTGGCTAGCCATATGTAGAAAGCTGAAACTGGATCCCTTCCTTACACCTTATACAAAAATCAATTCAAGATGGATTAAAGACTTAAACATTAGACCAAAAACCATAAAAACCCTAGAAGAAAACCTAGGCATTACCATTCAGGACATAGGCATGGGCAAGGACTTCATGTCCGAAACACCAAAAGCAATGGCAACAAAAGCCAAAATTGACAAATGGGATCTAATTAAACTAAAGAGCTTCTGCACAGCAAAAGAAACTACCATCAGAGTGAACAGGCAACCTACAAAATGGGAGAAAATTTTCACAACCTACTCATCTGACAAAGGGCTAATATCCAGAATCTACAATGAACTCAAATTTACAAGAAAAAAACAAACAACCCCATCAAAAAGTGGGTGAAGGACATGAACAGACACTTCTCAGAAGAAGACATTTATGCAGCCAAAAAACACATGAAAAAATGCTCGTCATCACTGGCCATCAGAGAAATGCAAATCAAAACCACAATGAGATACCATCTCACACCAGTTAGAATGGCAATCATTAAAAAGTCAGGAAACAACAGGGGCTGGAGAGGATATGGAGAAATAGGAACACTTTTACACTGTTGGTGGGACTGTAAACTAGTTCAACCATTGTCGAAGTCAGTGTGGCGATTCCTCAGGGATCTAGAACTAGAAATACCATTTGACCTAGCCATCCCATTACTGGGTATATACCCAAAGGACTATAAATCATGCTGCTATAAAGACACATGCACACGTATGTTTATTGCGGCATTATTCACAATAGCAAAGACTTGGAACCAACCCAAATGTCCAAAAATGATAGACTGGATTAAGAAAATGTGGCACATATACACCATGGAATACTATGCAGCCATAAAAAATGATGAGTTCATGTCCTTTGTAGGGACATGGATGAAATTGGAAATCATCATTCTCAGTAAACTATCGCAAGAACAAAAAACCAAACACCGCATATTCTCACTCATAGGTGGGAATTGAACAATGAGATCACATGGACACAGGAAGGGGAATATCACACTCTGGGGACTGTGGTGGGGTGGGGGGAGCGGGGAGGGATAGCATTGGGAGATATACCTAATGCTAGATGACGATTTAGTGGGTGCAGCGCACCAGCATGGCACATGTGTACGTATGTAACTAACCTGCACAATGTGCACATGTACCCTAAAACCTAAAGTATAAAAAAAAAAAAAAGATTAGATTTTGTGTTAAATTCTGTTTTACTTTCAAGCCATCCCAGAGTACCTAATTCGTAAAGATACTTAAGAGTAAAAAGCACCACTGTACACTTTATTCATGAAAAATTACCTGTGCAATATTTTTAGAAGACATAATTGCCTGATTATAGAATGTACGGCCAAAGTGGTCTCGATCTGGAAACACATCTGCTTGTCGAGGTAAGTATGCTCCTCCCGAATCAACTGAAGACAAGAAATGAGAAACATAAGCATCTCTATGAACTAAATGTGCTACGCAGAGGGAAACTTGTATCAATGACAGCATCAGTTCTTAATCACATTCACAAAAAACTTGCCCTGTCTTTCTAAACTGTTATAGAGCCTCGTTCTCCAAACCCCCAATGCAGCCAAAAGGATTCATTGCCCCAAACCCATCAGGCTTTCCCACCTCTGTGCAAAATTCTTCTCGAAATGGTTAGAACCTTCTCTCCTTTGAGGACCAGCTAAAGCCCCAGAAACATCATAAATTCTTAAAGAGTTAAGGTGGAAAAGTATCTTTCCTTCTTCTAAACCAATACAAAAGCCATCCACAGAATTCATATAATAATTTATACATATTGCCTTCTGATACTGTTTTCATTGCAGATTGGAGTGGTGGGTACACAGGTCAGTTGCGTTCAAAGCAGAGCTCATGACTTCACAGCTGTGTGATTATAGGTGTGTTTCCTAGCCATCCTATGCCCCGGTTTCCTTACCCACGAAATGAAGATAAAAAAAGGAGCCATATCATATATTAGGATGACTTGAAAAATGTATAGAAAGCACTTAGTTCAGAATCTGCAACCATTAAGTCTTTTGTTGGTTGCACATTATATGCTGTGTCCAATTCATTATGAGCTCGCTGAAGACAGAGACAACAAAATCCTCCTCACTGTATCCCCTATAAAGACCAGCACAGCACCTACAAGCAGCTGGGCCTCATTTGCTGTTTTCTCTACGTGCAGAGCAGTTCGTATTGTGAGTTAATCAGGTAAATTCAACTTCACAGAAAAACACAAAACAAAAAATACCTCTACATCAGTACCCGTTCAAATACCTGCATACATGAACAACGTATGTTGGAATTTTATCAGACTAACCCAGTATCAGGAAAGGCCCATTTTTTTTTTTTTTTTTTTTTTTTGAGACAGTCTCTCTCTCTGTCGCCCAGGCTGGAGTACAGTGGCACGATTTCAGCTCACTGCAAGCTCCGCCTCCCAGGTTCACACCATTCTCCTGCCTCAGCCTCCCAAGTAGCTGGGACTACAGCTGCCTGCCACCACGCTCGGCTAATTTTTTGTATTTTTTTTTAGTAGAGACGAGGTTTCAGTGTGTTAGCCAGGATGGTCTCCATCTCCTGACCTCATGATCCGCCTGCCTCGGCCTCCCAAAGTGCTGGGATTACAGGCGTGAGCCACCGCGCCCGGAGGAAAGGCCCATTTTAAACTGCTTTGCTTTCAGGTTCTTTGATTTAAATGTGTTTTAATTTCAAATATAAGTTTACTTTCACTGGAAATTAAATTTACTTTAAATTACATCTGCTCAAATTATATAATACTTGCACATTTAACTCAGTACCTGGCACTCAAGAGATCTATAAATACTTGCTACTATTTTTTTCATAGTATGATCCATAAAGTTAAAAGAAAAACAGGATCTAGAGAACAAAAAAAAAAAACCACACAACACATAGAGAAAAAAACTGGCATGCGTCAAAATGTATGAGTATTATGCACTAGTACTATGAACAGTTCTTGTTTACTTTCCCCCAGAGTTTTCAGCAAAGAACCTGTGTTTCCTTTATAATTACAGGAGAAATCAACAGGTTTATAAAATACCCATCCCAAATGTAATACATACAGCCTTCCAAACTATCTTGCATTTTACCAGCTAATAATAGTTTATTTTACCACTCTGGTGACTTGCCTAAGTAGATGCAGGGGAGCCTGTTTTGCATGGCAATTTCTTGGGCCCGTAATTGTTTTTTCACAGTCACTGGGTAGTAGGCACCTCCTTTGACGGTGGCATCATTGGCAATAATCATGCATTCTACTCTGAAAGGCAGAAATTTCATTGGAGAGAGAATTTAAGAGATTTCTTCAAAACTAATTACACTCATTACAAGATACCCCAATACAACCTTCAACTTCTAGTACGTATCACTATTAACATCCATTAGCAGACAGCAGTCTTAGGATATAAATGCAAACTTTAATCACAGTTCACATATTAATTTATATAATACAAAACAATTACTTCTAACAAGTTTATAAACTCACACTTGGTTTTTGAAAAGTCATCAGTCCTAGATTAGTAATAAAAAACTAACAACCTAAGCCTTGTGTCATAATGGTTCTTTGAATGAAAAGGTCCTAATAAGATGAAAATAATAATGAAAAAAAAAATCCAAGTCTCAAGGGAAAAGAATTCCCTCATAATAAACCTTCAAAGTCTCCTTTTAGGAGGGTATTTTGCAAAAATGAAAACTGACCTTTAGTACTAAGATTTATTTTTTGTATTCTTGTTCTTCAACATTACAGCCCCATGGTTTTCTACAAAACTAAATGTAGTCTAAAATATAACGTTCATCTTAACTGAAGTCAGAATGAATGCAAACTTTAATATACTAAAAACACATGAAAGGTATCCTGAGTCATCAACAGTGCCCTTTCTCACCAAAACCAGTTTATTGGGTATGAGTCACAAAGAGCAGGGCGGCCAACAACCACAGCTGGTTGGGGAAACTGTACAGCACTGGCAGGAAACCTTAAGGTCAGAGGTACCCTTGAAATCTGAGATGACAACAGTGTGCTCTTTACAAAATTCAATTTTCTTTATGTTTCTGATGTTTGTGTTACCTCACTTTATGCTGCCTACAACTCTAAAGAGTGAGTCATTAAATCCCTGCTGAAAATAGAGAACGGCAACTGAACACCCAGCACAGGGTAGTGTTGAGCTTCTCATACTAGGATATGTGGCCAGCAGGGCTCGCCACAAGACAAACAGGACTCTTCTTTGAGCATCAATTTTATTCCCTAGGTCATATAAAACCTTTTTCTGCACTGCAATGAACATTTTATAGAGTAGAATGCAAACTTTTAATGATTTAACATTAAACGAACTAGACTTCAAAGGAAATGTAGGCTTCTCATAGGTTGCTGGGCCATAACCTCACACTCCAGAGTGTGTGCTCATACTTCCTACCACTGGGGGTGCTACGCTAGAAAGTTTAAGAAGCTCTGGTACTGGAAAGAGGCCAGGCTGTGAAGTCAGACAAAGTTAGACTGAAATTCTGGCTCTGCCAACTTGTTAGTTATGTGACCATGGACAAGGGACATAGCCATATCTGCTTGTCTATTAAAGGTCACAGACTTGTTACAGAATGAGAAATCAAATTGGCCCACAAAAATACTAGATTGCATTTCTATTGGTTTTGCCTACCCAGCATCTATTATTTTGGCAACAAAACTAAACCTTCTTTCAGAAACTGCCTCTTATCTTTAATCCAGGTGGCTCAAGTAGGACTGACCCCAGAGCCTGCCTTAAAGGGGGGCACAGGGACCAGGTCTTTCTACCCAGAGTTCCCACTGAGGCTCGGCAATGGGACAGGCTCTAAGCCTAAGCAGATCTTGCCTTCCACTGCAGCTGCTAAACTTATAGAATATAAACCAGGAACTGCCTATGACCATCACTGCCTCTGGATTTAGAGAGGCTGCCTAGAAACAAAGCTGACACACAGCAAGTCAGGGCCAGGAGTAGAAAACAGCCTGGGACCTAGTAATACCTAAGACCATTTGAGCTCCCAGATACAGCCATGCCCAGACTCACCAGATAAGAGAATCAATATATCCTCTTTTTTGCTTAATTTGAGCAAATTCAGCTCATCTGTCATTTGTCAGAGAAAGAGTAGTGATGATATAAACCATTCAACAATTTTTATGTAAGAAAGGTCAATTTGAATTATAATAAAGGCCAGAGCAATGGCTCATGCTTGTGATCCCAGCACTTTGGGAGGCCAAGGCAGGAAGATCATTTGATGCCAGGAGTTTGAGGCTACAGTAAGCTATGATCATGTCACTGCACTCCAGCCTGGGCAACAGAGTAAGACCCCAACTCAAAAAAAAAAAATTATAATGATGTGCTAGCCTATATTCAACATCGTTTGAGCCCAGAAGTTCGAGATTAGCCTAGGCAACAGAGCGAGACACCATCTCTAAAAAAAACAAAAAAGGAAAAAAGAAAGAATTTATAATTAAGTACTACTTTATACCTATTAAATGACTGAATTTTTTTCAGCCATAATATCCAGTACTAGAGCATCTCTAGTTAAAAGATAAAGACTGGTCTCCTTCCTTGCCCTTGTCTCCATGGAAAGACATCTTTTTGTTTTTTTTTTGAGACGGAGTCTTGCTCTGTCACCAGGATGGAGTGCAGTGGCTCCATCTCAGCTCACTGCAACTTCTGCCTCCCAGGTTCAAGCGATTCTCCTGCCTCAGCCTCCCAAGTAGCTGGGACTACAGGCGTGTGCCACCATGCCGGCTTATTTTTTTATTTTTAGTAGAGACAGGGTTTCACCACATTGGCCAGCCTGATCTCAAACTCCTGACCTCAGGTGATCCACCCACCTCAGCCTCCCAAAGTGCTGGGATTACAGGCGTGAGCCACCACACCCAGCCAGTCCTACATAATATAAATAGCATACAAATCGCATGCTAATATGCAAAGTGAGTGCTGGATGCCTGTGCCTCATCAAAGTCTTCTTCTCAACCCACATTATGAAGCACAAGTAGAATACTCACCCTGATACTCTTCCAATGCCTGTAATAATGCCACCTCCTGGCACCTCCTCATTGTCATATAACTGGTAACCTGCAAACTGGGATAATTCCAGAAATGGAGACCTAAAGCGAAGAAAGGATGTTGTTTGAATTAATGTCATTAAAAACTACACATTTAAACAGTTACACATGGAAAAGGAAAAGATTTTTCCTCAATGGGACAATATTTCAAATACACATGTTGTATATAAAATCTATTTTTAAAAATCTAAAATGGGTGTGGTGGCTCAAGTCTGTAATCCCAGTTATTCAGGAGGCTGAGACAAGAGGACTGTTTGAGCCCAAGAGTTGGAGGCCAGCCAGGACAACATAGTGAGACCCCATCTCTTTTTTGTTGTTGTTGTTGTTTTTTGAGATGGAGTCTTGCCCTGTCACCCAGGCTGGAGTGCAGTGGCGCGATCTCAGCTCACTGCAACCTCCACCTCCTGAGTTCAAGCGATTCTCCTGCCTCAGCCTCCCGAGTAACTGGGATTACAGGCATGCGCCACCACAACCAGCTAATTTTTTGTATTTTTAGTAGAGACGGGGTTTCACCATGTTGGCCAGGCTGGTCTCAAACTCCTTACCTGAAGGTTATCTGCCCACCTCGGCCTCACAAAGTGCTGGGATTACAGGCATGAGCCACCACGCCCAGCCAAGACCCCATCTCTTAAAAACTTTTGGAGGTAGGTGGGGTGGCTCATGCCTGTAGTCCTAGCACTTTGTGGGGCTCAAGTGGGTGGACTGCTTGAGCCCAGGAGTTTGAGGCCAGCCTGAGCAACACGGGGAAACCCCATCTTTACAAAAAAAAAAAAATTTTCAACACAGCTGGGCATGATGGCACATGCCTGTGGTCCCAGCTACTTGGGAGGCTGAGGTGGAAGAATCACTTGAGCCCAGGAGGCCAAGGCTGCAGAGAACTGTGACTGTGCCACTGCACTCCAGCCTGGGCAATGGAATGAGACCCTGTCTCAAAAAACAACTAATGGCCAGGCACGGTGGCTCATGCCTGTAATCTCAGCACTTTGGGAGGCTGAGACAGGTAGATCACGTGAGGTCAGGAGTTTGAGACCAGCCTGGATAACATGGTGAAACCCCATCTCTACTAAAAATACAAAAAAAAAAAAAAAAAAAAATTAGCCAGGCGTGGAGGCACGTGCCTGTAATCCCAGCTACTCGGGAGGCTGAGGCAGGAGAATCACCTGAATCCGGAAGGCAGAGGTTTCAGTGAGCTGAGATCATGCCACTGCACCCCAGCCTGGGCAACAGGGCAAAACTCCATCTCAAAAAATAAATAATTAATTAATTAATTAAAATAAAAATCCTTTCCAAATACCAGGCTCTCTTCTAAAGGCTTTAGAAACACTCACTTATCGGCTGGTGTGGTGGCTCATGCCTGTAATCCCGGCACTTTGGGAGGCCAAGGTGGGCAGATCACGAGGTCAAGAGATTGAGACCATCCTGGGCAACATGGTGAAACCCCGTCTCTACTAAAAATACAAAAATTAGCTGGGCATGGTGGTGCACACCTGTAATCCAGCTACTCGGGAGGCTGAGGCAGGAGAATCGCTTGAACCCAGGAGGCGGAGGTTAAGTGAACGGAGATCGCGCCACTGCACTCCAGCCTGGTGACAGAGTGAGACTCCGTCTCAAAAAAAAAAAAAAAAAAAAGAAACACTCACTCATGTCCTCCTTAGAACCACCTTCTGAGGTGGATCTTATTGTGACCCTCATTTACTGATGAGGAAACTGAAACACACAGAGATCAAGTCACTTGTCTAAGGTTACACAGTAAGTAAGGGGCAGAGCCGGGAGCTTCATAAGCAATCTTGCCCCAGGGGCCAGGCTCTTAACCACTAGTCCGCCTCTCACTTACTTACATGGTCAAGATACATTAGGAGGGAAAAAAGAGAGCTGGCTACAAAACAGCAAATTTAGTACGATTTCATTTGCATTTTTAAAAAATGTAGGTGTCTGGTATATATATATGCATACAAATGGCCTAGAAGGATAATATACTAGGTGTTAACAGTGCTGTCTCCAGGTTGGATGTGTGTGCACGTGTCAGGAGAAAAAATACTTTGGGAGTTTTCACTTACCCCTCTTCTCCCCCTTACACTCCATATCCAATCCTTCAGGAAATCCTGTTGGGTTGGCTCTGTCTTCACAATACATCCAGAACCCTGCACTCCTGCCACCACCACTACTACTACCCTATGCCGAGTCCCCATCATGTCTCCCTCAAATCCTTGCAATCGCCCTCTACCTGGTCACAGGGCTTCCACCCTTGCTGCTCCATCTACTCACAACACAGCAGCCAGAAGCACTCTTTTAAGCTATGTCAGATCATAATCATCTCCTGTTCAAAACCCTACAATAGCTCCCCATTTCTCCCATGGTGAAAACCAAAACCTTTATGATAACCCACAAGGCCATACAGGATCTGACCCATCTCCTACTCCTCTCCCCTCACTCCCTCCACCACAACCACCCCAGCCTCCTGGCTGCCCCTTGAGCATACCAGCATTACCTGGCACACTCCCACCTCAGGGCCTTTGCACTGGCCATTCCCTCTGCCTGAAACACTCTTTCCCCAGAGAGTTACAAGGCTCTCTCTCTCTCTCTCCTCCTTTAAATCTTTGCTCAGACATCACCTTCTCAATGCGGCCTACCTTGGCACCACCTCTTAAAACTGCAACTTGCCCTATATCTTCCTCTCCTTTACCCTGGGCCACCTTTTCTTTTTCTCATGACATTTGTCACTTACTAACACACTACAGAATTTACAATCTTTTTTTTTTTTGAGACAGAGTCTCGCTCTGTCACCCAGGCTGGAGTGCAGTGGCACAATCTCGTCTCACTGCAACCTCTGCCTCTGGGGTTCGAGCGACTCTCCTGCCTCAGCCTCCCGAGTAGCTGGGACTACAAGCACATGCCACCATGCCCAGCTAATTTTTTGTATTTTTAGTAGAGACGGGTTTTCACCATGTTAGCCAGATGGTCTCAATCTCCTGACTTCATGATCCGCCCACCTCGGCCTCCCAAAGTGCTGGGATTACAGGAGTGAGCCACCACACCCAGCCAGAAGTTACAGTCTTTACTGTTGCTTTCTGTCTCCCTTTGCTATGATGTAAACTCTAGTAGAGCAAAGATCTGTGTCTGTTTTGGTCACTGATATATCACTAGTACCTGACCAATAGTAGGCTCTCAATAAACATGTCAACACATAGTGCTTGACACATAGTAGGCTCTCAATAAACACATGTTCCTGAATCTTACGATGAGAACTAGAATTCAAAATAACTGATTTACAAGACTGTCTAATAAAGTACTATGGAACAGAGAACACTCTGAGTCAGTACTTGGCTATGTACGCACCCTGGGTCTATGAGATTGTCAATTCTTTCTCTGGGCAATAGTTTTCCTCTTGATATGTGAAGTGCTCGGGCTTTCTCACCACCTCCTATGATAGAAATGTGATTAGATTAGATTAGATTGACACGATAAAAAGGTCTCAATGCCAGAAAAACATAATACTTAATCCAAAATATAGCACTTTTTAAAAGTTCAACATATCCTCTGAGAAAAGGCTAATAATCATTCACTCAACTTACAAGTTGCCAATTTTCTGAAGTAAATGTAAAAACTGGTATTAAAAAAAAATCAATCTATCCCTGATTTTAGAGTATATCCTAGAGTCTATGTTCTGAATTCACTAGTAGTTACATAAATTACAGAGTATTTTCTCTGCAGCTCACATATTGCAAATAATGCCTCATCTCCACCACATTTATTAAATACATGCTATGATAGATCTGGAAAATTCCTATCTTCATTTGTACCAGGTAAAAATAAAATTTTAGAAATTACTTCCATGATAAGTGCAGTAAATTTACCTAAAGATGACATTAGTGATCCGTAACTTTTTAGGCTTGCAACTGGGTGAGTTGAACACTTTAGCAATTTAAAAGTCCCCTTCCTTGACTCAGAGATTGTCTTCAGTGCTTCTCAACATTGCTCACATCATGACAGACAAAGAAAATTATAACTGAAGAGCCCACTGGAGTATTCTTGGGAATATCTATAACCCACTCTCGGCAAACCAAGGTAATGGAGCAAGAACAGAAGTATCAAATTGTACCTTTAATAATTAAAACATTAGTTTATTTTTATTGGTGTCCAAGAATTTCATCTTAATATAGTCTTTGTCTAATGAAATGTTCAGCTATTTCAGAAAGCTATTTCTTTGTTTATTTAGGCAAGAAAATAATCTCAAACGATCTTCCAAGTAGGACCTTTTTTTTTTTTTTTTTTGAGACAAGATCTTACTCTGTCACCCAGGCTGGAGTGCAGTGGTGCCAGCATGGCTCACTACAGCCTTGAACTCCTAAATTCAAGTGATCCTCTCACCTCAGGCTTCCCAGCAGCTGGGACTACAGGCATGTGCCACCACTCCAGCTAAATTTTTGTGATGAGGTCTCACTCTGTTGCCCAGGCTGGTTTCAAACACCTGGCTTCATGCAATTCTCCTGCCTTGACCTCCCAAAGTGACAGGTGGGTCATGCCTGTAATCCCAGCACTTTGGGAGGCTGAGGTGGGTGGATCACTTGAGGCCAGGAGTTTGAGACCAGCCTGGACAACATGGTGAAACCCCATCTCTACTAAAAATATGAAAAATTAGCTGGGTGTGGTGGTGCATGCCTGTAGTCCCAGCTATTCGGGAGGCTGAGGCGGGAGAATCGCTTGAACCCGGGGGGCCAAGGTTGTAGTGAACTGAGATCGCGCCACTACACCCCAGCCTGAGTGACAGAGCAAGACTCCGTCTCAGTAAAAAAAAAAAAAAAGAGAGAGACTTAAGACAACATCACTCTTTAGCAATTCTGTCTAGAGTGGGGCCTTACAATTTGGAGCAGCTGGTGAATTCTGGTTTTATTAGGAAGAACCAGAAAGAGGGTTATCCTTGATGCAGGCTCACAGAGCACATAATTAAGCTCCCCTGACATTTAATTCTTGGCAAAGCTGTGACAGCCAAGTTTGTCCTTTCCCCCTTCTCCCTACCTCCTTCCCCAGGGAGTCCGGCTCAGTCCTCTACCCTCCTGTGGCCACCAGCCTGCACCACGGTTCCTCAGCATCCACCATCCCCAGCAGGCACCTGATGCCACAGGACTCCTCAACCCTCCATTGAGTCAAACCCACCTCTTTTTTTTTTTTTTTTGAGACGGAATTTCGCTCTGTTACCCAGGCTAGAGTGCAATGGCACCATCTTGGCTCACTGCAACCTCCGCCTCCCAGGTTCAAACAATTCTCCTGCCTCAGCCTCCCGAGTAGGTGGGATTACAAGCATGCGCCACCACACCCAGCTAATTTTGTATTTTTAGTAGAGACAGGGTTTCACCATGTTGCTCAGTCTGGTCTCGAACTCCTGACTTCATGTGATCCGCCCACCTCGGCCTCCCAAAGTGCTGGGATTACAGGCGTGAGCCACTGTGCCTGGCCCCAAAACCCACCATCTTAATGTCTAAGGGGGACAGTGAGTTCACCAAATCAAACTCTCAAAATGGGCATAACAATTGAGTTATCACCCCTAACAAAACACTTTCATTTCAGCAAGAGTTTGAATTCTTTTTCTGGAGACAACACCTTGATCTAAAATGGCTTCAAAAGTATGAATTCCATAGCTGCGTACAGGGGCACAGGTACAGTCTCAGCTACTTGGGAGGCTGAGGCAAGAAGATCACTTGAGCTCCCGACTTCGAGTCCAGCCCGAGCAACAGAGTGAGGAGACCCTGTCTCTAAATAAACTAGTAAATAAGCAATTCTAGACCATACTTTCCAAATCCAGTCTTCTTCACTATTTTTATACTCCTGAGATCCAGTATTTAAACTACTCTAACCTAAATGTAAAATTTTACATTAAAAGTATTATATACAATTTTAAGTATTATATACTTGTTGATAAAAGTTATCTGAAACAGTCTATCAAATATGAAGAATGCTTTCCATCTGAGATTCAGCACTTAGGGAGGAAATATTAAATGCCTACTAAGAAATCACTGGCCAGGTGTGGTGGCTCATACCTGTAATCCCAGCACTTTGGGAGGCCAAGATGAGAGGATCGCTTGAGCCAGGGGTTCAGTCCAGCCTGGCAATAGAGCAAGAACCCATCTCTTAAAAAAAAAATTAATAAAAATTAAAAATAAATTATTTATTCATAAAATTTATGAATTTGAATCTTTACTTTTCCCCCCAAAAGTGGTAGTACTCTATGAAGAGAAAAACTGGCCAAGTAATAGGAAAAATAAAATTAAATGCCTGCATACCAACAAATGCATAGTCTTAAGAGTCAAAAGCTCAGCCAGGAGTAGTGGCTCACGCCTATAATTGCAGCACTTTGGGAGGCCAAGGCAGATGGATCACTTGACATCAGTAGTTCAAGACCAGCCTGGCCAACATGGTGAAACCTTGTCTCTATTTAAAAAATACAAAAATTAGACAGGCATGGAGGCAGGCACCTGTAATCCCAACAACTTGGGAGGCTGAGGCAGGAGAATGGCTTGAACCCAGGAGGCGGAGGTTGCAGTGAGCTGAGATGGCGCCACTGCACTCCAGCCTGGGCAAGAGAGCAAGACTCCATCTCAAAAAAAAAAAAAAAATATCAAAAGCTTAATTCCAGTATTTTTCCTAAAAGCAATAACTATTTTAGGACATCTTAAGTAAAGGCATAAGCTGTGGAATAAATGCTGTGTTTACCTAGTTTTATATGCTCCACTCGTTCATGGAGCTGATTTACTAGTGCTTTCATCTGCTTGTAGTTCTCCTAAAACAGAAATAGAGGAGACAGGGGAGAGAAATATTAGAAAGCAATTCCTTTTTACCAAAATAAAGGTCAAAAAAAAAAAAAAAACAGTGGTCTGTGCCAACTCTGTGTGGCCGCCACACTGGGCCACCCCATCTGTGGCAGCCACGCTGGGCCACTGGATCGTATGGAAAAGATTCACCCCTGCCTGTCTTGTTCAAGCTCTTCTTCACCACCCCACTTGTCCATCTCTCCATATCTTACTCCTCTGTAAGCCTAATTCATGTTTTATCTCATCTTCAACTCTACTTCTGGCCACTCCTACTCAATTTAACATCTTTCTTCCTTAAACACCTTCTGAACTTAAACTGATCTCTATTTGTTTTCCTATTTTAAGGAATATAAGCTTTTTGAAGGTTAGAATACCATCTTATTTTTCCTGTCCCATCAGTCACTATCTGAGATTCCAACCAATGCTTGCTTACTGACAAAGTACACTTAAAAACAAATCCCAGAGGGAGAAAAAGGATCTTATTTTTATTTTTAATTTTGTATTTTTATTTTTTGGGACAGAGTCTCCCTTTGTTGCCCCGGCTGGAGTGCAATGGTGCAATCTCGGCTCACTGCAACCTCCGCCTCCCGAGATCAAGCGATTCTCCTGCCTCAGCCTCCTAAGTAGCTGGGACTACAGGTGTGTGCCACCATGCCCAGCTAATTATTGTATTTTTAATAGAGACCGGGTTTCGCCATGTTGGCCAGGCTGATCTCAAACTCCTTACCTCAAGTGATTTGCCCATCTCGGCCTCCCAAAGTGCTGGGATTACAGGCATGAGCCACCGCACCTGGCCAAGGATCCTATTTTATGTTTTAAAAAGAACAGGCTGAGTGTGGTGGCTTATGTCTGTTATCCCAGAGCTTTGGAAGGCGGAGGCAGGAGCATCGCTTAAGCCCAGGAGTTTGAGACCAGCCTGAGTAACATAGGGAGACTTCCATCTTTACAAAAAGAATAAAAATAAAAAGAATAAAAATTTAAAAATTATCTGGGCATGGTGGTGTGTCCCAGCGACTTGACCAACTAAGGTGGAAGGATCTCTTGAGCCCAGGAGTTTGAAGCTGCAGTGAACTAGGATCGTGCCATTGTACTCCAGCCTGGGTGACAGAGCAAGACTGTTTCAAATAAATAAATAAATTAGTAAAAAGAACAAAACTCGGCCAGCCGTGGTGGCTCACGCCTGTAATCTCAGCACTTTGGGAGGCCGAGGCGGGCAGATCACCTACGGTCGGGAGTTCGAGACCAGCCTGACCAACATGGAGAAAACTCGTCTCTACTAAAAAATACAAAATTAGCCAGGCAAGGTGGTGCTTGCCTGTAATCCCAGCTACTCGGGAGGCTGAGGCAGGAGAATCCCTCGAACCCGGGAGGCGGAGGTTGCAGTGAGCCAAGATTGCATCATTGCACTCCAGCCTGGGCAACAAGAGCAAAACTCCATCTCAAAAAAAAAAAAAAAAAAACAGAACAAAACTCTATGCTGGCATATATACACAAATTAAGTAATACACAAGGAAATATTGACAGTGAGAAGTAGAAAAGAGGTAGAGGGACTAACTTTTCACCCTTCTGTATTTTTAAATTTTGTTTGGTCAGCATATTACTTTAGAACAATACTTAACTAGCTAATTATCTTTGAAATTCAGACTTGGCCCACTAATACATTTTGCTCCCCATGTGATTAGCATCTCTAGTTATTTAGTTCCTTCTGTTTGACAGAACACTAAGCAACTTCCTAACTGTTCAAACTTAGATGAATATTCAGTCTACAGTATATCTCCATTATTTCCTATTTTCTACAGCTCCAAGAGCTCTGAGGGTCATGATTTCTGCTACATTCTCTTGCTCTGCAAAATCCAGAAAATAAAAAACAAGGAAGCAGCATGGTATTAGGGAAAGAACCAGTTGGAGCTAACACAATATACAGAACTTGTCACCCTACAACAGCAGAAAAAAGTATGTAACTTTTCTCAAGTGCACAGGCAACATTCTCCAAGATAGACTACATGTCAGGCCACAAAACAAATCTTAATAAATTTTAAAAGACTGAAATCATACAAAGTATCCTTTTTTTTTTTTTTGAGACGGAGTCTGGCCGTGTCGCCCAGGCTGGAGTGCAGTAGCACAGTCTCAGCTCACTGCAACCTCCGCCTCCCGGGTTCAAGCGACTCTCCTGCCTCACACTCCCAAGTAGCTGGGATTACAGGCGTGCGCCACCATGCCCAGGTAATTTTTTTATTTTTAGTGGAGACAGGGTTTCACCATGTTGGCCAGGCTGGTCTAGAACTCCTGACCTCAGGTGATCCACCAGCCTCGGCCTCCCAAAGCGCTAGGATTACAGGCCTGAGCCACCATGCCTGGCCCAAAAGTATCCTTTCAATCACAATGGAATGAAACTAGAAATCAATGGCAGAAGGATGACTGGAAAATTCACAAATATATGGAAATTAAACAACGTACTTTTAAGCAACCAGTGGGTCAAAGAAGAAAAGCACTGACCCACTGAAGCTGACATTTGCCTCTACAGACTGGGCAACATCTGTGCCAAGCTCAGCCCATCAGACTTAAATCACAGAAGAGCCAGTACTGGCTACAGTTCACCTCCCAGGCAATCCTTTATCAACCAACCTAGCCTCCTTAGGATGAGACTCACTAACCAAGAGGCAGTGTAGTTTAGTGGCAAAACCAAGTTCAACTTTCAGTTTCCCTACTTACTGATACTGCATTTGGCAAATCTTGATCTCTCAGGACGCCAGGTGTTTGTGTTTGTGTGTGTGTGTGTGTGTGTTTTAATCACCTGCGAAACAACATTCTACAACCTAGTAATTTTCTTGTGAAGCTGAGCAACCACAGAGGTTAGTGCCTGACAGTCATAATGAATTGGAGCTGAGCCACTGACAAGTTTCCCACCCCATCTTTTCAACCATAGAACCCACCTAGGTAGAGCTGGGTGAGTGAGAAGCATTATAGAGCAACAGTTAAGACCCTGGACTCAAGAGTTATGAGCCAGACCACCTGGCTTCAAATTCAGGCTCTGTGTTATCTCAGACAAATTTCTTGGACCCTATATACCACAGTTTTCCCATCTATAAAACAGAAATAACAATTGTACCTACTGCACAGGATCATTATGATAAATACATGAGTAAAACCACATAAAGCCTTTAGAAAAATGGTGGGTACACTATAAAATTCCTGCCATTATTATTACTTATTATAGTTGCTTTTATTTGTAATCAGGAAACACAGCTAAACTGGATCATTCATCCCATTCTCCCCCACCCTCATGGACTTGCTTTGTCTAATGTGAGCACACATTAATTTCATCACATGCCAGCAAGGATTTTAAATCCAATTTGTGTTCAGCCTCTTGCTCCTGTGCCTTCGGCCATGAGAAGGGCATGTTTAATTCAGGGCTGCTCTTCAGCCTCAGTCCAGGAATGGGAAGACACATGGAGCAGACCTGAACCTACCCTGCAGTGGAACAGTCACAGCAGCAGCTAACCAAAGGCCACCAACACGAGTGAGAGATTAAGAAACAAAACAAAATCAAGTGAGAGACTAATATTTACTGTTGTGAGTTACTGAGATTTTTTGATTATTTGTTACACAAAGCGCAACCTAGCAAAAGGTGATTCATACAAAACCCATCACCAAAGCCTTCTTTGTATTAATGGCAGTTCCACCTAACTAAATATTCTGCCCAGTTGGAAACTCCAAAGTCATCCATTTTCCCCTTCCACTCAGTTATTAACTCTATAATCTTTGCTCCTCAGGTATTTATGCCCCCCTCCTACATACAACTCTAACTTTGACTCCTTCATCTCAAGACTCAACTCTCCACTGTCACCTAGGTCTAGTCTTTTCCCTATATCAATCCATCCTCCACATTGCCACCACACTGATGATTCTACCATATCCATAGGATCATGCCACTTATCTACTTAAATATTTTAATGGACAACCTGCCAAATGGAATCTAAATGTGGCTTTTGCATGGAAGATCCTCCTCTATCTGGCCCCATAATCAATCAATCCCATCACCAGACACTATTCAATGAATTCCATGTCCTAGACATGGAATTCAAGTCCTCACACCAGATATACACTTTCATAACTCAGTACCTATGTTCTTGTAACTCTCTTGGTTTATACAGTCTTACCTTCCATCCTGCACCCTGAACTTGGCCAGCTCTTACCCAAGATTCATCTCACCCATTACTTCCTATCGGTAGCTTTCTGTAACCACCTTCTCAAGCTTTAGACAACCCTTCTTACACTGTACCACAGTTACCTGCTTTCTTGTCCATCTTCCCTACAAAATTATTAGTTCCATTCCTACGCATCCATGCCAAATATCTAAAATAGTGCCTAGACCACAATAACCACTTAATAATTCTGAATTAAACATTCTGGACTGACAAACAATTGTGTGTTGTTTGCACTATTTAGATGTTATCTGTATAGGCTTAGAAATCGTGGGAACACAGTGAAATTTTCCAGCTCTGATATTTCGCAAGTTTTGAGTTTTTTGGCCTTATGATGCCTCCTAATTCCAAGAAAAGCCACTCAAAGATACTGTGGGATATTTTCTATTAACATAACCAACTTTTTTTTTTTTTTTTTTTTGAGACAGAGTTCGCTCTTGTTGCCAAGGCTGGAGTGCAATGGCACGATCTCAGCTCACTGCAACCTCCGCCTCCCAAGTTCAAGCGATTCCCCTGCCTCAGCCTCCCAGGTAGCTGGGATTACAGGCGCGCGCCACCATGCCCGGCTAATTTTTGTATTCTTAGTAGAGATGGGGTTTCACCACGTTGGCCAGGCTGTTCTCGAACTCCTGATCTCAGGTAATCCACCCGCCAGGGCCTCCCAAAGCGCTGGGATTACAGGCGTGAGCCACTGGGCTCGGCCATCATAATCAACTTTTAAACTCAAATTTCCTAAGCACAGCGCCCCTCGTTGGGCTGCTCTAGGCCAGTGGTTCCCAAAGCTGGCTGCCAAAAGTCCCCTAATGAGTTCACTAACAATATAAACACAGCGACTCCACCTGAGACCCACAAGGTCCAGAGTAGGGCTCAGGCAGCTATTCAGCTAGCTCCCCAGGTGGCAATTCTAAACCAGGCTTTAAGAACCACTGATTTCAAAGACACAAAGTACAGTGCCAGCTCTAAAAGTGAACTAAACTTTCTTGTATCTGTTAGGCTTTTCTTCTTCAAACTTCACGTGCGTCACAGAATCAACTGGGGCTCCGGACAAGAGAGCAGCAGTTGTTGAAGCGTGCCCCTCCTCCACTTGCTTCCTAGCCTGGCACCGGCGGCCAGGCCACCGGGGCGCTCAGCCTACCTGGTAGAGGGCAGAGCCCAAGTCCGGCTGGGTGCCCAGCGAGGCCACCGAGTCCCCGTGATAGGCGCGCGGCCCGGCGGGAGAGGCGCGGGCACACGGCCGCAGGGCTAACCTCAGGACGGCCCACATGGCGGCGGGCACCGAGCGAGAGAGCGGCCCACGCTGGCCTGGAGCCGGTGCTTTCCCCTGCCGCTTCCCTGGCTGGGGCGGAAGCTGAGCTCAGGTCCTTGCAGCCCCAGAGAAGGTTTCTCTGATTCTCAGGCCTGTCCACACACGTGCCTAAGCGCGCCGCCCGCGATTGGTCAAGCCGCGCCACGCCCCCTGACCCAGCCAATAAGGGACAGAGCCTCAGCCCCGCGAGGTCGCGTCTAGTCCCGAGCGCAGGAGAGCAGGTCTCCCCGGCGGATCGACCCTCACGAAGCGGTGCGGCAGTGAGAGAGCTGCGGTTGGGCTTGGATTGGTGTTGTGTTGACACAGCGATAGATAATATCACGATAGTGACTGTACCTAAGGCAGGAGAATAAGTCTGGAAGCAGGGAACCTAAGGCTGTCTCACGCTGACTTCCTAGAGCTAAACTGAAAGGAAAACCCTAACTTTCCATGCCTAAGTAACAAAAGGACCAAAGGCTACTCCCTTTGCAAACCCCCCCACCTTTTCCGCAGGGCAGATAGGAAATTGGCTGTCCCCGACAAATCAGACTTACTGCTGGTGGAGGCTTGCTTTGCCAAGTTTGAACCTTAACTCCAGCCTCTGAATGGTTGCTGTCCACAACCAATCAGACTGATTGGGGGTCCAGTCTTCGTTTGCATAGAAGTATAACTTTGTAATTTCACCCTAGCCTCTGACTGCTTGCTTCTTGCAACCAATCGGGTTTGAGGTGAGCATAAAATGGCCAATAGGAAACTTCTAGTGGGTATTTGGACCCAAGAAGATTCTATATCCGGGCCCTTGAGCTCTGCTCGGTCCGCTCCCACATTGTGGAGTGCACTTTCGTTTTCGGTAAATCCCTGCTTTCGTTCTTTCGTTGCCTTGTTCTTTCTTTGCTTTGCTGGGCGTTTTGTCCAATTCTTTGTTCACAATGCCAAGAACCTGGACAACTTGCAGTCACAACCCCCAGTGACACACCAACAACATGAGTGAATCGCATCTAACACGTGCTTGCGAACAGCACAACAAGCCTGTTGTCCTTTCACTGGAGACCTTAAACATTCTTCTGATTATTTTCGCTATGTAGTTATTTTTATTTTTTACTTTATTTCATTTTTTGAGACAGGGCCTCACTCTGTCGCCCAGGCTGCAATGCAGTGGCACGATCACAGCTCGCTGAATCCTTGACCTCCCACCTCAGCCTTTCCAGTAGCTGAGACTACAGGTTTGTGCCACCAAGCCCGGCTAATTTTTTATTTTTGTAGGGGTTTCACCATGTTGGCTATGCTGGTCTTGAACTCCTGGACTCAAGCGATCTGCCCGCCACAGCCTCCCAAAGTGCTGGGATTACAGACATGAGCCACCACACCAGGCACTATGTAGTGACAGATTGTGGACATCAGCACTGTGGTCTTAAATAAAGGACTCCAAATATACCCATAAAAATTAAAACATTCTATACAAAATGCCTTGAACTTAAGGTTTTTCATTCACATATTTATTGAGCACTTACTACTTCTACTCCATTGGTTGCTTAGTGGGGCAGAGTAAAGGGGGAGGATGGGGTAGAGAAAGGGTGCGTCTACACCTGGAGGTAAACTTAGGTTCAGACTTCAAGGTACTTATAAGAAAATAATACAAATGGCCACATGATTTCTTACTGAACTGTGTAGGACAGACATTAAAGGAACAGAATGCAATTGGGAAAGGGTTGCAGCTGAGCCTTGCAGAAGCGTTGAGAGTGGACTGAGCAATGAACATGGCCAGGCTTTGTGCAAATGGAGGAGAGCATGAGCTAAACTGCAAAGGTATGATTTACACTGTGCTTGCCTCCCATGGTCAACAGAAAAAAAGGCCAGTAAAAACTGACTTTTCATATGTATCAGGGTATCAGAAGAGAGGGTTTGATATTTTAATTGCCACACTTTATTTTTCTCTAAATAGTTCTTCAATGATGCAAAGTACTTAAAATCACCACCCGAAGACAGAAAAGACACAATAGGATATGATTCCTTGCTTTCTTTAAAAGTCATACCTGTTTTGGCCGGGTGCAGTGGCTCATGCCTATCATCCTAGCACTTTGGAAGGCCAAGGCAGGTGGATTATCTGAGGTCAGAAGTTTGAGAGCAGCCTGGCCAACATGGTGGAACCTCATCTCTACTAAGAATACAAAAATTAGCCAGGCATAGTATCACGTGCCTGTAATCCCAGCTACCTGGGAGGCTGAGGCAGGAGAATCGCTGGAACCCGAGAGGCAGAGTCTGCAGTGAGCCGACATGGCACCACTGCACTCCAGCCTGGGTGACAGAGCAAGACTCTGTCTCAAAAAAAAAAAAAAAAAAAGTCATACATGTTTCTTATTTCTTGTAACTTTTGTTACAAGAAGCTCTTTGGAAATGTATAATGTTCCCAGAACAGCTAAGTAGAAAAATGCAAAAGGTGAAGTGCAAATGCACAGAAGGCCAAAAGCAGTCACCTAGCATCTGTTAGTGTCCAGTGTCTCTCTACCCCACTATTGAGATTACAAGGAACATAATCTTTGCCATCTCTGATTTTTTAAAATAATGTTTTATTGAGGCCAGGAACTTGAAACTAGCCTAGGCAACATAGTGAGCCCATGTCTCTGAAAAATAAAAATAGCCATGCACAGTGGCATGTGCTTGTAGTCCTAGCTACTTGGAGGGTGAGGTGAGAGAATCACTTGAGTCCAGGAGTTTGAGGCTGCAGTGGGCCATGATCTTGCCAAGCACTTCAGCCTGAGTGACAAGAGCTAGACCCTGTCTCTAAAAAAAACAATAAAAATAAAATAAAAATAAAGTAAAATAATGTTTTTATTTTATTTATTTATTTATTTATTTTTCTGAGAGGGAGTCTCGCTCTGTCGCCCAGGCTGGAGTGCAGTGGCACGATCTCGGCTCACTGCAAGCTCCGCCTCCCGGGTTCATGCCATTCTCCTGCCTCAGCCTCCCGAGTAGCTGGGACTACAGGTGCCCGCCACCACACCTGGCTAATTTTTCATATTTTTAGTAGAAACCGGGTTTCACCGTGTTAGCCAGGATGGTCTCGATCTCCTGACCTCGTGATCCACCCACCTCGGCCTCCCAAAGTGCTGGGATTACAGGCGTGAGCCACCGCGCCTGGCCAAAATAATGTTTTATATAATAAAAATAAGAGAATTAATTGAAAAATGTAACCGCCAGGGCTGATCTCTGCAGCCTGGTGCGCTGCCTTTCATCTCACCCTCAGTTCCTTCCCATGCATTGCTCATTCCCATTGGCTGCCATCTTCCACTTGCTCTCCTTCCTTTATCCGCACCGTTCCCTCTGCCCAGGGCATCTTTCCACGACCAGACTTGTCCGTTCCATCTTCTCCACCTGGTGAGCCCATACACATCCTTTAGGACTTGGCTCAGGAATCTCCTACTCCAGAAGCCCTCCCTGACCCCACCTCATTACCTCTTTCTCCCTTCAACAGGCCTCTATTGTGGCTCGGGTCAGCACTTGTTGTTAGGGCTCATTTAGTTTCTCCAACTTGGGGTCTTGTCAGTGTCATCATTTATGGCCTATGCTGGGCATATTACAGACGCTAAATTTGTTGAATGAATACATAAAAAATAACTGCTCTGGAATCAGAGCAAGGAGACATTCCAGGACACCTAAGGGAGGGTTATTTAAAGGCCAGGCAAGAAGCTGGGAGGTCAGGATGAGCAGTTAGACCTGGCAGGCTCTCCTTTGCTATCAAGTCTCTTCTGTAGAAACTTAATGACCTTACCTGGGATATCACATGGTATTACTTTGGTTGTACTCTATTGGATTCAAGGGGAGGGGACATAGACCCCACCACTCAATGGAAGGAGTGTCAAGGCCACTGGCAGAAAAGATGAGAGACATTGTGTGACTATCTTTGGAAAACATGACTGACATGCCAGCACATGCACTCATGTTTATACATTTATCCCAATCCAACCTTATATTTGTTTTCCTTGGCGTAACAATCCATTTCCATATTCCCTAACTCTTGCCAATACACACTGGCAAGAAACTATCTCTTTCTGGGCCACGTTCAGTACTTTTTGGTTTGCACTGGAATAACTAACTTCTGTTAAGATCCAGAGGCAAGGAGGCAGGGTAGGATCAGTCCCTTACAAGAACTAGCATCAGCTCATAAGGCAACTGCCCCAGATGAAGCGACTAAGTGCCTTTTACACAGGGAAAGGCTGGTCAGGAATGGGGAGTGGATATGAGGGTAGGTTGCCTCCACTCTGAGAAAAGCTCAAGGGGATTTGGGCATTTGAGAGTCTGGGTCTTGACCACATCTGCCCAAATGTGTCCATCCTATTTCTCAGCTTTCCATTCCTTCCTGTGTAGTGTCCTTATATCATACTGTACCTTTCATTGACCCTTCAACTCCCTTCTTGTCAAATCCTGGCTTGATTCTCGGCCAAACTGCCCTGCATCTACAGAAGATAATAGACTCCAAGCTGTGATAAAGGCTTTTTTACTTTTCACTATTATAAGAATCTACTCAAGGTAAATAAAATTACGTGTGCATACAAAAACTTGAACAAAAATATTTATAACAGCTTTATTTGTAATACACAAAATCTCTAAACAACCCAAATGTCCATTAACAGATGAATGAATAAGCAAATTATGGTAAATCCATATGACACAATACTGCCTGCAATAAAAATGATGTAGGGCACGGTAGCTCACACCTACAATCCCAGCTACTTGGGAGGCTGAGGCCCTTCAGCCCAGGAGTTCAAGACCAGCCTGGGCAACACAGCAAGGCCCCACTCTTAAAAAATTAGCCTGGTATAGTGGCGCGTACCTGTAGTTCCAGCTACTTCGGAAGCCAAGGTGGGAGGATCACTTGAGCCTAGGAAGTCAAGGCTGCAGTGAGCTATGATTGCACCACTGCACTCCAGCCTGGGCAACAGAACGAGGCCCCAACTCTTAAAAAACAAAAACAAAAACAAAAAAAGTTAGATTTTATGTAAAGCACAATCTCTAAAGGTTATCCAAGACCACTTTTAAGCTTAATGATTAACTAGAAAGACTCACAGAACTCAGAAAAGCTATGTTCAGTTATGGCTTATTACAGTGAAAGGATACAGTTTTAAATCAGCATAAAATTAGCATAAACTATCTGTCATGGCTGAAGGCCCCAGGTATACAAAAACTCTTAAAAGGCAGGACATTTATTTCAAGGGCTTATAGGTTAAGGAACTGGTCAAGTGTCAGTTCCTTCTTTGGAATGTGTACAACCCAAACCTGCTGAATTAACCCTTTATTGCACAGTTACATACTGTATGATCCCATTTTAATGAAATGAAAAGTTGTGGGCCCAGCATGGTGGCTCATGCCTGTAATCTCAGCGCTCTGGGAGGCCAAGGCAGGGGTGGGGGATCGCCTGAGCCCAGGAGTTGGAGACTAACCTGGGCAACATAGCAAAACCCAGTCTCTACAGAAACTTTTTTCAAAAAAACAGCTGAGCGTGGTGGCATGCACCTGTGGTCCCAGCTGCTTGGGAGGCTGAGATGGGAGGATTGCTTGAGCATGGGAGGTCAAGGCTGCCATGAGCTGTGCACTCCAGCCTAGGTGACCAAAAAAAAAAAAAAAAAGTTGTAGTGGAGAACAGATAAGTGGTTGTCAAGGGTTAGAGCTGGAGGAGGGAATGACTATAATTGACAGCATGAGAGTGACTTTCGGGGTGATGGAACAGCTCTGTACCCTGACTGTGGTGATGTTACATAAACCTATACATGGGATAAAATTTCATGGAATTGTATATACACATGCACTGCCTGTAAGCATGATATGTAGCCAGCTTTCTGTATCCCCAGATCTCACATCGGCAAATTCAACCAACCACAGATGGAAAATATTGGGTGGGAAGAGACAATAAAAAAATAACAATACAGGCCAGGCGCAGTGGCTCACACCTATAATCCCAGCACTTTGGAAGGCCAAGGTGGGCGGATCACTTGAGCCTAGGAGTCTGAGACCAGCCTGGGCAACATGGCGAAAAACCCATCTCTATTAAAAATACAAAAATTAGCTGGGAGTGGTGGAGCCTGTAATTCTAGCTACTCGGGGGCTGAGGCAGGAGGATCACCTAAGCCATGGGAGGTCGAGGCCATAGTGAGCTACGATCTCACCACTGTACTGCAGCCTGGGCAATAGTTGAGACCCTGTCTTAAAAAAAAAAAAACCACGCAACAATACAATAAAAAAATACAAATTTAAAATGCAGTATAATGACTATTTGCATAGCATTCGCATTTGTATTAGTTATTAGAAATAATCCAGAGAAAATTTAAAGTACATGGGAGGACGTGCATAAGACATATGCTCATACCATTTTATATAAAGGACTTGAGCATCCTGGGGTTTTGGTGGAGGAGGAGAGTTGTGGAACCAATCCTTGAGGATATTGAGAATTGGCTGTAATTTGAATAAAATCTTTAGTTAATAGTATTGCGCACATGTCAATTTCCTGGTTTTCATCATTGTACTAGGATTATATAAGATGTTCTTGGGGAAATATAATTTAAGACAAAAATTCCTGCCACAACAAAAAACCTCTCCATTAAAGTAGAAGAGAAAAAAACAATTTTAGTATTTGAAAACCTATCAAACCAGAATGTGATGTGCATTACAGGCAATCTGCTAAAGAGATTGCAAAGACAACCTAACCCTCACCCCTGGAAGGCAGAGGTTGCAGTGAGCCGAGATTGCGCTACTGCACTCCAGCTTGGGTGACGGAGTGAGACTCTGTCTCAAAAAAATAAAAAACACTCACCCCTTTATATAACCAGGCAGATGCAACCCATGTCATACATGTTTTCAAGATAAACAACTAGTCCTCAAATAAGATGACTTCACAGCACCACCTGTCACCTGCGAATCGGAGTAGTCACCTGTGTTTGTTAATTGTCTTTATCCAAAGGAAAATTAAATTTCTTATGTCTTTATGGTAGGTTTGTAACTTAACAGGTGCCAGCTGAAGTTAGGTTCCTACCCTTCCATAGGACTAGGAAATAGGAATGCTATTTCCCTCGATGATTTCATTTCAAAGAGAAGGCTTCCAGGTCCTTAAGGATAAGATTATGGGGTTGGGGAAAAAAAAAACTGACAAGAGATTTATTTATCTTTTTTTTTTTAAACTAACACCTTTCTCATGGGTTATTAAGCTTATTTAAAAAAAGATGTAGGCCGGGCATGGTGGCTCACACCTGTAATCCCAGCACTTTGGGAGGTGGAGGCAGGCGGATCACGAGCTCAGGAGATTGAGACCATCCTGGCCAACATGGTGAAACCCCGTCTCTACTAAAAATACAAAAATTAGCTGGGCATGGTGGCCCGTGCCTGTAATCTCAGCTACTTGGGAGGCTGAGACAGGAGAATAGCTTGAACCAGGGAGTCGGAGGTTGCAGTGAGCCGAGATTGTGCCATTGCACTCTAGGCTGGCGAAAGAGCGAGCCTCATAAAAGAAGATGTAAATACATCTTCAAAGGGCAGAGAAGGAATTCACAATTACAAGTTTTCTAAAGTAAACGCTCTGAAGACAGACTGGGGGATTCTTTCTTTTCTAGGAAAATTCAATTTTTAATTGTTTTTAGATTTTTATTTACACTTACATAATCATGGGGGAAAAGTGAAGGATACAAGGGGAACTTTTTGTATTATTTTTGCAACTTCTATGTGAGTCTAAAATTATTTCAAAGAAGCTATGTGCAGTGGCTTGTGCCTATTGTCCCAGCTACTTGGGAGGCCAAAGTGAGAGGATCACTTGAGCCCAAGGGTTTGAGGCCAGCCTGGGCAAATAGTGAGACTCCATCTCCAAAAAAAAAAAAAAAAAAAAAAAAAAAGAATTATAGTCAAATTGAAACATGTTGAGAGGAGAAGAGGAGATTGGGAAAGAAACAAAGAGACTAGAAATAAGGAGTACTTGGTATATACTTATGCTATATGGCTAACCTTTAAAAAATACAATATATCCACTTTATGAGAAAAGCCATACAAAATATAAAGATTAAACCATATTTTTAAAAAAGAATAAATTATTAATATATTCAACAAGGTAGATGAATCTCAAAATAATCATGCTAAGGCTGGATGCGGTGGCTCACGCCTGTAATCCCAACACTTTGGGAGGCCGAGGCAGATGGATCACCTGAGATCAGGAGTTCGAGAACAGCCTGGCCAACATGGCAAAACCCCGTCTCTACTAAAAATACAAAAATTAGCCGGGCGTGATGGCGGGCGCCTGTGATCCCAGCTACTTGGGAGGCTGAGGCAGGAGAATCACTTGAACTCAGGAGGCAGAGGCTGCAGTGAGCCAATATTGCACCACTGCACTCCAGCCGGGGCAAAAAGAGTGAAACTGTGTCTCAAAAACAAACAAACAAACAAAAAATCATGCTAAAGGGAAGAAGTGAAACCAAAAAGGAAAAAGGGTATATATGATTTCATTTATATAAAATTCTAGAAAATGCAGGCTATCCATCGTGACCAAAAGCAGATTGTTACCTTGGGATCTGGGAGGTGTTCAGGAGAGAGGGAGGAGCAGGAGGCCAGGGTAGAAGAGGCAACTTTGGAAATGATGGATATATTATTATTATTGTGGTGATGGTTTATGGGTGTACACATATATTAAAATTTAATTGTATTCTAAATATATGCAGTTTGTGTGTCAAATATAGCCAATAAAGCTATTTAAAGGAATCCCAAGCCAAGCACTCCATACCAGTTAAATGATCATTTCTGATGTTGGAACCTAGGAATGAGTATTCTTTTAAACATCTCAGGTGATTCCAGTAGGCAGCCAAGTTTGAGAATCTGCTATAAAACAGTGATTCTCAAATCGTGCTCACAGGCCAGTGGCATCAGCCTCACCCAGGAACTTGTTAGAAATGCTCATTCTTAGGCCCCAGGCTGATCTGCTGAATCATAAACTTCAGGATTGGGGCCCATAGTGGTGGCTCATGCCTGTAATCCTGTAGAGCACCTAATTCTGTCGCTGTTCGAGGCGCCACTTGTAGTCTGCCAGGATCCATGGTGGACTGAACAAAGGGGGATGAATGCGGGAATAAAGACAAGAGACAAAAGAGTATGTTTGGAAGAAGGGTCAGGGGACACCTTGCCTCTAGTGGACAAGGGCCCTGAGCTTTACACAGCCCTCCATATTTATTAGGCAAAAGAGATAGTGAGAAGGGGTGTGGAAGAAGAGGTCAGCTGCTCGGTCCAGAGTAGGCTTGCAAGACTGCATTCCTCGAACAATAGGCTCTAGATGTCCCAGTAGATAACCTCAAGGAGCCGGGGCCAGGGAGCGATGGCCCTCAGCAAACCTTCTGGGCAGGCACAGAAGCGAGTTTGCCCACATTCTGTATTCATGATAAACAGTTTGCTGTTTGATCATGTAGCCTCCAGTGGAATGCTGAGTTGGTCACCATCCCTTTGGCCTTTTTGGCTCCCAACATTTCCCCCTTCTTGTTTATGTATTAAGTGAAAGAATGTAAGGCCAGGCTGGGTAGCTTTCATTCTCCGATTGGCAGTCCATCCGATTTTACAGACTATGAACAGAAGACAGAGACAAAACAACATTATTCCAAGAACTATATATAAGATGTTAATGTGGTGCTTTAGATAGGTCCAAGGGTTGACGCTCTCCAGGCCTTGCTGGAATTCAGTCCAGTCTTCTAAAGAAGGCTGAAACTCTGGAATTTGTTTATTTAAATCAAGAATTTTGTTTTGTAATTCACCAATATCAAAGGTGATGTCGGATGTGAAAGCTCCCTGCAAATGGGCTTTCACAAGATCCCATGGATACTCACTTTGGTTATATTCTAAGTTGGTTACACAAATATGAGTGTGATTAAAATGACAACACAATTACTGCTGCAATTGCAAGCTTTGTACTTGTTCCCCTAACCATAGAATCGTGGATTATAACACTGCCACTTCAGTTTGTAACTCAGTGTTAATTTTATTCTCAAGTAGCCACCCTTGGTTGACTGTGCGTGTCCAGTTCTCCACATACTGAGCTGTTTGAATAGAACTATGCAAAGCTACAGAGGACATCACAACAGAAATTATTAGTGTGACCAAGTAAACAATAGCAAAAATTATCATGCCTAAGCCTCTACGGACACAATGAGTAAACTGAGTTAGAAGAAGTTTCACAAAATGTAAAGCAATTGTGGCAGCCCATGGCTCAGACAGATTAACAGGAATCCATAGCCCAGGGATGCAACCTAAAATCATCAAAGTAGAGATATTATGTGTTTGCAATGTGCTATGATTAATGCAGTGATATAACTGGCAAGATTTACAGGTCAATTGGGTATTGTTTACCTGGAGCTGGTCCTTCTTAGCTGCCAAAAACACATAAGGATTAAAAACACAAACTGTAAATTGAGTGGTGATATTCTTTACAAATGTAACATTAAGACTGTGTTGCTTACTATTGCTATTATTGGATAGTATTATGGCAACCCAGATGTTGCCATTCATAAATGGGAATGCTGCCTTCCATATCATCTTTTGAATTGGTCCTTTCCTCCCTAGATAATGCCACTGAGGAAGAGGCGGGCTAAAGCCTGCTCCATGCCAAGCAATCTGGGCGGCCGACTGGGATTGGATCCCAGTGTTATATAAAGAAGAAGCATTAAAAGCTTGCCACCAATGCCAGCAAAGTTTGTGCCACGATTTCTGATTTTCTTCTTTTCCATCTAATTGGCCTTTAGGTCCCCAATCCACAATGTCTCCAGTTAACATAGATTGTTTTCTAGCCAGTGGGCCAAGACACTGGGTCTATGGAGGGGGGTAGGAACTATTGAAGGGAATCCATTCTGTATAGTCAGCACAATGAAGGCGATTGGGCCAGGAATGGTTGGTTAGCACACCGGTTACATTAATATAACCAAGACTTAATAAGTACATGATTTTCCCATAGTGACTCAACCATGTGTGAGCTTGAACTGTAAGACAGCTATGGCTGAGTGATGTCTTTGTGGTGACACACAAAGGAAGTCCTTCCAATGGAGCGGTATAATTAATGACATTATTCTGAGAGTCTAACTGTTCTATGTCAGGTGGAGTTAGGGGTCCTGGAGCCCATGCTCCTTAATCATGATAAATCTTAGGAGGAGTGTCACTCCAAAGTATGGGTCATACTGCTGGGGACTTGGGAACATATGCCCAATATGTTTTTGCCTCTGCACAGGAAAAACATACTGCACAGGATATTATGGCTAACATGGCCAAGAACACGGAATCAGGGGTTTTTGTCTGGCCTTGACACTCCAGTAGTTTCTCAGCTTCCTGCGTAGTTTTCTTGAGTTGTCCCAGGTTATGGGGGTTGATGTCGTCGTGACTCTGGTCGATCTTCTCTCTGTAACAATAGTTCCTAAGTATTGGTATGGGGAAGTTGTTTGTACCTTCTCTGGAGCAATGTTGAGATTCCAATTAACAAGAGCTTACTTTACTTCTCTGAATAATTGATGCAATATTTGATCTGTAGGAGCGGCCAAAAGAGTATCAGCCATAAAATGAATGATGTAAGCAGTAGGAAACATATTCCGAGGCTCCTTTAATGCCTGTCCTACAAAATGCTGACATAGCGTAGGACTGTTAAGCATGCCTTGGGGTAAAACTCTCCATTGATAATGAGAAACAGGTTCTCTTTGATTAATAGAAGGCACAGAGAAGGCAAATTGAGGCTTATCCTTCTCATGTATGGGTATAGTAAAGAAACAGTCCTTAAGATCTATTACTACAAGAGGCCAGTCTCTTGGAATAGCCGCTGGAGATGGTAAACCTTTCTGTAAGGTGCCCATCAGTTGAATTTTTGCATTACTAGCTCTTAAATCATGCAGCAGTCACCAACTTCTGGACTTTTTTGGAATAACAAACACTGGAGAATTCCAGGGGCTAACTGACTCCTCTATGTGTCCTGCATCCAATTGTTCTTTTACTAGCTGCTGAAGTTGCGTCAGCTTCTCCCAAGATAGCGGCCATTGATCCACCCATATGGGTTTGTCACTGAGCCATTCTAATGGTAAGGCAGAGCGTGGAGAAGAAATATCAATGACCTCCATCAGAAATCCTGAGGTCCTAGCCCTTTTCTATTTGTTTTTCCAGTTATTGATATTGGATTAGGGTTTCATTGTAGGAACCTCCCCAGACCTTTTCCACTGTGATATCCCATGTTCTTCAACATTTTAAATCCTGGGTTATCAAAGTTTTCATTTGTAAGTTTCATATCCCATGCTGTAAGTCTCGACCCCATAAATTGATAGCTGTATTTGCGACATAAGGCTGAAAAGTACAAGACTGTCCATCCGGACCAAGACAAGGTAAAATCTCAGCACTTTGTTGAACACTTTGAGCTGTTTCTACTCCCAGTAAGTATGCAGAAGTTAATTGCAAGGGCCAGGATGGGGGCCAATTGTCTTTAGATATTACTGACACATCAGCTCCCATATCCATAAGCCCATAAAATTTCTTTCCTTTAATTTGTATTACACAGGTGGGTCTATTAGAGGCTACTGGTTGGGACAGACTTCCCATGTAGTTGTGCTCCCAAACCCTTTATTTCCTCATTTCTCCTTTCGTGGAGAAGGGTGTAATTTGCAGGGAATAAGCAATAATTGAGCAATATATTCTCCCAGTTCAAAAACCCAAAGATCTTGTGACATTAAAACTACTTGAATTTCTCCTTCATAATCAGAGTCAATCACTCCTGGGACTACAGTAATGCCCTGTAAGTTAAGACAGCTTTTGCCTAAAATTAGTCCCATGTATCCTGTGGGTAAAGGACCACAAATACCAGTGGGAACTTTGATGGGTTTGTCTCCCCCAACTAACATGATTCTTTCTCTAGCGGGTAGATCTAATCCTATATTTCCTGGTGTTCCTGGGGTGAAGGAACCAATGTGCCTCCGGGAACCCATCCCTGAAATGGGGTTGTGGTCTGAACTGGGAATGCCCTCATTGTTTGAGAGGCCCAGGGCCAGGCCCCGTCTCGTTTCCTGACAGGGGGGTGCCATTCTGATGAAATTTTGAGCGGCACTGATTAGCCCAGTGATTTCCTTTGTTACAGCGAGGACAAAGTCCTGGCATTTTTTTCTGCTGGGGGAGGAACTGCATTGTAAGATCCTTTCTGTCCTGAGATCTGGCGGCATTCCTTTTTTAAATGTCCAGTTTTTCCACAATTATAATATTTTCCCATTTTAGGGTCTGACCCTTGGCTCCTTTTAGATTTGTCAACAGCTAAATTAGCCATTGCTTGCACTGACATTGTAGATCGATGAAGCTCAGTTCCTACATCTTGACAAGCTCTGAGGAAATTTCCCAAGTTTTTGTACACCTCACTGGTGCCAGGGCACATTTACAATCCGCATTTACATTCTCAAAAGCTAGAGTTAAAGTTAGCATTTCTGCAGCCACGGTATGAGGAATCTGACGCTTCACTGCCTCTTGCAATCTTGCAAGAAATTGTACATAGGGTTCCTGCAACCCTTGCATGATATGTGAAAAGGACTGTACTGGGACTCCCTCTTCAGGAATTGTGGCCCAGGAACGTTTAGTGGCCTGTACACACTGCTGATAAGCAGTATCTGGGAGTGCCATTTGACATTCCAGGTCTGAATAAGGGCCTTTACCCAATAGCAAATCCTCTGTAATGTCTCCGGGTCCAGCAACACGGTTCTGTCTAGCCTGGTCTGCACACAGTTCTTGCCAATTTAAATTCCACGTCAGATATGCACTAGCAGACAAGCAAGTTCACGCCAATTGTTTTACATCAAAGGGTAAAAGACGCATAGCACCAAACACAGATTCTAGTAATCCTAAGGTGAATGGGCTCTGTACGCCCTTACTTACCACACTCACTTTTAATTCCTTCAACAACTTAAACTCTAGTCGAGTGTGTTCATGAATGAGCTGCTGTGCATTATTTGGATCAGGTCTTATGGAAATAGGAAAAGCACAAGGTCCTAAGGACTCTCCAGCTATGGCAGCAGAGCGTAAAATTATTTGTATTGGGGTCTCTATTTCTGCTACCTAAGGAGGTGGTGCAGATGGTTCTGCAACTGGAGCAGGTGGTATAGGCCAATTTTCATCCTCCCTCTCCTGTTTTTTCTTTTCTTTTCTTTCTTTTTTTTTTTTTTGAAACAGAGTCTCGTTCTGTCACCCAGGCTGGAGTGCGGTGGCACGATCTTGACTCACTGCAACCTCTGCCTCCCGGGTTCAAGCATTCTCCTGCCTCCGCCTCCTGAGTAGCTGGGACTACAGGCACATGCCACCACGCCCGGCTAATTTTTGTATTTTTAGTAGAGACAGGGTTTCACCATGTTGCCCAGGCTGGTTTTGAACTCCTAACCTCAAATGATCCACCCGCCTTGGCCTCTCAAAGTGCTGGGATTACAGGCGTGAGCCACCATGCCTGGCCCTGTTTTTTATTTTCAGCTGGAGCTGTGGGTGGGACAACAGATTCTTTCAGATTTTTAGACTCAGCCTGCTGTCCCACAGAATAATAAGGAGCTAATGGTAGAAGTACAGTACAAATTAAACTCCAAGTGGAAAAAACAGAAGAATCAACTTTAAGACCTTTTTTCATGAGGCTGTTTTAATCGTTCTCCTGCTCTGTCCCAATCTTCCACATCAAGAGTTTTAATAAGCCGTGGAAACCATGGGTTATGCGTAATAACCTCCTGTAGCATCTTAATGAATGTCTGAGAACCCGAGCACCAGTTTGTTTCAACGAAACTTTAAGCAACTGCACATAATGTTTTCCTTCAATAGACAAATTCTGCTCCATGTTACCCTGATTCAGAAAACTTCCCATTCCCAGTACTTCTTTAAAGCACTGCTCCTAGTACCTTTTTAGGGCACTGACCTTATATCCGCTGCCAGCAGACTCATCCCGGGGTCCCCATTCGCCTTGTCAATTTCAGTTCCTCTGCTCTAGCAGACATTCTTCATTCACATCCTCGAAGCCCCTGTGTTTGGACGCCACTTGTAAAGCACCAGATTCTGTTGCTGTTCGAGGCACCACTTGCAGCCTGCCAGGATCCCTGGTGGACTGAACAAAGGGGGATGAATGCGGGAATAAAGACAAGAGACAAAAGAATATGTTTGGAAGAAGGGTCAGGGGACACCTTGTCTCTAGTGAACAAGGGCCCTGAGCTTTACACAGCCCTCTGTATTTATTAGGCAAAAGAGATAGTGAGAAGGGGTGTGGAAGAAGAGGTCAGCTGCTCAGTCCAGAGTAGGCTTGCAAGACTGCATTCCTCGAACAATAGGCTCTAGACGTCCCAGTAGATAACCTCAAGGAGCCGGGGCCAGGGAGCGATGGCCCTCAGCAAACTTTCTGGGGCAGGCACAGAAGTGAGTTTGCCCACATTCTGTATTCATGATAAACAGTTTGCTCTTTGATCATGTAGCCTCCAGTGGAATGCTGAGTTGGTCACAATCCCTTTGGCCTTTTCGGCTCCCAACATATTCCCAGCATTTTGGGAGGGTGAGGCAGGTGGACCTGCTGAGGTCAGGAGTTCGAGACCAACCTGGCCGACATGGTGAAACCCCACCTCTACTAAAAATACAAAATAGTGGGGCATGCCTGTAGTTCCAGCTACTCGGGAGGCTGAGGCAGGAGAATTTCTTGAACCTAGGAGGTGGAGGTTGGAGTGAGTTGAGATCTTGCCATTGCCTCCAGCCTGGGCAACAAGAGCAAAACTCCATCTCAAAAATAAATAAATAATTAATTAAAATAAACTTCAGGATTGGGGCCCAGCAATCCGTGTTTAATAAGCCCTCCAAGGTGATTCTGATGCTCACTACTATACAGAGGAAGCCATGTACAGGAAGCCATCTGAAGACTCAGGAAAATGAGGATGTTGGAATGGATTCACAGTTGTCCCTGGGTATCTGAGAAAAACTGGTTCCAGGGGCCAGGTGCGGTGGCACAGGCCTGTAACCCCAGAACTTTGGGAGGCCGAGGCGGGTGGTTGGTTCACTTGAGCTCAGGAATTCAAAACCAGCTGGGCAATATGGCAAAAACCCATCTTTACAAAAAATATAAGTATTAGCCAGGCACGGTGGCATGCACCTATAGTCCCAGCTACTTGGGAGGCAAAGGCGGGAGGATCCCTTGAGCCCAGGATGTGGAAGCTGCAGTGAGCTGAGATCGTGCCACTGCCCTCCAGCCTAGGTAACAGGGCCAGACTTTGTCTCAAAAAGTAATAAAATAAAATGGGATAGTATTTGCATATAACATAGCACTATTCTTCTATATACTTTAAATCATCTCTAGGTTACTCATAATACTTAATACAATATGAATGCTATATAAATAGTTGTCATACTTATTTTTTATTTGTATTATTTGTTATAGTTGTATTGTTATTTTTATGTTTTATTTTTCAAATATTTCTGATCCTTGATGGGCTCAATCTCAGGATATGGAACCTGCTGATAAAGGGGGACTGGCTGTATTTATGTGCATCTTATTCAGACACCCCCTAACCATAACTCCCAAGAGGGCCTGGAGGACACTCTTTTCTTTAAAGTCTTGGTAACAGAAGCATCAGCCTCTTTAAAGAGCTGATGCAGCCACTATGATGGTTGTCCTTTGCAGACTGGAGATGATGGTGAGAGGTACTGCCAAGGAATTAGGCCCCTTGACCTCATTGGGAATACTGGAAGAAGCCAGGCAGCAATGCCGAACTGTTTTAGACCAGGTAGGCACAATTACTGTAATAAGCCATAGCAAAGGATTGACATAGTGTATTTTTACATGTGGGGATCTGTGATGATGGCTAATTGATCCCAAGGTTCCTGTTAGACTGACAGCCTTCTAAAGTGTTGCATGACACCTATAGACAAAACAATTCTAGGTCTGTTGTGCAAGAACCAAACTCAAGTCTCCATAGTGGAGAGAGCCTCATATCCAGTTTCCAGACTAAATAAATCAGGTTATAGACCCAAAGTCCCTTGACTGAGGGGGCAGATGGGAGCCTCTGAGGAAGGATTTTGTAATTGTGGCTTCATGGGTATACCATAAATCTTCCCCCAAGCCTTCTGCAGAGAGAACTATGGTTATTCATCAGGGTCTTTGCACTGGGGAAACAAAAATACTCAGCTATTTCACGGTTATTAAGATAGTGACTCTGAAATTATACTGATTTCCAGAGACCTTAAAAGCCTCTGTGATCCAGTTTTCAGAGTGAAGGCTAATGGAGGTTGCGTGAAAGATGGATTCTTGGTCTGACTTCTCACAGGAGCCCATCCTGTAATTATTTCCTCAGTCCCAGAATACACAGAAGTAGGATATAGCAGAATCATCACACAGTTTCCTTAACCCATGAGATAAGGCATTAAGGAAAGGCCAAGTAGAAGGTTTAAACCACCCCCATTCTCTGACCCACATAGTGAGTGGGATCTGTTGATTCCTACTACATTTCCATTTGATTCACCAGCTTGGCCAGCTGTTCAAGTCAGACAGGTCCGAATGAACAATGTTTCACATTTTTTTGTTTTGTGTGTTGGTGTTGGTGTTACACCTTAGGATCACCTGCAGATTTTTTTTTTAAATGGAGATGTCTGACGCCCACCCCCAGGCACTGCGAGTGTGTGTGTTTTCTAATTATTTTGAGACAGGGTCTCCCTCTTTCACCCACGCTGGAGTACAGTGGCACAATATCAGCGTACTGCAACCTCCACCTCTGGGCTCAAGTGATCCTCCCACCTCAGCCTCTCCAGTAGCTGGGACCACAGGCGCGTGCTAGCACACCTGGCTAATTTTTGCATTTTAGTAGACAAGGGGTTTTGCCATGTTGCCCAGGCTAGTCTCAAACTCCTGGGCTCAAGCGATCCTCCCATCTCGGCCTCCCAAAGTGCTAGGATTACAGGCGTGAGCCACTGTGCCTGGCCCTATTATTTTTTAATGTTTTTTAGCAACAGGGTCTCACTCTGTGACCCAGGCTGGCACGATCATACCTCACTGCAACCCTGAACTCCTGGGCTCAAGCAATCTTCCTGCCTCAGCCTCTCAAGTAGCTGGGACCACAGGCACACACCACCATGTTCTGCTAGTTTTTGCTTTGTTTTGTTTGTAGAGATAAGGTCTCGCTATGTCTCGCCTCAGCCTCCCAAAATGCTGGGATTACAGGCATGAGCCACTGCACCCAGACACTGATTTAACAATAAGGGATACCACTTGGACACAGAAACTTTTTAAAGCTTCCCAGGTGAGTCTGATGTGCAATAAAGTTTGGGAACCACTGGTCTTGGGGAATGACAATAAGTTATCACAGATTTAACAAATGATGTCAATCACAGCTGCAGTTGGCGATTGGTACCTTTATTAGACCAAATCAACACAACTCCTAATACCTGGAATAAAGCTAGTGCCATGAAAAAAATGCAACATTTTCCATTCCAGTAAGAAAAATTAAAAGAACTTGAATTATTGTGGCAGGGACAACTGATTTTACTGTCTTACTTCAGAGTGATATGAATACCCTCATTTTCTTTCATTATATAGTCTGGAGAGACTTTTATTTTCTTGATTTTTGACAAAAAAATGAAATGTGACATGTATAACATTATGCTAACTGGAGCTGGAAAGCACGAATTAGCAAGCAGCTAGATGTCTTAGGAAGACATACATATATAAGAGGTTGGGAGGTAAATACTGTTAAAGTTCAGGAGCCTGCCACATAGGTGAATCTCCTAAGGGTCTAGTGGTCTGAGGACATGGGATCTATTTTTGAAGGGAAGAAACAAGCTACCCAGGCATGACGGCTCACCTACCTGGGAGGATTGCTCGCACCCAGAAGTTCGAGGCTGCAGTGAGCTATGATCACGCCACCACACTCCAGCCTGGGCAACAAAGCGAAACCCCATCTCTTAAACAAAGGCAGTGGGGAGAGGGAGACAAGATTCTGCACCTTGCACTGGTCACCATGAAGACAGAAGCAACAATGTTTGAAGTCGCCCTTTGAGTTTGAGATAAAATATATTTGGGAATACTACCCCAACCTACTTACTGGGTAGCCCGTAAGACTGCCGATTTTTAGTGAAACCCAATGTAAGACAGGGCTCTCCAGCAGATTCAGGATGCGATGCTGCAGCAAACAGAGATGCTGTGTGGAGTCTCTTCCAAATACTATTAGGACAATCACATTGCAGACTCCTACAGCTTTGAAATAACGACATGCACACCTGTCAAAAATTTGTCTCCTCCCCACAAAGACAGGGTCTTCTTCTGTCATCCAGGCTGGAGTGTGGTGGGGCAATCACAGCTCACTGCAGCCTCAACCTCCTCCTGGGCTCAAGCGAACCTCTCATCCCAGCCTCCTGAGTAACTGGGACCAAAAGCACACACCACCACAGTTGGCTGATTTTTAATTTTTTTGTAGAGATGAGGTCTCATTATGTTGCCCAGGCTGGTCTTGAACTCCTGGGCTCAAGCAATCCTCCCACCTCGGCCTCCGAAAGTGCTGGGATTACAGGTGTAAGCCACGATACCCAGCCAATTCTTTATTTAGTCATCTTAAAAGGACACAACAGAAATGATATAAAATAACTTTTATTTACATAATTTATATATATATATAACTGCTTTCTTTAGAACAAGAAAATTTATAAATGACATGATATTGCTTTTTCTGTCAAAGACTTCTTCAAGCAAGATAGTATACATGGTCACTTTTGTTTCAAATAACATGATGGTAAACAGTGGATATTAATATTTTTGTCATGCCTCAACCATTTACCAACAATTAGGCGTTCAAATCCTCATGTTGACCACTTGCTAAGACATAAGTGTTCAGGAGAAAAAGTCAAGAAAAGATAAAAACTTTTACTCATATCTCCTTTAAAATTTGTGAAATAAATCCTTTGCAACATCTTCTTCACATGAATCAGACCTAACATAGTTCTTTCCAACATGTAAGGTAAATACATTGATTAACTTTCTCTTTTCCAAAATTAGGTTTAAGGATTTAACAGTAGGATACTTTAGCTGGCTGACTTGATTCTCTAATACAATGAGTCTCTGTATTCTTTATATAGTAAGAAATTCCATTTTCCATAAAACTAGCTCATTATAGATTAAAAAGAAACAGATGTTAAAGTTAAAAACTAATATTACACAAGGATAAATAATAGTTTAATCATGGCAATCTAACTCCCAAGCTAACACTAAGAGAATGAAATCTTTTCAGAATATGAGTTTTAAAAACTTACAAAAACAGGGTATTCAAATAGCAATGTGATTTACTACCATGATTTCTGTGACATATCAATCATGAAATAAATGCCTACTTATAGACAATTTCCGCTCCGAATTATATAGCCTCCTCTCTGACAAAGTGTTACGCCATAAATTTCACTAAAAGACAATGAATAAGAAGTGCTCTAACAGCAGTAGTTTCAATAAATTAGCATTACTGTTATATGTGCTGAGACATAATTCTCTTCTATTAAGGAACTTAAAAACTGGCCACCATTTTTTCAATATACAAACATAATTATCTAGACTCTAAAATATCTTCCCAACTGAAATACTGATCATTACATAATACAGTCAACAGTTTTAACTTTTAGGCACAACTCATAACTTTAGTGACAAATAACTCATCCATACAGATATCAGCACCTCAGGGTAAGAAAATTTGGGGCCTAATGTAGGGGGTCAAACTAAAAGGCCAATCCAGCCACAGTCCTTCATTCAAGTACTGTCTATGGCTTCTTTCACACTGAAATTGCAGAGCTGAGTAGCTGCCACAGAGACCATCTGGCCTGCAAACCCAAAACAGTTTGCAGAAAGTTTCCAATGCCTGAGCTACTATACTATCAATCCAAGAGGCTTTTCAAATAAAATCAGGATAAATTTGCTGTTTGAGAAGTCTAATTGGAACCACTACAGATCTGCTTGGGTAGATAATAGAATTACACGTATAAAAAATCAAATCTTGAAATTAAAACAAACCTTAAATTCATACTGATGATAATCATTAACTTTATAAAGCCTTATTTTCTCTGTTTTTAACATCATGATTATGTTCCGTGCTTAAAGATCCAAGTGTTCCTTGAGAATTTAATGGGAAAAAACTATGAAGAAATTGGCTTTTTAAAAACTAATATTATGTCTGTGGGTGTATAAAGGAGATTGAGCTTTGTATGGAAATTTTGTCTCATAAATAAAGTTGAGTTCCCCCTATCCTCATGAAAATCCTGAGATTATCCAAGAAAAGCAGAAAAATTTACAGTACAAAGTCAATATACTAAACTGAGGGGAAAAAGGTATTCAAAACATATACACCAGCTAAACATTTTTAGTTATATCATTTTAAATATCTTTAAAATTAAACAGAAAAAGGAGACAAACATAAATTTAATGCCTTCTTTATCTACAATCTGAGGGGTAAAAATAGCTAAAACTGAATATCCTTTTAAATAAAAAATTTAAAAATAAATAAGCCCTTTGATGTGTCATCTTTATAAATAATTATGTTTAAATACTAGTTTTTCAATTAGGACTAATGTTACATCACCATGAATTAGAAAAATATGTATTTTTCAGTCAGACAAACAGCTGATAATAGAAAAGTTCTTTAACATTTGCCATACTAAAGTGAAGTTTGACAATTTGTTTTCACATATAGTCACGTGTCCCTTAACTACATGTTCTAAGAATTGCCTTGTTAGGTGATCTTGTGTGAAACAACGCAGAGTGTACTTACAAACACTGAGATGGTACAGGCTGCTACACACCGTACAGACTGAGGCTATGTGGTATAGCCTATTGCTCCTCGGCTACAAACCTCTACAATGTGTTACTATGCTGAATACTGTAGGCAGTTGTAACACAATAGTAAGTATTTGTGTATCTAAACATATCTAAACATAAAAAAGCAATGCACTGTGTTATGATGGCTATAATGTCACTAGTTGATAGGAATTTATCTCCATTTTAATTGCATGGGACCACTGTAATATATGTGGTCCATCATTGACTTAAACTTCATTATGTGATACATGACTGTACTTAGAAGCAAATGAAAAAGCCTTCATCCTTCATCATCTCCCCCTAAAAATAAAAAATCTTCACAAAAGAAGTTGCTAAATGTTAAATATGATACAATTAACCCCCAAATCTGTCTGCACTGCAATTCATACAGAGACATATATCCACAACATTCCCAAATGTCCATGTGTGCTTAGCACAGGAAGAGTCAAAATGTAAACAAGAGTTGTTATTTCTGTCTGAGAAAGCAGTCTTAATTGCTTGCTATTTGCAAAATGCTGAATCAGTCAGAATGAAAGGAACCTCAGAAATGTTTTCCACTGATTATAAAAGCTTCAAATCAAGCTCATTAAGTATTCAAAATCAACCTAAAGAAAAATAAGACAGTGATATTTTGCTCTAAATACTGTTTTGTTGATGTAATTGACTCTGGAAATCCTAGACCTAATTTAAAAAAGAAAAAGAGAAAAGATTGTTTTATTCTGTTTCATCCACTTCAATGAAGATATCATTGAAGAAATATTCAGAGACTGTGGTTGCCTCCCCTTGAGGGGCCCGCTTTTGGGCACTTTTATATCCTTCTTTCAGTAAGGGCTGATCACAAGAAACCTAAAAAGGTAATAAAAATAAAGTAAAAATAAAACTGTAATACAACATTTATATATATATGTGTGTGTATATATAGCAGTCTAAACCAATATGATCTGTTTGAAAAGCAACGTGGCAATAAATATTGAGCTTTAAATATGTTCACAATCACTGACCCAAAAATTTCACTTCTATGCTGTTACATTAAGTAAATAATCCTAAACATAGTAGGAGTTTTATGACTAAGATAACCTTTGTAGCATTAGTTATAATAATAAAATAGGAAGCAACTAAATATACCACACTAGATATAATTAGGTAAATTACAGTGTACCCATAATCCATTACTTCATCCTAATTTCCATGAAAAATTTTAATAAAGAAAAATATAATATGGTTAAATCTGTCACTAAATAAAGTAAAAATACTTTAATTATTTGCATAATAGACAGACCCATGACAAAACAGCACCTAAAGAAAACATATCAAAGATACCTTATCAGAAATTAGCATACTTACAAATCTATAAACAAATTAAGACAGCATGGTATTGGCACACGAATGACAGATATATCAATGAAACAGAAGACTAGAAATAACCCCAATATATATAGAAATTTAGCATCTGATAAAAGTGCCATATCAAAAACAGTTATTGTATTATTAAATAAATGATGTTGGACAACTATATAACCATCTCAGGGGGAAAAAAGTCAGACCAATACCTTACCAAAACAAATTCTAGATGGATCAAAAGATTTAAATGTAAAAGTATTTTTTAAAAAACTCTACTATAAAAATGCCATGGAAAAACACTTTTATAATTCTGGACGGAGGTAGGTGGGGAAGGGTACCTTTTTATTTATTTATTTATTTTAAGACAAAGCCAGGCTGGAATGCAATGGCATGATCTCAGCCCACTGCAACCTCCACCTCCCGGGTTCAAGCAATTCTCTTATCTCAGCCTCCCAAGTAGCTGGGACTACAGGCACACACCACCGTGCCTGATTAAATTTTGTATTTTGGTAGAGATGGGGTTTTGCCATGTTGGCCAGGCTGGTCTCAAACTCCTCACCTCAGGTGATCTGCCCGCCTTGGCCTCCCAAAGTGCTGGGATTACAGGCGTGAGCCACCGCACCCAGCTGGGAAGAGTACCTTTTTAAACTATCTGAAAGCAGAAAGCTATAAAAGATTGACAAATTAAACAGAAATAAAAAATGTCTGCTTGACAAAAACCACCATAAATAAAATCAAAAGACAAATGACATACAGAGAAAAAAAAAATTGCAATCTTTATCACAAAGGGCCTTTTTCCCTGAATATAATAAGAACACTACAGGCCAGGCACAGTGGCTCATGCCTGTAATTCCAACACTTTGGGAGGCCAAGGCTTGAGGCCAGGCATTTGAGAACAGCATGGCCCACATGGCGAAATCCCGCCTCTACTAAAGATACAAAAATTAGCTGGGTGTTGTGGCATGCATCTGTAAGCTCAGCTAATCGAGAAGCTGAGACAGGAGAATCACTTGAACCCAGGGGATGGAGGTTGCAGTGAACCAAGATCACGCCACTGCACTACAGCCTGGGTGACAGAGTGAGTGAGACTCTGTCTCAAAACAAACACACAAAAAAAACAAAACCCACGACTTTGGCAATGATAAGCTAGACTGATATCTTGATCTCAGAAAATAATTCTAACAAATAATACAAAATGTTTTTAAAAAGTTTAAAGATGTTCTTTACAAAAGTACCCCTTCCAAAGGCTCATGCTGTTCAACAGATGCTCACCAGCCTTCTCTTTGTCAAGATCTTAAGTCACCCCAATATTTTTACAAAGTCTTTGATACAGGTTTACAGAGTTTTCCATCCCAATACTTGCCATTGGACAGCTTCAGGAGACATAGAAATGAAACATGTGAACAAATTCTAGTTTTACAGTTCCTTAAATTCTTGTGGGTGTCAGCACTGCTTCCTTTTGCTTCCACAAGTCAGAAGGGTCTCTAGATTAAAGGAATGGCTATTAAGTGTCCATTTATGGTTAGTTCAATGGCTCTGTACTAATCTAACTGTAACTTCCTGACTCAACACCTTTTCTTCTTCCATTATGGAGGAACACGATGGAGAGAAGGATGGGAGTTGCTCTAAAATAATTTCTGACATCAAATAAAAATAACAAATTACTATGTTTTCCCTAGTTGAATCTCATATCCAACCCATCTCATACAAACTATAAAATACAGTAGTTATCACATACCTGAGTTGCTGAGCTGCTAATATTCTCAGATTGAGTAGTAATAACACTTGGAGATGGAAGCAGATCAGAGGACTCTCGATTTTTTTCCTGGCTTTCATTGAATGGATTAGATCTTTTCAATTTCTTTCTTAATCCAGGTATAAGAGGTTTTAGGCGTTTCTTACTATGGACTTGCATAGGTTCATCAGACTCCAAACTATTCTTTGAGCATATTAAAGATAAAAATCCCAGGGGTCTTCTGCCAGGTCTAGAAATACAAATGTAACGATATTCAAGAATACCCAGGAAGACACATTCTTTTTTTTTTTTTTTTTTTTTTTTTTTTGAGACGCAGTCTCACTCTCACCCAGGCTGGAGTGCAGTGGCGCAATCTCGGCTCACTGCAACCTCCACCTCCCAGGTTCAAGAGATTCTCCTGCTTCAGCCTCCCAAGTAGCTGTAGTAGAGACGGGGTTTCACCATGTTGGTCAGGCTGGTCTCGAACTCCTGACGTCGTCATCTGCCTGCCTCAGCCTCCCAAAGTGCTGGAATTACAGGCGTGAGCCACCGCACCCAGCCAAGACACAACCTTAATACCTGCTTCTGCTTTGGGAGGCTAAGGTGGGAAGACCACTTAAGGCCAGGAGCTCAAAAACAGCCTGGGCAAAATTAGCAGGACCCCGGTCTCTAGAACATCTCTAGCATTCAAATCACTTGGGGATCTTATTAAAATGAAGATTCGCACAGTTGGTAGCGGGCATGGCCTGAGTTCTGCATTTTATCAAGTTCTCAAATGATGTCCATACTGCTGTTGTCAGGACTACACTCTGAGTAGCAAAGCTGTGGAACAGTGGTCAGCACAGTATGCTCTACAGGCCACATGCAGCCCCGCACCCAATTCTGTGAGTATGTTTTACTGGAACACAGCTATGTTCATCTGTTTACATATGGTCTATGGTTGCTTTTGTGCTGTAACTGCAGAGCTGAATAGCTGTTAACAGAGACCACATGGCTTACAAAGCCTAAAATATATACAAATGCCATTTTACAAAAAATGCTGACTTCCGTTCTAGAACACTGCTTCTCAACCTGTTTTAATCCAAACTCTCATGATGTTATTATTTTATTTTAATTTATTTTTTGAGACAGTTTCGCTCTTGTTGCCCAGGCTGGAGTGCAATGGCACAATCTCGGCTCACCGCACCCTCCGCCTCCTGGGTTCAAGCGATTCTCCTGCCTCAGCCTCCTGAGTCACTGGGATTACAGGCATGTGCCAACATGCCCAGCTAATTTTATATTTTTAGTAGAGATGGGGCTTCTCCATGTTGGTTAGGCTGGTCTGGAACTCCCAACCTCAGGTGATCCACCCACCTCAGCCTCCCAAAGTGCTGGGATTACAGGCATGAGCCACCGCACCCAGCCTTTTTTTTTCTTTTTTCAGAGACGGGTCTGGCTATGTTGCCCAGGCTGGAGTGCAGTGGCTATTCACAGGCACAATCATAGCTCACTGCAATCTCAAACTCCGGCCTCAGCCTCCTGAGTAGCTGGGATTATAGGCATGTGCCACTGTACCTGGGCCTCATTCTATTTTCAGCACATATCTAAGGCCAGAAGAGATACCACTGAGCTTTACCTTCTATAATTTAGATAACAAAAACAATAGATCTATTAAATATGTCTTTTAAGCTACATGTGTCCTTTCCCCAACCCCTTCCCCTTAGTGGAGACTAGTGCATGTTCCCCCACCTCTTTCAGTTCAGCAACACCACATTAATCTTCTGGATGCTGCTGACAAGCCAATAATTATTGATAATCATTGCTTCTAGAATATGAGGAAATTGTGAGAGAAGTTGGCTCTTGCTTAAATTCCAACACTTATTCTTATGGGGAGAAAGCCATGGTTTACCTCTTTGGTTTGTCACAAGGGAGAAAAATGACACATTATTTGGGACTTCAGTAAAACAACTTCTGATGTCAGCATCCATACATATGTGCATTAGTAGCTACTGAACATGGTAGATTATGTAATGATCAAAATAACCATGGATAATCTAAAAAAATAAGTGTACAAAATATTCTAAAGATTTTCTATCTAAAAAAGTTTTAGCACTTAAGCTCTTATTGTACAGAATGTGTATCTGCAATATTACTGTATTTCCTTGGCTGAAACTTTTTCCTTTACATTACTGATGGAGGAATATGTTTATTAAACACCATCCTTAGTACTGGATCTAATCTGTTCTGTATAGGTTATATTTATTAAGACAGAGAGCAAAACACTTATTAAAGATTTGTTCATGATACCTGGATAGTGAGGCTTTAGAAGACGATGTTCTGCTATCCATTTGCTGAGACTTAGGAGCAGCATCAGTTCTTTCTTCCTTATCAGACACAATCATTTCATCCTGAGGTAACTGAGGCACATTCTTGTCCATGCATGCATCAGGAGATCTAGATCCTCTACTCTGAAAAGCTGCTTCAACTTGCTGTCTTTGAGGTTCTGGAGTTGTCAGTGTGCTTCCTGAGGTAAGAAAAATATCTTGTCCCTTGTGAGACTCCCCTTCAAAAAAAAGAGCAAATGGAAAGCAAGGATACTGAAGTTAATACACTCCATGTAATCCCAGCATTTGAAAAGAAACCCATGGTATTCTATAATAAACCTACCCTAATAAGAGTAAGCTAAATTATCATTAGTGGAGTTACTTGGATTATTAAGAATATTATAATTGGTTAATAAGGTATGCTAACAGCTTCTGCATTCAGAAACAAAATAGTTATATCAATATATTTTGGCCTAGAAAATATTTTCCCAGAAATATTTCCTGAGCAATCAAAATGGGAGAGTGATTACTTTCTAAAAAAGCTAAGGTTTGTTAAAATTTAGAAACCAAACCAATCCAAAATATAGGTGGTAACTCAAGTACCTGTGGTCTCCTGAAAAGTAAAACCTACAGACTCTCAAATACTCAAGTTTAGCTAAAGAATTCTCTTTCCTTAACTAAATAGTAGACAAAAGCCAAAGTAGCCAAAGATTAGGACAAAATAACTAAAGCTTTCTTGCTCAATAAAAAACCTGTTTTCCCTTAGTATAGCTAAGGCCTTGTTCTCAGAGAGAGTGTTTTAGCTCTGTGAAGGGAGAATGAAGTTGATAAGTAAACCTGCTAAAAGAAACAACCTAATTAAAGATAGCATAGAACAAATTCACTAACACTTCACTGTATTGTGGTTTGCTTAATGCTTTTATTGGAGAGCAGATGGATGGGAGCAATCTTAGAACATCTCTAGAGGCTGTAAACTGTAACCATATTACAGTTTCACAGTCAAAGTTGGGACAATTAAGTCTAAGACTGTATTAACATTATAAGAGTTTTTTTGTTTTTGTTTTTTTGAGACAGAGTCTCGCTCTGTCGTCCAGGCTGGAGTGCAGAGGCGCGATCTCGGCTCACTGCAACCTCTGCCTCCCGGGTTCAAGCAATTCACTCACCTCAGCCTCCCGAGTAGCTGGGATTACAGGCATGCACCACCACACCTAACTAATTTTTGTATTTTTAGCAGAGACAGTGTTTCACCATGTTGTCCAGGCTGCTCCCGAACTCCTGACCTCAAGTGACCCACCAACTTTGGCAACCCAAAGTGCTGGGATTATAGGTGTGAGCCACTGTGCTCAGCCCATTATATGTGTGGGGTTTTTTTGTTGTTTTTTTTTTTTGTTTTTGAGACAGAGTTTCGCTCTTGTTGCCCAGGCTGGAGTGCAATGGCGCAATCTCGGCTCACCGCAACCTCTGCCTCCCAGGTTCAAGTGATTCTCCTGCCTCAGCCTGCCGAGTAACTGGGATTACAGGTGCCCGCCACCACGCCCAGCTTATTTTTGTATTTTTAGTAGAGATGAGGCTTCGCCATGTTGGCCAGGCTGGTCTCGAACTCCTGACCTCAGGTGATCCACCTGCCTTGGCCTCCCAAAGTGCTGGGATTACAGGCGTGAGCCACCACGCCCAGTCAAGTATTTTTTGTTTGTTTTTTGAGACAGAGATTTGCTCTGTCACCCAGGCTGGCGTGCAATGGCGTGATCTCAGCTGGCTGCAACCTCCGTCTCCCAGGTTCAAGCAATCTCCTGCCTCAGCCTCCCAAATAGCTAGGATTACAGGCGCCCACCACCACGCCTGGCTAATTTTTTGTATTTTTAGTAGAGATGGGGTTTCGCCATGTTGGCCAGGCTGACCTCAGGTGATCCACTCACCTCGGCCTCCCAAAGTGCTGAGATTACAGGCCATGAGCCACTGCGCCTGGCCCATTATAAGTGTTTTTAAAGAACCAGAACCATCATAGGTTATCAAACCCTTCTCTATCTTGTAACTCTAACTCTGTAAGATGCCATCAGCAACATTTTTATTCTTGAGTGCCATTGCCATGGTAAAGCAATGGCTATAGGTGTGAATGATAAGCCTAACTTTGAGAGAAAAGAGAAATAATGTCATAAAAGAAATGAAAAACAGAGTTGTATAAACACAGGATAAATGTGACTGGCAGCTTTAGTCATGAGGGAAATAGATCCTAAGTGGTTTAATGTCCCACAGAAATTTTAGATTCCTATAAAAATAGAAGACTCTAAGATCTTTTCAGCTTCCATAGGTGGCTTAAGCCTGAAAAAATCTCTAGAACTAAACTAATTTTCAGGGTAAAGAACCTATTATGAATGCCATTATAGGCCACAGGTGGTGGCTCATGCTTATAATCCCAGTACTTTTGGAGGCTGGGGTGGGCAGACTGCTTGAAGCCAGGAGTTCAAGACCAGCATGGGCAACATGGCGAAACCCCATCTCTACAAAAATACATTCAAGACCAGGCTGGACAACATGGTCTCTACAAAAAATACAAACTCTGTCTCTACAAAAAACACAAAAATTTCGAGGCCGGCAGATCACGAGGTCAGGAGATCAAGACCATCCTGGCTAATACGGTGAAATCCTGTCTCTACTAAAAATACAAAAAATTAGCTGGGCGTGGTGGCAGGTGCCTGTAGTCCCAGCTACTAGGGAGGCTGAGGCAGGAGAATGGTGTGAGCCCAGGAGGCAGAACTTGCAGTGAGCCGAGATCGCACCACTGCACTCCAGCCTGGGTGACAGAGCGAGACACCGTCTCAAAAAAAAAAAAAAAAAAAAAAAAAAATTAGCTTGGCATAGTGGCGCATGCCTGTAGTCCCAGCTAGTTAGGAGGCTGAGGTGGGAGGATTGCTTGAGCCTGGGAGGTGGAGGCTGCAGTGAGCTGTGATTGTGCCACTGCACTCCAGCCTAGGTAACAGAGTGAGAACCTGTCTTGGCGGGGCGGGGGAGAAAAAAAGCCATTACATTCAGCTAACTCCTAAAGTGTAGTTATTGAGCTTACATAGAAAATCCTTGTAGCCACATAGTCTTCAACTGATGACAGGATGAAAAGACCTTCTTTTGCCTACCAAACTGCCAAATCCAAGGCCTTTGCAGGAAAGAAGTGCTGATAATACAAGTATTACTCTTGGAGAAAAGGAATACTCAGTTTCAATCTCATATTTGAACAAGGTATATCCCAAATAATCAGGAGTATTTAGCAAAATGCAATCATGTTAAAATGTATTTCACTTACCTGTTTCCTCAAAAACATTTGTTAATTCCTTTGAGTGCACCTATTTTAAGAAAATTTAAAAAAAAATTTAGAAATTTATCAAGTAAAACTGAAATTAATTTTATTTCCTTTTTTTCTTTAAGTAAAGAAACTATGTTATCTCCCAAAAAGCTCTTAGAGGAATTCTACTAAACATTTATGGCAAAAATATTGCTACTATTTTAAAATGTTCCAGAGCCCACTGGAAGAGAGAAAGCTGCTAACTGCCTTTTATAATCAGTCTCAATATCAGTGCAAAAGTATCAAAGAAATAGTACAAGCAGCACATCAAAAGACTACTACATCACAATCAAGTAGAGCTCGTTTCAGGAATGCAAAGATGATCTGACACTATGAAATCTAATATAAACCAACAGACCTGAGGAGAAAAATCATCTGTATTTATAGAAAAGGTACCCAATGATATTCATTCTTGAAAAAAACTTATAAAATGGAACAGATATTTTCTTAACACTATAAAATATAACTATTGCAATCTAGAAGCTAGCATCCCACATAATAAACACTGGAAGTTCTCCTATTAAAATCGGAAATTAAAAAAAAAGATGTGCACTATTTGGATCACTTTTTAATATTATTTTTTAGTTATATTAGCCACTATAATTACAAAAAAATTAGAACTACAAAAAGTAGAAGAATTAAAATTATATTTGCAGATGGTATGTCTGTTTACCTACAAAACCCAAGAGAACCAACTGAAAAATTACTGCATACAATGAGGGAACTCAGTAAGCTCTCTAAATAGAAAAGAACTTAATGATAACAGCAACAAAAAAGATAAAACTCATAGGGGTAACCTATAAGAAATGTGTAAGATTTATATGAAGAAGAGTTTAACACAAAATAGAAAGACACAAAACAAGACTTAAACAAATGGAAAGACATACCATGTTTTTGAATAGGAAGATTCAATATTATAATTATGCTGTCAATTTCCCCTAAGTTAATCTAAGTTAATATGATTCAAATACAAATACCAATAGAACTCTTTTTTAAAGAGCTAAACAAGTTAATTCTAAAATTCATATTAATTTGAGAACATATAAGTAATGAGGAGAAACTTGAAAAAAGAAGAAAATTGTATGGGTTTGGGAGAGATACTGTCCCTATAAGATACCAAAGTGCATCATAAAGCTACAAAAATTCGGCCGGGCGTGGTGGCCCACACCTGTAATATCCCATCACTTTGCAAGGCCGAGGCAGGCGGATCATCTGAGGTCCGGAGTTCGAGACCAGCCTAACCAACATGGAGAAACCCCGTCTCTACTAAAATTACAAAATTAGCTGGGCGTGGTGGCGGCTGCCTGTAATCCCAGCTACTCGGGAGGCTGAGGCAGGAGAATCACTTGAATCTGGGAGGTGGAGGTTGCAGTGAGCTGAGATCACGCTATTGCACTCCAGCCTGGGCAATAGGAGAGAAACTCCATCTCAAAAAAAAAAAAAAGAATAAAGAAAACTACAAAAATTCAAACAGTATGATGATACTGGCCCCAGAACAAATAGGTGAATCAACATAAAAGAAAAGGAAGTTTTAGGAATATATCCAAACAAATATGAAGATTTACTGTCTTACTGATAAAAGCAGAATTTCCTATCAGTGGAAATAAGATGAATTATTCAGTAAACGGTAAAAGTCATATGAGGAAAATTAACTTGGCCCTATTCCTTACACCAAATCAAATTCGCAACAAATCAGTAATATTAACATTAACTAGGAAATTTAAGTCTCAAAGGACTTTCAATGTATAACATAATCTCCAGAAGCCATACACAAAAAGACTGATAAATCTGATTATGGAAAATAAAAAATGTCTTCTATCTGAATACAGTGTATGTGTATCCTACAATTTTGTACAGGCTGAGCATCCCAAAGCTGAAAATCCGAAATGCTCCAAAATTCTAAACTTTTTGAGTGCTGACATGACACTCAAAGGAAATGCTCATTGAAGCATTTCAGATTTTGGCTTTTCAGGTTTGGGATGTGGAACTGTTAAGTATAATACAAATGTAAGTATAATGCAATTATTCTAAAATTCAAAAAAATCTGAAATTTGAAACACTTCCGGTCCTAAGCATTTCGAATAAAGGATACTCAACTAGTAAAAGCAATTTTTAAAAAATTGTTAAAATGCTAAAAACAAAGTTTAGAAAATAAAAATCACAAATAAGCCAAATGGACATTATACTTTTCTTACATATTCACACCACTGTATAACTACCATTTTTTAAATGGCGTATCATAGTCTGGTGACCTAGTTTTGTACTTAGTAAAGTACTATGGTCTTTTGTCCATGTCATTAAAGATATTTTTAAAACAAAACAAAATAATGTCTGCATGGAATGCTGATAAATTATTGAAACTGGGTGACTGGTACATGGGGGCACATTATACCTAGTCTATCTTTTAATATGTCTGGAAATGTTCATATAAAAAGTTAATCCAAAAGTTCTGCATGAGAAAACAACAACAAAGAAAGCAGAGTCAAGAGACAATGACAAACTGGGAAAAAAGATTTGCAACTCATTACCACAGACATATATAAGAGTTCTTCCAGTTCTCTAAGAAAAAGATCAATAATCTAATTGAAAAGTGGGTAAAGGAAAAGTCAGTTCATAGAAAAGGAAATACACATGGCTCTTAAGCATATGAAAAGATGTTCAATCTTACCCATAACAAGAGAAAATAAAACAGTTCTGGGATATGCCATTTTTTTACTCACCAAATATATAAAAGCACACTTGCTCTTTGTCAACTATTACTCAAGAACTATTGGTCTTTAACTTTCTCTTTGAGAACACGGGTTTTAAAAGGACTTTTCCATAGTGTAGTTACAAATTATGATGAGTACTAGATGAGTATAAAAACAAGAGGGTACTAGGAAACCTACAACATAGTGGTTGGTGACTGAATTCGCATGGTCTGGCCGGACTTCCCTGAGGCACTGATGACTGAACTAAAGAAGTCTGTATGTTTTTCAAGGGAATGTTTCACACAGAAGGTACATCAAATGAAGTGTCCTGGGACATTTAAGGAATTGAAAGATGGCCAGTGTGGCCAGAAAGTGAGGCAGAAGCTGGCACAAAATGAGACTAGAGACAAAAATCAGCAAGACAATGTGGGGCACTAAAGGCTGTGGTTTTACTCCTAAAAGCAATGGGTAGCTTTAGGCATGATGATGATGATGATGATACTAGTATTATCATTTTACATATTAGGAAACCTGATCAGAGAGAGAGGTGAAGTATCTTGCCTAAGGTGTTACAGCTACTAGGTGGTAGAGCCAAGATCCAGACATATATAATGCTTTTGGTCTTATTTTTAGCCACCAATACAGAGCTGGGAATAAGTTTCTTGATTACTCTCCATCAATTTTCATTTACCATTGGTTAAAAGTGATAATCCAAAACCAGTTTTACTTGAATAACTTATGATGATAAATGTCAGAACTATCTTTATATATATCTAAAAGTTTAAAGAGAATAAAGGAAAAAATAGGAACAGATCTGTTGCAATATGGCCATCTTACTTAATGGCCATATTGAGTGGTACTTAATATACCACTTACCTCAGTGGTATATTCTTGACAGTCATCTCTTAAAGTGAGTGAACGTTTTTTGGCAGGAGGAATGTGGTCATTTTTATCAAGCCTGCATTGAAATCTCTTCCTAGATACAAGATCCAAATTATCAGGCGGCTTTTTAGAATTATCTCTTCCAGAAATAGATAAACCCATGGCATCTTGACCAACTGAAGTTGCTGGTAAACAAATACTGCATAGAAAAGAAATACATACTAAATTACTGAATTAGAAGTTATTTAACACTTTTTTTTTTAAAGGATCCTAGAAATCCTTCCAATAATAAAGTTAAAGGCTGAGGTATTCCAATGAAAATTCCAATAAAACCAAAAAACTCCAAACTAAGAGATACACGGCCATGGCCCCAAAAATGCTATTAATAGTTTTGAGCTCCATTCATACTTCAGGGCTTATAACTTAAATTCCATAGTATTGAATTAAATCTGAATATTACCCTCTCCCTCTCCCTCTCCCCATGGTCTCCCTCTCCCTCTCTTTCCACGGTCTCCCTCTGATGCCGAGCCGAAGCTGGACTGTACTGCTGCCATCTCGGCTCACTGCAGCCTCCCTGCCTGGTTCTCCTGCCTCAGCCTGCCGAGTGCCTGCGATTGCAGGCGCGCGACACCACACCTGACTGGTTTTCGTATTTTTTTGGTGGAGACGGGGTTTCGCTGTGTTGGCGGGGCTGGTCTCCAGCTCCTAACCGCGAGTGATCCGCCGGCCTCGGCCTCCCGACGTGCCGGGATTGCAGACGGAGTCTTGTTCACTCAGTGCTCAATGGTGCCCAGGCTGGAGTGCGGTGGCGTGATCTCGGCTCGCTACAGCCTCCACCTCCCAGCCGCCTGCCTTGGCCTCCCAAAGTGCCGAGATTGCAGCCTCTGCCTGGCCGCCCATCGTCTGGGATGTGAGGAGCCCCTCTGCCTGGCTGCCCAGTCTGGAAAGTGAGGAGCGTCTCTGCCCGGCGGCCATCCCATCTAGGAAGTGAGGAGCGCCTCTTCCCGGCCACCATCCCATCTAGGAAGTGAGGAGCGTCTCTGCCCGGCCGCCCATCATCTGAGATGTGGGGGGCGCCTCTGCCCCGCCGCCCCGTCTGGGATGTGAGGAGCGCCTCTGCCCGGCCGCGACCCTGTCTGGGAGGTGAGGAGCGTCTCTGCCCGGCTGCCCCATCTGAGAAGTGAGGAGCCCCTCCGCCCGGCAGCCGCCCCGTCTGAGAAGTGAGGAGCCCCTCCTACCGGCAGCCACCCCGTCTGGGAAGTGAGGAGCGTCTCCGCCCGGCAGCCACCCCGTCCGGGAGGGAGGTGGGGGTCAGCCCTCGCCAGGCCAGCCGCCCCGTCCGGGAGGGAGGTGGGGGGGTCAGCCCCCCGCCCGGCCAGCCGCCCCGTCCGGGAGGGAGGTGGGGGGGTCAGCCCCCCGCCTGGCCAGCTGCCCCGTCCGGGAGGTGAGGGGCGCCTCTGTCTGGCTGCCCCTACTGGGAAGTGGGGAGCCCCTCTGCCCGGCCAGCCACCCCGTCTGGGAGGGAGGTGGGGGGGTCAGCCCCCCTCCCGGCCAGCCGCCCCGTCCGGGAGGTGAGGGGCACCTCTGCCCGGCCGCCCCTGCTGGGAAGTGAGGGGCGCCTCTGCCCGGCCGCCCCTGCTGGGAAGTGAAGAGCCCCTCTGCCCGGCCACCACCCCGTCTGGGAGGTGTGCCCAGCGGCTCATTGAGAATGGGCCATGATGACGTGGCGGTTTTGTGGAATAGAAAGGGGGAAAGGTGAGGAAAAGATTGAGAAATCGGATGGTTGCCGTGTCTGTGTAGAAAGAAGTAGACATGGGAGACTTTTCATTTGGTTCTGTACTAAGAAAAATTCTTCTGCCTTGGGATCCTGTTGATCTGTGACCTTACCCCCAACCCTGTGCTCTCTGAAACATGTGCTGTGTCCACTCAGGGTTGAATGGATTAAGGGCGGTGCAAGATGTGCTTGTTAAACAGATGCTTGAACGCAGTATGCTCGTTAAGAGTCATCACCAGTCCCTAATCTCAAGTACCCAGGGACACAAAAACAGCGGAAGGCCGCAGGGTCCTCTGCCTAGGAAAACCAGAGACCTTTGTTCACTTGTTTATCTGCTGACCTTCCCTCCACTATTGTCCTATGACCCTGCCAAATCCCCCTCTGCGAGAAACACCCAAGAATGATCAATTAAAAATAAATAAATAAATAAATAAATAAATAAACAACTAAAAAATAATAATAAAATAAATCTGAATATTTAATAGTATTTTCCCTAATTGTAAAGTTAAACGTTTAACCTAAAATGTCCCTTCTAGTCCAGGCGCAGTGGCTCACGTCTGTAATCCCAACACTTTGGGAGACCGAGGCAGGTGTATTACCTGAGGCCAGGAGTTTGAGACCAGCCTGGTCAACATGGTAAAACCCCATCTCTACTAAAAATACAAAAAATTAGCCAGTGTGGTGGCACGCACCTATAGTCCCAGCTACTTGGGAGGCTTAGGCACGAGAATCACTTGAACCCGGGAGGTGGAGGTTGCAGTGAGCTGAGATCACGCCACTACACTCCACCTGGGCAACAGAGCAAGATTCTGTCTCCAAAAATAAAAATATTAAAGTCTTCAATTTCTAATGCTACACGATGGACAATTATCTTAATTAATGGTAGTTAAGATATAACTTACTTCCAAAATAAAGAATTAAAATAAGAGTATCAAGAACAGCTGGGCACAGTGGCTCATGCCTGTAATCTCAGCACTTTGGGAGGCCAAGGTGGGAGGAATGCATGAGGCCAGGAGTTCAAGACAAGCCTGGGTACCAGAGCAAGACTCTACCTCTGAAAAAAGAAAAAAAAAATTTTTTTTTAATTAGCTAACCACAGTGGTGCGCACCTGTAGCTGAGAAGCTACTTGAAAGGCTGAGGCATGAGGATCTTTTTTTTTTTTTCCTCACTCTATCACCCAGGCTAGAGTGCAGTGGTGCAATCTCAGCTCACTGCAACTTCCACCTCCCGGGTTCAAGTGGTTCTCCTGCCTCCGTCTCCTGAGTAGCTGGGATTACAGGCGCAGGCCACCATGACCAGCTAATTTTTGTATTTGTAGTAGTGATGGAGTTTCGCCATGTTGGCCAAGCTGGTCTTCAACTCCTGACCTCAGGTGATCTGCCCACCTTGGCCTCCCAAAGCCCTGGGATTAAAGGCGCAAGCCACCACGCCTGGCCAGGAGGATCTCTTGCGCCCAGGAGTTCGAGGATGCAGTGAACTATGATGGCACCACTACACTTCAGCCTGGCACTCTAGCCTGGGCACCAAAGCAAGTCCCTGTCTCTTAAGAAAAAAAACTGTATTTATTACCACTGTACTATTTTCACAACTTTCTGTGAATGCATATTTCACAGTTTCATATGTGTATGTTTATACAAAGTAACCACACTTTTAACAGGTATCATTTTATGATCTAGACTGTTAATTTTTTTAGCTTTCAAAATAACTTAATAAACAAGTTTCATACAAAACTAATACATGAAACATTTAAGTGGCATCTTTATCAGATATAAAATCTACCACATTACATTTCTTCTCTAACTTACCACATAAATGATAAATAAGATCTCCACAACAATAACAACTAACATTGGTGAATGGTTTGTTCAATCAATGCTACTTAGTTCATAAATCACTTTTCCTCCTAGCAAAAACAGTTTCACTCATTCGTTACCTCATGTCACCCCTTTCTTCGGTATTCACTGATTTGACCAATATGGGAGCTGGCAGTAAAGGGTTTGGCATGAACTGTGCAGTGGCATCAGTAAATTCTTCTACTGCATTGGCTGGGATTTCCACCAGAGTTAAAATAAAGGCTTGTTCATCTTCTCCATCTTGAGGTACATTAGCAACTAGATTCACTATCAAAGTTTAAAAGTTAGTAATAAAAAAGCTCAACTATGAAATAACAGAGTATCATTAATTTATTTCATTTCTAAAAAGACAGTCTCAGGACAACTTATCATCAAGACTAAATAAATAAATGCTCCCCCCAACAACCCCCCAGCCTGAGGAAGTAAGTTCCCTCCTTTTTTGCGGGGGGGAGACAGAGTCTCGCTCTGTCGCCCGGGCTGAAATACAGTGGCACAATCTCGGCTCACTGCAACCTCCGCCTCCTGGGTTCAAGCGATTCTTGTGCCTCAGTCTCCCAAGTAGATGGGATTACAGGTGCATGCCACCGTGCCTGGCTAGTTTTGTATTTTTAGTAGAGATGGTGTTTCACCATGTTGGCCAGGCTGGTCTCGAACTCCTGGCCTCAAGTGATCTACCCACCTCCGCCTCCCAAAGTGAGCCACCATGACTGGCCCAAGAAGTAATTTCATAAAGGATAAAGGTGATATACTAGGGAGAAGATTTATGACTCTGAAAAACAAAACTGATACACAAAATACTTCAAGGTGTTTCTATAAAACGTTTTAAATTTAAGGCCAGCATAGACTAAAATACAACTGTTTTATGTTTTTCCATAGTTAAATAAGGGGTAAAAATCATACAACTAAGTTCTATGACATGTCACTGAAGCATATTATCATACCTGTTAGGTCTTGAGGATTGATTATATTCTCTTGTTGGACTTCTGGAATACTTGTTGGTGTATACTGCCATAAAAAATTAAAATGAAAGAGTCAGGTTGGCCAAATCTTACATTTAAAAAGTTATTCCTGTCAATATGATATAGTGAAGAGATTAACTCAACAACATCTAACCATATACAGTTTTCAAGTGTTTGAAGCTTTAGGCTGTTCCAATAAACTTTTGATTCATTTAAATAAATATTAATACAAAGAATCCTGACTACATTGTTAAATATGTGCATTTTATGAAATGATTTTTGAAGTGACAGGATAGGGAGACCCAAACCCCACAACTTTTTCTCTACTCCCATCACACCAGCCATTGTACTATTAGTAGGTGACATCTGAATGAAGGCAAACTGCTTTCCCTGCATGCAGTATGGTTCCCTCCTGTTTTCCAAAAAACCACAAACATGGTTTTTCTAAAATGCAATCCTGACTGTAATTCTCTACTGCTTAAAATCTCTCAGCTCACCACAACCTCCGCCTCCTGGGCTCAAGCGATCCTCCCACCTCAACCTCCTGAGTAGCTGGGAGTACAGATGCACGCCACCACACCTGGCTAATTTTTTTGTATTTTTCAAGGGTAGAGATGGGGTTTTGCCATGTTGCCCAGGCTGGTCTCAAACTCCTGGGCTCAAGTGATCCACCCACCTAGGCCTCCCAAAGTGCTGGGATTATAGGTGTAAGACACTATGCCGGGCTTCTACTGCTTAAAATCTTTTATTATTTTATTTATTTATTTATTTTTTTGAGACAGTCTCGCTCTGTCGCCAGGCTGGAGTGCAGTGGCACAATCTCGGCTCACTGCAACCTCCGCCCCTCTGCCTCCTGGGTCCGAGCAATTCTCCTGCCTCAGTCTCCTGAGTAGCTGGGACTACAGGCACACACCACCATGCCCAGCTAATTTTTGTATTTTTAGTAGAGACAGAGTTTCACCATGTTGGCCAGGATGATCTCAATTTCTTGACCTCATGATCCACCCGCCTCAGCCTCCCAAAGAGCTGGAATACAGGTGTGAGCCACTGCGCCTGGCCTGCTTAAAATCTTAAAACTTTCATTTTGTAACCAACAATGTCAGTAACTGATTAAGGCAGGAATCATCAGTGGATATTAAAACTACAGGGTAACAGCTTGCTGCGTTGGTCTCATTTGACAAGTTACTAATACAGAATGGAAAAGATGCCATTATAATGAAGAAATCTGGTAGGTACCATTCTAGCCAAGTGATCAGTCAGCATCACCAATAATGGGACAAACTGACATTATGTGTCTCCCGATGTGATATAAAAGGAAGAACACATTATTACCTATATAGTAATCTTGCCCTAAAATATGTAAGTTGAATCTAGTAATGAGGAAGCAATTAAAAAAAAGAAATCCAGACTGTAGGCCAGCCTAGACTGGTCTAAACTTCTCTTGCTTTTTCTCTTTTGTGAACAAAAAGACAAGAAAAATACTCTAGATTAAAGGAAAATAAGGAGAAAGGATAATCAAATGCAATGTGAGAGCCCTGATTGGATCTTGAATTTAAGAAAAATAAAAAAAAAGCTGGCCAGGCGTGGTGGCTCACACCTGTAATCCCAGCACTTTGGGAGGCTGAGGTGGGCAGATCATTTGAGGCCAGGAGCTCAAGACCAGCCTGGCCAACATAGTGAAACCCCATCTCTACTAAAAATATTATACGAAAAAATTAGTCAGGTGTGGTGGGACACACCTTTAATCCCAGCTACTTGGGAGGCTGAGGCACAAGAATCACTTGAGCCTGGGAGGCAGAGGTTGCAGTGAGCTGAGATCGTGCCACTGCACTCCAGCCTGGGTGACAGAGTAAGACTCTGTCTCAAAAAGAAAAAAAGCTATAATGGACATGATTGGGACAACTAGGGAAACTGGAATGAAACTGTATATTACATATTGTTGAGACAATGTTAAATAGTGTAGTAATACTGAGTGTGACAACAGTACTGTCCTTTCTCTGTAAGAGAACTTCCTTGTCCTTATTAGATACAAGATGAGGTATTTATGGACTCAACCTACTTTCAAATGATTCAGTTTTTTGGTTTTTTTTTTTTTTTTTTTTTTTTTTTTGAGACAGAGTCTTGTTCTGTCGCCCAGGCTGGAGTACAATGGCACGATCTTTGGCCACTGCAACCTCTGTCTCCTGGGTTCAAGCAATTCTCACACCTCAGCCTCCCAAGTAGCTGGGATTACAGGTGCATGCCACCACGACTGGCTAATTTTTGTATTTTTGTAGTGATGGGGTTTCACCTTGTTTGCCAGGCTGTTCTTGAACTCCTGACCTCAGGTGATCTGCCCACCTCGGCCTCCCAAAGTACTGGGATTACAGGCGTGAGCTACCCCACCCAGCCAAGTATTTATCTATACAGATGGAGAGCAAGACAGAGTAAAAAAACAAATGAGGCAAAATATTGACAATTAATGAATCAAAGTGAAGTGTATGGGATAATTCTTTGTAAGATTTTTGTAACTTCTAAGTTTAAAATTTTTCAAAATAAAAAGTAAAAATTAAAAAGTCAGGGTGGGGTAAGGAATCTCGTAACTTTAAATGTAACCAAACTCCTTAGCAAGTCATAAAAATCCTTTTATGATCTGTCTGCAGGCTATCTTTCTAAGTTCATCTCTAATCACTTTCTTCATTAATATTCCACTCATACTGCTTACATGCTGTTTCATACTGGTTTGTTCTTGGAAACAGGGTCTCACTCTGTCTCCCAGGCTGGAGTGCATGGCGACCACAGCTCACTGCAGCCTCTACCTCCCAGGCTGAAACGATCCTCCCACTTCAGCCTCCTGAGTAGCTGGGACTACAGGCAAATGCCACCATGCCTGGCTTTTTTTTTTTTTAATGGCATTAAAAGTGTGAGCCACTGCAACCGGTCCACACCTGTTCTTTACACACACGTTCCTCTCCCTTTAACTGGATAATGTATACATGTTCTTCAAGTCCAAGGCTTCTCTCACTTGGGGAACTTTTTATGGAACTGTTCATGTATTGGTTACATGACTGCATAGTTATAAAAACCTGAAGAACTGTACACTAAAAAGGGTGAAGTTAGCCAGGCACAGTGGCTCATGCCTGTAATCCCAACACTTTTGGAGGCCAACGCAGGTGGATCACTTGAAGCCAGGCGTTCAAGACCAGCCTGGCCAATATGGCGAATCCCGTCTCTACTAAAAATACAAAACCTAGCTGGCTGTGGTGACACATGCCTGTAGTCCCAGCTACTTGGCAGGCTGAGGCAGGAGAATCTGTTGAATCTGGGTGGCAGAGGTTGCAGTGAGCTGAGATCATACCACTGCACTCTTGCCTGGGCAACAGAACAAGACTGTCTCCAAAAAAAAAAGAAGAAATAAAGAAAAATGAAGATAAAAGAGGTGAAGTTTATTGTATGTAAATTATACCTTTTTTTTTTTAAATGGAGGAAAACACCTTGCTATCCCTTATTATACTGTACATTCTTTTACCTCTGGCACAGGAAGTGTAAGCACACTGTCTCCTTTAGAGTCCTTTATCTGGGGCTCTTCAACAGAATTTTCACCAAGACCCCTATCCAAACCAAGTGTGCAGGGCCCTGTCTCAGAGGAAGCAACTGGAGCAACTGACAACATGTGAACCTCCTGAGAGCTCTCTTCTTGATTTTCGTTTCTGAAAGAGAGTTTAGCATGCATGTCATTTGAAATCAGGCAAATCATGGAATTATTTTTAGAGCTAGGTGTGTAAAAGATCATCTAATTCAATGGTTTTCAAACTTTTAAAACATATTTAATGCAATAGGACTTTTTTTTTTTTTTTTTTTTTTTTTTTGAGACAGAGTCTCACTCTGTCGCCCAGGCTGGAGTGCAGTGGCGCGATCTTGGCTCACTGCAAGCTCCGTCTCCCAGGTTCACACGATTCTCCTGCCTCGGCCTCCCAAGTAGCTACAACTACAGACGCCCGCCACCACGCCCGGCTAATTTTTTGTATTTTTTAGTAGAGACGGGGTTTCACCGTGTTAGCCAGGATGGTCTCGATCTCCTGACCTCGTGATCCTCCCGTCTTGGCCTCCCAAAGTGCCGGGATTACAGGCGTGAGCCACCGTGCCCGGCCAGAACTTCTTTTTCAAATTCTTACAGCCACAACTTAAGGCTATAGCTGAAACAATATAAACTGAATCTCAGAACCTCTTCACTCTTTTACCTTTCAGTTAGGTTTACTTCTGAAGAAATACTGGTCCCTTTGATACCATGTACACATGCCAATTTGCTCTGATCCTTATTCTCTGCTGTTGTAACTGGTCCGAGGTTTTTATTTTCCAATTCTGTTGCTTTGGAAGCATTTTTCTCTGTTTCTTAAACAAAAAGCACACTTACGATATAGACCAAAATAATACAGCTAAAATCCCTGTATTAGAAACATATGCCCTCTTAAAAGGAAGATTCCTATATAGTGACTCTTCCAAACTTCTCTTATTCCACAAATCAGGCTTATACACATGGCAGAAAGTCCTAGCTAATAGATTTTTGAACAGTAAAACACATGATTAATAAATCCTGTTCTACAAAAATTTCACTCATGGCTGCCATGATAATTGTATCCTCATTTTATGGTACTAGCATCAATAATTAGAAACTCAACATATAAAAGAGACTTCGAGGTGGGTACACCGAGGTTGGGCTAGTTCCACTTTAGAGGAAGTCTTGGAAAAGGAGCTGCACTGCAAAGAATAATATCACAAACGGGGAAAAAAAGACTTCTATATAGAAGAGGTAATTTGAGACTGCACGTTGAGAGAGGTTTTAGAAAAGGTGACCTCTCATGGTTCTCATGTATTTTTCATCATGTTTAGTGCAATATTGTGAATAACCCCATGGGACCCATACAAAGTATCATTAATGATGTTGGAAGCACTCCCAAGAAGCAGAGAGAGTCATAACATTGTAAGAAAAAGCTGAATTGCTTGATATGTATTACAGGTTGACACCTGTAGTTGGGGTTGCCCACCATTTCAGACAGATGTTTCATCTTGTAAACAGATGACATAAACTTTTGGTACTAATAAATACAATGCAGTACTGAAAATGTATTTTCTCTTCCTTATAATTTTCTTCCTTTTATTTTTCTTTGAGACAGGGTCTTGCTCTGTCACCCAGGCTAGAGTGCAGTGGCAATATCACAATTTACGACAGCCTTGATCTGGCGAGCTCAAACCTCTGAGTAGCTGGGACCACAGGTGTGTGCCACCACGTCTGGCTAACTGTTAAAAATTATTTTGTAGAGACAAGGTCTCCCTATATTGCCCAAGCTGGTCTCAAAACTCCTGGGCTCACGTGATCTTCCTGCCTCTGCCTCCCAAAGGGCTAGGATTTCAGGTGTGCACCACCACCGTGCCCAGCCTGATTTTCTTTTTTCTTTTTTCTTTTTTTGAGATGAAGTCTCACTCTGCTGCCCAGGCCGGAGTACAGTGGCATGATCACAGTTCACTGCGACCTCAACCTCCCCAGGCTCAGGTGATACTCCCACCTCAGCCTCCTGAGTAGCTAGGACTACAGACATGCACCACCATGCCTGGCTAATTTTTGTACTTTTGTAGAGATGGGATTTTGCCTTGTGGCCCAGCCCAGTCTGGTTTCATCAAATGAGCCACCCACCTTGGCTTCCCAAAGTGCTGGGATTACAGGCATGAGCCACTGTGCCCAGCCCCAGTCTGACTTTCTTAGTAACATTTTCATTTCTCTATGGCTCATAACATTTTCATTTCTCTATGGCTCATAACATTTTCACTTCTCTACGGCTCAAGGACATGAGTTGAAAAAACAGAAAAAACAATTTTTTTTTAATTTTCTCCAGCCCATTTTATCATAAGAATACAGTATATAACACAAATAAAATACAAAATATGTGTTAATTAACTATCTTATCAATAAGGCTTCTGATCAACAGTAAGCCATTAGTAGGTAAGTTTTTGGGGAGTCAAAAGTTATACATGAATATATATATATATATGTTTTCAATTCATAAGAGACAGGGTGTCACTATTGTCCAGGCTGGCCTCGAACTCTTGGGCTCAAGCCTCCCAAAGTGCTGGAATTACAGGTGTGAGTCACTGCACCCAGCCTATACACAAATTTCTGACTGAATGGGGAGGTCAGTGCCCCTAGTTCAAGGGTCAACTATGAGAGAGAGAGAATGAGAGAAAGAGAGAGACAGAGAGAGAATAAAAGGACAAAAAATTGATCAAACAAATGTAGCAAAATGGTATTAATTACTAAAACCAATTGGTAGATTTATGGGTATTTATTTTATAGCTCGTCTTACTTTTTAATTTGAAACTATTTTATTGTAAGTTAAAACAATTTAATGACCAAATATTTCTTTGAAATGTTAATGTAATTTCTTGTGTCAAAATGATTTTGCAACATATTAAGAGAATAAAATTTACCTCTTTGAGTTTCCATTTCTGCCCCTTTGGTTACACACAAACTGGAAACTTCCTGATAATCATCAAGCCTGTTGGTCCCTAAAGTCTTCTCAAGATTTGGTTTAGGCTTAGCAAGCCTACTTCTTATTCTCAAATTACTGGTCACTTTAGAAATTGTATTCCTAAAAACAGAAGATAGAGAAATTCATGAATCATGTTAGATCTTGCTCTCTCACATTAATACAGTCTGTCTAGCACTGATAGAGTGAATGACCTGTTAGGTGCCACACTGTCTACAAGTGTTCATTTCTTAATACTAAAATTACAAAGTAGTAACTTTACTAGAGGTCTTAAGAAGAGAATTTAGTCTGTATTTGTAAAACAGAGACATTTACATAAATCTATTTCATTAAAGCTTCAAAGATACACAACATTTACTACTATAATTTAAACATGCAAACCACTAACCTAAAATCAAAATCAGTCTATCTTTAAAGGGTAAGAAATTAGCATTGCCTACTTTACATTTAAAGCATTACTCAAAGCTATTAACTAATTTGATGGTGGTTTTAGTAATATTTATTAATTGAATACTAAAATAAACCTGGTTGGTGTAGCATTCTCCTTTACTTTCTCCATTAAACTTATTTCTTCTCTGGAACTTTGTTCCTCCAATACAATCTTGTTTTCTTCAAATGATGCAGGAGATGTAGTAATGACAGGTGAAGAAAGTTCCTGACATTCATGAACAATTTTGTGATTTACATTATCTAGGCTAGAAGGAATATGGCTTTTATCCTTTGAATGAACATGAGGAATTATACATACTCCTACTGAAGAAAAAAAAAAAAAACAAAATTAAAATGGACCAAATTATAGATGCTCAAAATAAATTCCTCAACATTTAGTAATTGTAAAATTCTGTATTATTAAAGTTTGCTTCATTTGTGTGGCAGCAATAGAAAAAGATTTTAGAAATAAATAAATTTTGCCCTTGTTGGCTGTAAATTTATGATCTCCCTATTTCATGCCAGGGATTTGACCTGTTGTGAGCTTAATAATCCTTACAGACTGGAATTTTATCCGATTATTAGTAAAAATGAGTTCTTTTGTTACTTTCAGTAATTATATAATCTCAGATGGATTTCAAGACAGCACTGTCAGCATTTAAGATTTTTAAAACCTTTATGTTCTATATGTACTTTATGTTCTATATGTTTTTGACAGGCTGTACTGCAATACTCTGCCACTAAGAAAGGAGCCCTATACAGAACACAAATCAGAGACTTTCCTGATAAATACATGGTTCCAAGCCTAAAAGTCTAATATGTCTTTATTTATCTATTTTTGAGACAGTGTCTCACTTTGTCACCCAGGCTGGAGTGCAGTGGTGCGATCTCAGCTCACTGCAGCCTTGACCTCCTGAGCTCAAGCGATCCTCCCACCTCAGCTTCCCAAGCAGCTAGGACTACAAGTGTACACCACCATGCCTGCCTAATTTTTTGTATTTTTTGTAGAGACGGGGTTCCACCATGTTGCCCAGGCTGGTCTTGAACTCCTGAAGTCAAGCATTCACCAGCCTCAGCCTCCCAAAGTGCTGGTATTATTGGCATGAGCTGCTGCATCTGGCCCAAAAGTCTAATACTTAAAATGAATGGAAGCTGGGTGCGGTGGCTCATGCCTGTAATCCCAGCACTTTGGGAGGCCAAGACGGGTGGATCACCTGAGGTCAGCAGTTCGAGACCAGCCTGGCCAAGATGGTGAAACCCCAACTCTACTAAAAATACAAAAATTAGCTGGGCATGGTGGCATGCGATTGTAATCCCAACTACTTGAGAGGCTAAGGCAGGAGAATTGCTTGAGCCTGGGAGGCAGAGGTTGCAGTGAGCCAAGATCGCACCATTGCACTCCAGCCTGGGTGACAAGAGCGAAACTCTGCTTCAAATAAATAAATAAGATGAATGGTAGGCTACTCATAACCAAACTCCGTCTCAAATAAATAAATAAGTAAATAAAATGAATGGTAACCAGGCAAAATAATTACCAGGAATAGTATAATTATTCATTTCATGCAATTAAAAGATATTGAGATAGTAAAGATTTATCACTTGTCTGTGATTTCCATCTAATAAGTTAAAAATCTTGGTTGATATATCTTTTGGCTCTGTCCAAACTGAGAACAGTTTAAACTAAATTATTTCAATGAGTGCTATTGTCTCTTTGTGCTCTATTTGTCATCTAATTGTGAATACCATCCCAAGCAGCAACTCCTTTGCAAAAGACACATGTATAAACTATATCAGTGATCAATGAGCTCAGTTAACCAATGACATTTATGATGGTAAAGGTAGTATTCACTACCTTTACCATGCATACAACTATTCCATGCATACAACTATTCCATGAATACAAATTATTCTTAATAAACCAAGAGCATGATCTTGAATTAGCTGTCACTACACCTAAACAGTAGTAAAATAGTGGATGGATCAATACATACATATCATATTTTATGGAAGAACAACAAAATGGAGACAACTTCAAAGGTAAAAGGGTTATTACTCAAATGTGGGTATAATTTCTTAAGTTAGGTTTTAAAAGTTTCTATTTTTGATAGGACTTAGCTTTCATTCTTACCATCACCCTGTTCACTACTGATCTCTGACTGCAATACTAGATCTCCCATTGTAAGTAAAGTTATTGCAGCTTCGGTGCTTCCATCATTGGTACCTTGTGAGGAAATATATCAACATTAAAAAAAAGAATGAATCCGGAAATCTGTTCACTTAAAAAAGATTTTTAATTAAGGTGTTTATCTCCTAGGAGCAGATTCCAATATCCTCTGAGCCATTAATCCCTTACTAAGGTAGTCTTTTGTTCAGGTTATATGCTACAAATAAATAAATCATCACTGTTGGTTTTGACTCACTGACCATGCCTCCCTCCCATTAAATAATATCTTCAAGGAAAATGCTCTCCCATTTGTGAAGATCCAGAGGAAATGCTCAAATACTTCTTAAACATTTTTTTAATTCACCTTCTAAAATAACATTCCAAGAATCCACATTTCTCACAGAGACAACACATTCAATAGCTGAATCTTTTTGTTAAACTCTCCAGCAAACTGATTCATTTATTATCCCCACTATTAAATCACTGTACTAGTGTTAATCAAGGTAGTCTTAGCAGTTTCCTTGATAACAGTTACCTGGTTCATCTTGGATATGTTCACTTGTGGTCATTTCCTAAAAAGGAAAAAAATAAGTAACATCTTAAAATACTTCCCCAAACATGTTCTGTTTCTCAGCATGCACTACATTTTCAGAGGTCTTTCCATACTTTTAGCTACAATAGTGTAAACTGGTTTGTCTTAATTTATAATTATTCACAAAATTTCACCAGCAAGAACATAAACAATTTAAAGGCAAAATTCTTGTGTCTCTTGCTCCTGACTTTATCTTTTTCTTGTATTATGTGCAAATTTTAACTCTTATCATTTTGTTATGTACGTCTACCATTCTTACTTTACTTCTTCATTTTCATAATCCTTCAACTCTAGTCATATCTGCTGCCAATTTTTACCCAATGGAAACCAAGGCCTAAAGGGTATTGCAAAATTTTTATACTACTACGTAGCTTAAAACTTAAATGCATTTTAATAAATTAAGAAGTTACAGAACCAATGTCCAGAGCGACAGCTTGAGAAGCTTCACTGACCCACTCCTCAGTGAAACTGATTTTAAAAACAAAACATTTAAAAGCCTCTGAAACTGATCCTAACGACAAAAAGCAAATGAAGAAATATCTGTTCAAGAAAATCTGAAAATTTGCTAACAAAGGTGAGAGTCTATGTGAACTAACACTGCTCTTTCTCTCTCCTTCCTCCCAGCTCAGCATGGCAGAGACTCCACCTCAAACTGCTGCACCCAAAAATACAAGGCCCCCAGTCCCCAAGGTCCCACCTGGAGAGCATTTTTCCCTAGGGGAGTAGGACTTCATCTCCTGACATCACAAGAAAAGTACAGACCAATATCTATTATGAATATGGACATAAAAATCACCAATAAAATACTAGCAAGCTGAATCCAACAATGAATAAAAATTAGACATTATGATCCTAGAATTTATCCTGGGGAAGCAAGGTTGGTTTAACGTCCAAAAAATACAATGAAAAACAAAATTCACATGATCATCTCCATAAATGCAGAAAAAGCATATGACAAATTCCAACACCCTTTAATGAAAGAAACATTCAACAAACTAGGAATAGAAAGTAACTTCTTTAGCCTGGTAAAGGACGTTTATGAAAAATCCATGGTAACATCATACTTAATGATAAGACAGGATGGGAGGAGTGGTAGCAGCCAGGCAGCCCAGCTTTGAGAAGGCTCTCAGCATGGTGCGGCTCACAGGCACCCAGCATGCACACTCCTGACCACAAGATGCCCAAGAGGAAGATCAGCTCAGCAGAAGGGCGGTGAAGGAAAGAGCCCAAGATGAGATTAGTATGACTGTCAGCTAAACCTGCTCCTGCAAAAGTGGAAACAAAGCCAAAAAAGGCAGCAGGAAAGGATAAATCTCCAGACAAAAAAAGTGCAAACAAGAGAAAAACGGGGAACAAAGGGAAAACAAACCAAAGTGGCTAACCAAGAAATCAGATTTACCTACAGAAAACAGAGAAACAAAAACCAAGGAAAGTCCAGCCTCTGATGAAGCCCAGAGAGAAAAAAAGCCAAGTCTGATTAATATCATATACTATGTCTTACCAATAGTACCTGTCTCCCTTCTTGTACATTCCAGAGGAATATTTTTCTCAACTATTTCACAAATGCAAGTTTTTTAGTAACTCTAGAAACATTTTTAAGAAGAAGGAAATCCCACCTCATCCCATTTTTTAAGTGTACATGCTTTTAAGGGTAAAAATCATTTTCCAGTTGTTTATTTTTTGGTACAACCAGAAAACAGTGTGCGATATTGAATTATGGGAGGCTTTGACTGTCTTGGGTATCATCTTAACATTCCACTATATTAACTGGCAATATGGAGTCACAGTCCTGTATCTGATGTCTTGAAATTTTTAAGTTACTTTTATTCCCATGGTTTGGTTCTGGTTCTTTTTTTTTTTTTTTTTTTTTTTGGTTTTTTGGTTTTTTGGCTTTGAGACAGAGTCTTGCTCTGTTGCCTAGGCTGGAGTGCAATGGTGCAATCTCCACTCACTGCAGTCTTCGCCTCCTGGGTTCAAGCAATTCTCCTGCCTTAGCCTCCCAAGTAACTGGGATTACAGACATGTGCCACCATGCCCGGCTGATTTTTTGTATTTTTAGTAGAGACGGGGTTTCACCATGTTGGCCAGGCTGGTCTCAAACTCCTGACCTTGTGATCTGCCTGCCTCGGCCTCCCAAAGTGCTGGGATTATAGGCGTGAGCCAACGCGCTCGACCTGGTTCAGGTTTGTTTGAGACAGAGTCTTGCTCTGATGCCCAGACTGGGGTGCAGTGACGGCGATGACAGCTTACTGCAACCTCAACCTCCTGGGCCCAGGCGATCCTCCTGCCTCAGCCTCCACAGTAGCTGGGACCACAGGCGCATGCCACCATGACTGGCCAACTTTTAAAAAACATATTTGTAGAGACAGAGTCTCCCTCTGTTGCCCAGGCTGGCCTTGAACTACCATGTGATCCTCCCACCTCCCAAATTACTGAGATTATAGGCATGAGCCACCGCGCCTGGGCCCATGTTGTTTTTTAGCAGAATTGCTTCCTAAAGAAAACCACTCCTTGATCATGGCTCTCCCTGTCAGAATTGTATGCACTCTATAAATCTTTGGTTGTGGTAGTCCTGTTTTCCTAATAATTTTGTTAATGTGCTGTGAAAGACTGAAAATTTGAGTATGCAGTATATATGCTATTTAACTGCAAATTGTGGAAGTATGTAACAGTTTATCAACATGTAAGGATACTGGTACTTGATAGCCTTTTAATGAAAACTTGCCTCCAAATTTTAAGCTGGAAAGTCACCAGAGTAACTTAAAAATAATTACAATACATGGCTTTTTAGATTTTCGGTATAAATGTGAAGAATTGTGTACTGATCCTCAACACAACCAATAAAATCTCAATTATGAAAAAAATAAATGATGAAAGACTGGATACTTTACCCCTAAGATCAGGAATAAGACCAAAATGCCCACTCTCGCTTCTATTAAACTTTGAACTATAGGTTCTAGCCAGGGCAGTTAGGCAAGAAAAAGAAATAAAAGGCATTCAGGTCAGAAAGTATCAAAGGTTGAATTGTGTCCCCTAGAAAGATATGTCAAAGTCTTAAACCCAAATAATGTGAATATGACATTATTTAAAAATAGGGTATTTGTAGATATAATCAAATTTAGATGAGGTCATATTGGATTAGAGTTGGTGCTAATCCAATATGACTGGTGTCCTTTCCTTATAAGATGAGAGGTTACACATACACAAGGGGAAAATGCCATGTGGTAATGGAGGCAGAGGGTGGAAGTATGCTGCTGCATGCTGAGAAATGGTAAGGACTGCCGGCTACCACCAGAAGGCAGGAGAAAGGCATGGGATGGTTCTTCCTCAGAGCCTCCAGAAGGAACCAACATTGGTGACACCTTGATTTTAGACTTCTAGACTCTAAAGCTGTGAGAGAATAAATTTGTTTTGTTTTGTTTTTCTCATCTCCATAAGTGCCTGGAGAATTCTCTGTGGTTATAAGCTATCAAGTTTGTGGTGCAAAGAGTACCCGACTTAAAATTTTTTTATTTTAGGCCGGGCACGGTGGCTCACACCTGTAATCCCAGCATTTTGGGAGGCCAAGGTGGGCAGATCACCTGAGGTCAGAAGTTCGAGACCAGCCTGACCAACATGGTGAAACCCCATCTCTACTAAAAATACAAAAATTAGTTGGATGTGGTGGCGGGCGCTTGTAATCCCAGCTACTCTGGAGGCTGAGGCAGGAGAATCACTTGAAACTGGGAGGCGGAGGGTGCAGTGAGCCTCCAAGATTGCGCCATTGCACTCCAGCCTGGGCAACAGAGTGAGACTCTGTCTTTAAAAAAAAAAAAAAAATTGTTATTTTATGATGGGTTTATCAGGACATAATCTCCTCATAAGTCGAGGAGCATCTGTACTTTGTTACAGTGATCCTAGGAAACTAATACAGAAAGAAGTAAAACTATCTTTATTTGCAGATGACATGATTTGACAAATAGAAAATCCTAAGGAATCCACCAAAGAAGTTGCAGGATATAAAGCTAATATACAAAAATCATTTTTATTTCTACACACTTGCAACGAACAATCCAAAAATGAAATTAAGAAAACAATCCCAGGCCGGGCACGGTGGCTCATGCCTGTAATCCCAGCACTGTGGGAGGCAGAGGCGGGTGGATCACCTGAGATCAGGAGTTCGAGACCAGCCTGACCAACATGGAGAAACCCCGTGTCTACGAAAAATACAAAATTAGCAGGGCGTGGTGGCATATGCCTGTAATCCCAGCTACTCGGGAAGCTGAGACAGGAGAATTGCTTGAACCAGGGAGACAGAGGTTGTGGTGAGCCAAGATCGCGCCATTGCACTCCAGCCTGGGCAACAAGAGGAAAACTCCGTCTCAAAATGTGGTGGGCGCCTGTAGTCCCAGCTACTTGGGAAGCTGAGGCAGGAGAATGGTGTGAACCCAGGAGGCGGAGCTTGCAGTGAGCTGAGATCATGCCACTGCACTCCATCCTGGGCGACAGACGAGACTCCATCTCAACAACAACAACAAAAAAAAAACTTACTACAAAGTAACAGTAATCAATATAGCATCACCAGCATGAGAACAGACATATAGATCTATGCAACAGAATTGAGAATTCAGAAATAAACCCATACATCTATGGTCAGCTGATTTTTGATAAGGGTGCCAAGACTATTCAATGGGGAAAGAATAGTCTTTTCGAATAAATGGTGATAGGACAAATGGATAGCAACATGCAAAAGACATAAGTTGGATAATGAGGTTATCCATGTATAAAAATAAACTCAAAATGGATCAAAGACTTAAACGTAAAAGCAAAAATCATCTTTTAGAAGAAAAATGGGTAAATCTTCATGACCTTGGGTTTGACAAAGGACTCAGATCTGACAACAGAAGCATGAGCAACAAATGAAAAAACAGATTAACTGAACTTCATCAAAATTTAAAACTTTTTGCTTTAAAGGAAATCAAGAAAGTGAAAAGACAACCCCACAGAAAGGGAGGAAATATTTGCAAATCATATACCTGCTAAGCAACTTTTATCTAGATTATATAAAGACTCCTTACAACTCAATAATAAAAAGACAAATAGCACAATAAAAGAAAAACAGACAAAAGATTTGAATAGACATTTCTCAAAGATGATATACAAATGGCCAATAGGAACATAAAATGTGCCTGACATCATTAGTCACCAAGGAAATACAAATCAAAACCACAATGTGACACCACTTCACACTCACTAGGACAGCTAGATCCAAAAAGTCAAGCCAGACACAGTGGCTCATGCCTGTAATCCCAACACTTTGGAAGGCTGAGGTAAAAGTATCACTTGAGGACAGGAGTACGAGACCAGCCTGAACAACACAGCAAGACCCCACCTCTACAAAAAAAAAAAATTAGCTGGGCATGGTGGCACACACCTGCAGTCCCAGCTACTTGGGATGCTGAGTGGAGAGGATCATTTACACTCAGGAGGTCAAAGCTGTAGTGTGCTACAATTGTGTTACTGCACTCTAGTTTGGGTGACAATGCAAGGCCGTCTCAAAAAAAAAAAAAAAAATCCACCGAACAAAAAAAAAAGTGAAATAACAAGTGCCGGCAAGGACATGGAAGAACAGGAACCCTCATAAACTGCTGGTGGGAATGTAAAAGGGTATAGCTACTTTGGAAAACAGTTTGGCAGTTCCTCAACTGATGAAACATAGAGTTACCATATGACTCAGCAATTACATTTTTAGAAATGTACCCAAGAGAAATAAAAACATATTGTACACAAACACTTCTACATGAATGTTTACAGCAGCATTATGTATAACACACAAAAAATGAAAATAATCCAAATGTTCATGAATGGATGAATGGATATACAAAATGTACCATATCCATATGGAATATTATTAGGCTACAAAAAGTAAGGAAGTACCACTACATGCTGCAACATAGATGAACAGTAAAAAATGTTACATTAAGTGAAAAAAGCCAGACACAAATGATCAGATTTTATAATTTCATGTCTAGGAAACATCTAGAACAGGCAAATCTATAAAGACAGAAGGCAAATTATTGGTTCCCCAGGCCAGTGAGGGTTGGGAGGAAAGGAGTAGTGACTGCTAATAAGGTTTCTTTTTGAGGTGATGAAAATGTCCTAAAATTGACTGTGATAATGTTTGCACGATACTAGAAGTCACTTAATTGTGCACTTTAAATAATGAGAAAATCATATGGTGTGTAAATTATATGTCAATAAAGCTGTTTTTAAAAAGTTACAATTTCAAGCCTCCGCTTGCAAAGGCAAATAAATACCAATAATGGAAGAGTGCAAATAAAACGCAACAGAATATATTTTAACTTGTTTATACTTAGTATAAATTTAATGCAACTGAATTTTAATGTAAAAGTCTATGAGGATATTAAGAGCTCTGCCCACAAACAAACAAAATCATTGCTTTCACTAGTTTTTACTACTCAGACTAACAGCTCCTTACAAAGAGAAATTAGCTAAGTAAAGTGTTTATAAACCTAAAGCTATCAAAAGGAACCTCCAGTCTTTTCAAAGTAAACAAAGAATAAAAGGCCAAAACATATTAAAATGGATGCTTACAAACGGTACACTCAAATTTTCTTCTTGTTTCATTTCTTCAGTAGTCACATCTGTGTTTGGTAGCTCATGTTCAACAACAGCTATGCATCCTACATCTGGGACATTCACAGTTATTTCAAGCTGTCAAAATAAAGTTTTATCATTTCATTTTGGCATATTATAAACAGCAAAACAAAGCCTCATCTTCAACATGAATAAGTAAGATGAAACGCTAAAATGAAGAAATAATCCACATTCATACATAACTTAAAAAATGGAATGGAGTAATTCTTTTATTGACTGACAGCAACTTGGCAAAAGTAAAACATTTAAAATTTTTGAGGTGGCTGTGACTATTAAAACCAGTAAGCAAATTTTCTAAGACTCATCTTCTTAGTGCCTGGCATTTCATTTTCCATTTTCTTCACTTTGTCCTCACTTTCCCCCTAATTTCTCTGTTCAGTCTGTTAACATTTATAGAAGGCTAGGTGTACAGGGATATAAAGTCAAATAAGATAAGTGTAGTCCCTATCCTCAATGAATTCACAATCTAACAGAAAAGCAGACATGTAATCAACTAATTATATACGGTCATAAATGCTATCTATAATGAGTTGAAAGCCCTTAGAAGTATTTATCGGGCCAGGCGCAGTGGCTCACGCCTGTAATCCCAGCACTTTGGGAGGCCGAGGCAGGTGGATCACCTGAGGTCAGGAGTTCAAGACCAGCCTGGCCAACACAGCGAAGCCCCATCTCTACTAAAAATACAAAAATTAGCCGGGCATGGTGGTGCCTGCCTGTAGTCCCAGCTACTGGGGAGGCTGAGGCAGGAGAATCGCTTGAACCCAGGAGGTGGAGGTTGCATTGAGCCGAGATTATGCCACTGCACTCTAGCTTGGGCAACAGAGTGACAAGTTGTTCTCAAAAATAAATAAATAAATAAATAAAATATTTATCATACCACTGCCCCCACACCAACTCCCTTCTCCCAAAACCCCAAAGCCTGCACGATTCTTGATACCCAGGGCAACAGCCATGTAAAATAAGAAGTTCACTCATATTTACTCTTCATTTGTGAGTCCTATTACTTAAAGAGCCGTGTAATCTGAGCACTAAAAAGGTATTTACCTACTAGAATACATACAATATAGTCTGGTTCTTATTATCTTATTTTTTTGTTTTTCTTTTGTTATTCTGAGGCAGGGTCTCACTCATGTCACCCCAGCTGCGGTGGTGCGATGATGGCCACAACACCTGGGCCTATTCTCTTATTAACAGAAAAAAACAGTATAAAACGTTGTATGGCTGAGTAGAAACTGTGAGTAAAGAGTCAAGTCTGAGAATCTGCCTTCAAGACATACGTTATTTTTTTTTTGAGACAAAGCCTCACTCTATCGCCCAAGCTGCGGTGCAGTGGCACTATCAGGGTTCACTACAGCCTCAACCTCTCAGGCTCAAGCAATCCTCCCGCCTCAGCCCTCCAAGTAGCTGGGACTACAGGCATGTGCCACCATGCCTAATTTTTGTATTTTTTGTAAAGATGAGGTTTCGCCATGTTGCCTAGTCTGGTCTCGAACTCCTGCACTCAAGCGATCTGCCCACCTTGGCTTCCCAAAGTGCTGGGACTATGGGCATGAGACCCTGTGCCCAGCCAACATATTTGTTATAATTACATTTGTATGTACCACATCTGTTTCCTCAGATACAAAATTTAGAGAAAAATCTTTGGTAATATCTGACAGGACTGGGATGAACCAAAAAATTCAAGTGAGCACGGGGGCACATGCCTGTAGTTCTAGCTACTCGGAGGCTGAGGTGTGAGGGTCGCTTGAGCCTAGGAGTTTGAGGCCAGCCTGGACAACACAGCAAGATCTTGTCTCCAAAAAAATGAATTTAAAAACAATAGGCCAGGCACGGTAGCTCATGCCTGTAATCCCAGCACTTTGGGAGGCTGAGGTTGGCAGATTGTTTGAGCTCAGGAGTTTGAGACCAGCCTGGACAACATGGTAAAACCCCATCTCTATTGAAAATAAAATAAAAAAAAAATTAGCCGGGTGTGGTGGTTGTGCACCTGTAGTCCCAGCTACTCAGGAGGCTGAGGTGGGAGGATTGCTTGAGCCTGGGAGGCGGGGGTTGCAGCAAGCTGAAATCATGCCACTGCACTCCAGCCTGGGCAATGGAGTAAGACCCTATCTCAAAAAAATAAAAATAAAGAAAAGAAAAATAAATAAATGTAACAAAAAAAAATTTTAAAGTTCAGATGATTTGAGAAGAAAAAATACTTCTTGAAGAGTTGGGACTGGATGGGAAAAGGGAATATTCTATAAAGTAAAAGTTGGTTTTTTAAGCATCATACAGTTTATTTTAAAAAAGACTTGCAATTCACATAACATACAGTTAACCCACTTAAGGTGTACAATTCAATGTATTTTGGGATATTCACAGATATGTGCAATCATCACCACATTCAAATGTGGAACATTTTTGTCACTTCAAAAATAAACCTTATACCCATTAGCTATCTCTCCCTTAACCCCTCTCTTCCCCATCTGCCAAAACCTAGGCAACCATTAATCTACTTTCTGTCTCTGTGGACTTCCTTATTTTGGACATTTCATATGAATGGAATCACACAGTATGCGATACTTTGTAACTAGCTTCTTTCACTTGGCCTAAGGTTTCCAAAATTCATCCATGTTGTGACACATATCAACACTTTATATCCCTTTAGGGCTGAAAAACATTCCATTGTGCTTCAAAGCTTTTGTCTCCTCCTGTTGTCCAGGCTACAATGCAGTGGCATGATTGTAGCTTACTGTAACCTCAAACTCCTGGGTTCAAGCAACCCTCCCCACTCAGCCTTCTGAGTAGCTGGGATTATAGATACGCACCAACACACCTTGCTAATTTATTGACTGAATGTAGAGACAGGGTCTTGCTATGTTGTATAGGCTGGTCTTGAACTCCTGCCCTCAACTGATCCTCCGCCTCAACCTCCCAAAGCACTGGGATTACAGACATGAGCCACCATGCCTGGCCTTTCAATGCTTTTGTTTTTTGAGACAGAGCTTCGCTCTTTCGCCCAGGCTGGAGTGCAGTGGTGTGATCTTGGCTCACCACAACCATTGCCTTCTGGTTTCAAGCGATTATCCTGCCTCAGCCTCCCAAGTAGCTGGGATTACAGGCGCCCACCACCACGCCCAGCAAATTTTTGTATTTTTAGTAGAGATGGGGTTTCACCATGTTGGCCAGGCTGGTCTCGAACTCCTGACCTCGTGATTCGCCCACCTCAACCTCCCAAAGTGCTAGGATTACAGGTGTGAGCCACCGTGCCTGGCCTCAATGCTTTTTAAAGAACATTTTTTCTAACATATATATGAATTTCCCTGTTTAGTAGGCTGGCCATAAGGAATAGAATCTAAGGAAAGCCTTGTCAATTACTATGATTAATGCTATTAAAAAAGATAGCCTGTATTAATTCAGGGATACAGTCTGGAATCTAATTTTCAGAAATTAATTACTGATAGTTTCACTAGCAATTTGCCTTCACTTAAAGAAAAATACAAAATATATAGCTAAATGAACTCTCATGCAGCATTAACCAGATATCTTTCCACAAAATTACTCTTCCTTCTGCATTTTCTTGGTTTCACATAATGCTTACATTTACTATCTTTACTTTGAATTGTAAGAAACAACCTCATTTTGCATCATTTAAATTAGCTTCAACCATTTTATTAGTTCATTTACTCTAAAACATTTACCAGGTTATTATTAACACTGAATAAAAGTAGATTTTGACTTCCCTTCATAAATGTGACTTTACAGATTCAGATAATCCGTTAATTCTTAATGGAATTACATTAACATGTAAAGTTTACCTTAATTATCTTAAACATTACTTGAATTGTTTACTGTTTCTTACTGCTTCTTTTATTGTTGCCACTATCTTAGTTAACTCTGATTCATTTCAAATTACTCAGAAACTATCATGAATGCTTACACAAAACTGACTCAGATATGCTCCTCAGTAAGCCAAAGAAGTGACTGAAAATTAAGGCAGAACAGAAAACTTTGAAGTTACAAAGTTGGAATGGCAGACTAACAGGCAAAAGTGTAAGGAAGCTAAATATGTTCAACACGTTTCTCTAGTTCACAACCCTTAGGATGATTACTAGCCAAAGTTACAACATAGCTACGACTGGTGAGGATGTAGCGAAACTGCAATGCTTGTACACTGTTGATAGGGATGTAAAATGATAACAGCCCTATGAAAAACAGTATAAAGGTTGCTTGAAAAGTTAAGTATAGAATTAACATAAGATCGAGGCCGGGTGCAGTGGCTCACACCTGTAATCCCAGCACTTTGGGAGGCCCAGGCAGATGGATCATTTGAGGTCAGGAGTTTGAGACCAGCCTGGCCAACATGGTGAAACCCCACCTCTACTAAAAATACAAAAAAATTAGCTGGGTGTGGTGGCAGGTGCCTGTAATCCCAGCTTCTTGGGAGGCTGAGGCAGAAGAATTGCTTGAACCTGGGAGATGGAGGTTACAGTGAGCCAAGATTGCGCCACTGTACTCTACTCCAGCCTAGGCAACAGAGACTCCATCTCAAAAAAAAAAAAAAAGAATTAAAAGAATTACCATACGATCCAGCAATTCCACTTCTGGGTATATCCCGCAAAAAGTAAAAGCAGAGATTCAAAGAGGTATTTATACAACTATGTTCATACCAGCATTATTTCTAACAGCCAAAAGGTGGAAGCAACCCAAGTGTCCATTGATGATAAAGGAATAAACAAAACATGATACACACACACAATGGAATATTATTGAACCTCGAAAATGAAGAACACTCTGACATAAGCTACAACATAGATGAACTGTGAAAACATTATGCTAAATGAAATAAAATGGTCACACAAAAAAATACTGTATGATTCCACTTACATGAGGAGTCAAATTAAAGAGACAAGATGTAGAAAAGTGGTTGCCAAAAGGTTAGGGGGTGGGAGGAATGGAGAGTTACTGTTTAATGGGTATAGAATTTCAGTTTTAACAAAATAAAAAGAGTTCGCCAGGGGTGCAAGGCAGACCTGAGAGTGACCAGGCCAGACGGCATAGAGATGGGGCTCAAGGGACAGGTGTTGGGTGTTTGTATCTTGTATCTTGGTTTTTTGCCAGGCTAGGGGACAACCACTCATTGCGGGATGTCTTAATCATCTTAAAAAAGAACGCAGTAGCTCGTGCCTGTAATCCCCGCACTTTGGGAGGCCGAGGCAGGAGGATTGCCTGAGCTCAGGAGTTTGAGACCAGACTGTGCAACATAGCGAAACCCCATCTCTAAATTAATTAATTTTAAAAAAGAGTTCTGTGGATGGATGGTAGTGATGGTAGCATGACAACACGTACATGTGAATGTTCTTAATGCCACTGAAGTGTACACTTAAAAATGAGTAAGATGGCTGGGCATGGTGGCTCACGCCTGTAATCCCAGCACTTTGGGAGGCCGAGGCAGGTGGATTGCTTGAGGTCAAGAGTTCAAAACCACCCTGGCCAACATGGTAAAACCCTGCCTCTACCAAAAATACAAAAATTAATCAGGCTTGGTGGTGCACACCTGTAGTCCCAGCTACAGGAGGCTGAGGCAGGATAATCACTTAAACCTGGGAGGTGGAGGTTGCAATGAGCCAAGATCCCACCACTGCACTCCAGACTGGGTGACAGACTGAGACCCCGTCTTTAAAAAAAAAAAAAAAAAAACAGAGAGAGAGATAGTAAATTTTATGTTACATGTATTTTAGCACTCTTCTTTTTTTTTTTTTTTTTTTTTGAGATAGAGTCTCGCTCTGTCTCCCAGGCTGGAGTGCAGTGGCACGATCTCAGCTCACTGCAACCTCCGCTTCCCGGGTTCAAGCAATTCTCCTGTCTCAGCTTCCCCAGTAGCTGGGACTACAGGCACCTGACACCACGCCCAGCTAATTTTTGTATTTTAGTAGAGACAGGGTTTCACCTTGTTGGTCAGGCTAGTCTCAAACTCCTGACCTCAGATGATCCACCCACCTCGGCCTCCCAAAGTGCTGGGATTATAGGCGTGAGCCACCATGCCTGGTCCAAATCAAAAAAAAAAAAGTATGTCCCTTCTAGCTTCTCTATCAACCAGAAAACACCAAAATGTTTGAAAGATTAATCAGAGGTTGGCTGGGCTGGTCTCCAGCTCCTAACCGCGAGTGATCCGCCAGCCTCGGCCTCCCGAGGTGCCGGGATGGCAGACGGAGTTGCGTTCACTCAGTGCTCAATGGTGCCCAGGCTGGAGTGCAGTGGCGTGATCTCGGCTCGCTACAACCCCCACCTCCCAGCTGCCTGCCTTGGCCCCCCAAAGTGCCGAGATTGCAGCCTCTGCCCGGCCGCCACCCCGTCTGGGAAGTGAGGAGCGTCTCTGCCTGGCCGCCCATCGTCTGGGATGTGAGGAGCCTCTCAGCCTGGCTGCCCAGTCTGGAAAGTGAGGAGTGTCTCTGCCCGGCCGCCCCGTCTGAGAAGTGAGGAGACCCTCTGCCTGGCAACCGCCCCATCTGAGAAGTGAGCAGCCCCTCCGCCCGGCAGCCACACCGTCTGAGAAGTGAGGAGCCCCTCCGCCCAGCAGCCACCCCGTCTGGGAAGTGAGGAGCGTCTCTGCCCAACAGCCACCCCGTCCGGGAGGGAGGTGGGGGTCAGCCCCCCGCCTGGCCAGCCGCCCCGTCCGGAAGGGAGGTGGGGGGTCAGCCCCCCGCCCGGCCAGCCACCCCGTCCGGAAGGGAGGTGGGGGGGTCAGCCCCCCGCCCGGCCAGCCGCCCCGTCCGGGAAGGAGGTTGGGGGGTCAGCCCCCCGCCCGGCCAGCCGCCCCATCCGGGAGGGAGGTGGGGAGGTCAGCCCCCCGCCCGGCCAGCCGCCCCGTCCGGGAGGGAGGTAGGGGTGTCAGCCCCCCGCCCGGCCAGCCGCCCCGTCCGGGAGGGAGGTGGGGGGTGTCAGCCCCCCGCCCGGCCAGCCGCCCCGTCCGGGAGGGAGGTGGGGGGGTCAGCCCCCCGCCCGGCCAGCCGCCCCATCCGGGAGGTGAGGGGTGCCTCTGCCCGGCCGCCCCTACTGGGAAGTGAGGAGCCCCTCTGCCCGGCCAGCCGCCCCGTCCGGGAGGGAGGTGGGGGGGGTCAGCCCCCCGCCTGGCCAGCCACCCCATCCGGGAGGTGAGGGGCGCCTCTGCCCGGCCGCCCCTGCTGGGAAGTGAGTAGCCCCTCTGCCCGGCCACCACCCCGTCTGCGAGGTGTACTCAACAGCTCATTGAGAACAGGCCATGATGACAATGGCGGTTTTGTGGAATAGAAAGGGGGGAACAGTGGGGAAAAGATTGAGAAATCGGATGGTTGCCGTGTCTGTGTAGAAAGAGGTAGACATGGGAGACTTTTCATTTTGTTCTGTACTAAGAAAAATTCTTCTGCCTTGGGATCCTGTTGATCTGTGACCTTACCCCCAACCCTGTGCTCTCTGAAACATGTGCTGTGTCCACTCAGGGTTGAATGGATTAAGGGTGGTGCAAGATGTGCTTTGTTAAACAGATGCTTGAAGGCAGCATGCTCGTTAAGAGTCATCGCCACTCCCTAATCTCAAGTACCCAGGGACACAAACACTGCGGAAGGCCGCAGGGTCCTCTGCCTAGGAAAACCAGAGACCTTTGTTCACTTGTTTATCTGCTGACCTTCCCTCCACTATTGTCCTATGACCCTGCCAAATCCCCCTCTGCGAGAAACACCCAAGAATGATCAATAAAAAAAAATAAATAAAAAATAAATAAATAAAAAATAAAAAATAAAAAAAAAGAAAGATTATCAGAAAGTAGACTAAACAGCTTCCAGGTACAAGTGTAAGCAGATTTCTCTCGTTGTTACACTGACTCCCTTGCTGGGCCTGGGCCATAGGGACTGAGCAATCACAAAAGGTTATACAAGGCCCCAAATTATATTTGGTAGAGGTTATTTAGAGAATGAACTCTTCAAATCCTAATAATCACTACGAGAAGAAATAATGATCCCCTAAAAGAAACAAGAGGTGAAAACCAAGTAAGATAAAGTACCAAGGTTTTAAAAAAAAACCGAACCTCTTCCATTGTTTCCTCAATCTGAGCAGAAACAGGTTCAGGAGATCTGAGACCAACAGGTACAAATACTGGAGCTTTGTTTACTTCTTCGGGAGCAAGATGATAGCTTTCTTCCTCATAGTCAGACTCAAAATCGTCAGCATCATCATCTTCTTCCTGGGAAGCCCGAAGAGTCACCAGCATGGCCTTGGAAGCTCTAGGTTCCTTCTTAGAGGTCTTACCCCGAACTCGTTTTGATCCACGACCTCTGGTGACATTTGGTTTGAACTTTTTATGACTTCTCCTTTCACCACGATTTCTCTCATACTCAGATGTAGAAGAGATAGTTGTTTTCCCATCCAGGGCAATTTTAGAGTAACTTGTTTCGTTTAACGGTTGTGGACAGCTAGATATTTAATCAAAACAACAATAAGGTCATATGCATGCAAGGATAATTTTAATGAAAACCAAACTTTTAGAGTGAAATTCCAGTTCCAGTCATTAAAATGAAAATTCCCACCACCCATTCTTTTAAAATCTTATGCTGTGAAAATAAAAAAGGAATTAACTACTAGTTTCTCACTCAGAGTTAATTCTTAGTTATCTACCTACAAATTTTTCATAGTAAGTTTTTAATTCTGGACCATTCTTTCCTGTAATATGAAAGTGAAGATAAAATAAACACAAAACTGAAAATTATTAGAAGAAAAAGGGATAAAAGACACAGAACCGGCTGGGCGCAGTAGCTCACGCCTCTACTCCCAGCACTTTGGGAGGACGAGGCAGGCAGATCACTTGAGGTCAGGAGTTCAAGACCAGCCTGGCCAACATGGTGAAACCTGATCTCCACTAAAAATACAAAAATTAGCTGGGCACGGTGGTGCACGCCTGTAATCCCAGCTACTCGGGAGGATGAGGCAGGAGAATCACTTGTACCTGGGAGGTGGAGGTTGCAGTGAGCCGAGTCACGCAATTGTACTCCAGCCTGCGCGAGAAGAGTGAAACTGTCTCAAAAACAAAAAAAGACACAGGACCAATAAATACAGAATATGAGATCAAATGTGGTATTAGTTTATCCTACTGGGTAAACAGATAGGTTAAAAGAAAAAGGAGGCAGCAGAAATCCACTAGAGCAGTGCTGGTTTCTAGAACTTAAGTTTCTTTCCATTTTCTTTGAAAACTATAGAAGTAGGGTATTCTTTATTTGTGTTTGTGACTCCATTTGAATGAGCACCTTAATTACTTAGCTAATACATACATACTCCTCTTTGGTCAAGTTTCTACCCATGTCTAATGGACTCAACACCCAAAAATTTTGTTCTACCAGTAAGTTAAGGTAAAAGTTAAGTGATTTTTATTTCTTATTGTGAAACATTTTGTTAAATAAAATGTTACCTTGTTAGTTTATTGAGATATTGCTCTTCAACAACTGAAGATGGTGAATTATCTCCTACAGTTTCCTCTCCAACCCTTCTTGATGGTCCAACTTCTTCTAATTCCGCATCTATTTTTGCCAAAGCAGACTCTTTGGAACCTACACAATCTTTTCTTGCTGAAACCTCCAGAGATGTCAGAAGCTCAGCTTTTTCCTTAAATTTAAGAAGAAATTAGCTAGTATTACTACAGAAACAATCTCTATGTTAATTTGGTTTGGTAGTTTGGCCTAAACCTCTAAGTTTACACATATCTACAAGCAGTTGGTTGCTCATCTTTTACAACACTAGAAAGTCACTTTTCATGAAAATGGTTACAGTACAGAAGTCAAAACTGTATTTTACTCATGCTCTTCATGATCTTGACAAAACAGACCTCATTGAGAAAAAAAATTTTTTTTTTTTTTTTGCCCAAACTTACTTTTAGAAGGAGCTGGGTGTTGGAAGCTCCTTTCTGCAGCAAATGATCTTCTGGCTTGCCTTCCTTGCTCTGATCTGTTGTGACTTTTTCTAAAACTGGTTCCTCTTTCTTACTGTGTGCTCTTCCCAAATTTGGCTTAGCCTTTTGGAATTTCCTTCTTGTCATTTGTGCTGAACTAGGAACATACGGTTTATTTTCATGTCTAGAATGAAGTATGAATCATGTTGAAGAACAAAAATCAGAATTTCTTGTTGATATAACAGCTGTTACATCAAACAATTTTGGATACAAATCAATTCTATGTTCAAAGGACTATATATAAATTGGCAATAAAATCAAGCATGTAAAATGAAACCACACATTGCTGATATGAAAAGAACTTATAAAGCATTTATAGCTTCCATTTTCTATAGAGCCTGAAAAAGTTTTACAATAATATTAATCTTTTTAAACTTTCATTTATTCATTCTATTATATGATTTCATGCTACTTTAATTTTCAGAGAAATCACAGGATACCAAAAAAAAAAAGGCAAGTAGCTGAAGATGGATTTCATAATGGCACTTTAAACACATGCCTTCAACTGGGCCCCCAAAGCATGAACAAATATATGACAGTTATAACCAACTCGATACTTCTAGTTCTAAAGTAGACTTGAAGGGTAGAGTCTATTCTCCTAACAGATGCCTGAACTCTCACTAAAAAGGGTTTACTGACAACCAATGTCATAAGGTTCTCAATATAATCCGTCTGTATCTGCCAAATAACAAAAAGACGTTTTAGCATTCAAGAGAGTAGCCAGAGCTCCCAAGGTAACCTGAATAGCTATCTAATGGTTTCCTGGACAATATTTTAGCAACTGGCAAAGATCTGAATTAGGAAGCTTAAAAACTAATAGAGACCAGGCACGGTGGCTCACGCCTGTAATCCCAGCACTTTGGGACGCCGAGGTGGGCGGATCACCTGAGGTCGGGAGTTTGAGACCAGCCTAACCAACATGGAAAAACCCCATCTCTACCAAAAATAAAAAATTAGCTGGGCATGGTCGTGCATGCCTGAAGTCCCAGCTACTCGGGAGGCTGAGGCAAGAGAATCACTTGAACCTGGGAGGTGGAGGTTACAGTGAGGCGAAGTTGCACCACTGCACTCCAGCCTGGGCAACAAGAGCAAAACTCTGTCTCCAAAAAAAAAAAAAAAAACTAATATAAACCTGAATATTTATAAAGAATAACTGGATATATAAGTACCTATCTTGAGTTCTCTGAAAGATCTGCATTAAAAACTAATCTTTTTTTTTTTTTTTGAGACGGAGTTTCGCTCTTGTCACCCAGGCTGGAGTGCAATGGTGCGATCTCGGCTCACTGTAACCTCCGCCTCCAGGTTCAAGCGATTCTCCTGCCTCAGTCTCTCAAGTAGCTGGGATTACAGGCATGCGCCACCACGGCTGGCTAATTTTGTATTTTTAGTAGAGATGGGGTTTCTCTATGTTGGTCAGGCTGGTCTCAAACTCCCGAACTCAGGTGATTCGCCCGCCTTGGTTTCCCAGAGCGCTGGGATTACAGGTGTGAGCCACCATGCCCGGCCTTCAATGCACCCTTTCAATGAAGCTTTCTCTGGTCACTGCTGATTAAAAAGTGAATCCCCAGTCACAACACTCCCTACTCAAAACTTTATTTTTCTCTACTGATTTATCACTTATTTATTCAACTTATTTCTCATTTATAATCTGTTTCTCAATTAGAATATAAACTCCACAGTGACAGCATTTTTTTCTTCATTTATTCCTACATCATCAGCACTTAGAACAATGCCTGGCACACAGCAGACACTAAAATGTTTGTGGAATAAATGAGTATATAAGGTTATTTTCAGTGGTAAAATTCTATAATTCTTTGAGATCAAAAAGGGATTATACATAGAAAATAATCCCATAATTAGTAATTAGGAGAAGTGAATGATGTAAACAAATTCATCTGTAATGTTTCCTAGACATTATCAGAGTTAAATTGCTCTGAGATCAATCATCAACCTAATCCAATATAGCATTTGTAATATAAGTCTAATGCATTTTAGTAAAAAACATTTCAATAAAATATCCAGTTTTAAAAACTGAAAAAATGGCTAAGGGAACCTAAAATTAATGTGAAGTAAAAATTGGCCTTAATCTTAAAATAAAAGCAATATGGAAAGACTTTTCAATGCATAGCACAGGGAACAATCAACAAAGTGAAGAGACAACCTACAGAATGGGAGAAAAAATTCCCAACTATCCATCTCACAAAAGTTAATAACCAGAATATATAAGGAACAAAAACAACTCAATAGCAAAAAAACAAATAATCTGATTAAAGAATAGGCAAAAGAGAACAGACAGTTCTCAAAAGACATACAAATGGCCAACAGGTGTCTGACAAAATGTTCAACATCATTAATCATCACGGAAACGCAAATCAAAACTGCACTGAGATATCCTACTGCCGTTAAAATGGCTACTGTTAAAAAGACAAAAAATTACAAATACTGGTCAGGATGTGGAGAAATGGGAAAACTCATAGGCTGTTCGTGGGAATATAAAGTAGGAATGCCATTATGGAAAAAAGTATGAAAGTTCCTCAAAAAACTAAAAATAGAACTACCATTTGATTGAGCCATCCTACTGCCAGGTGTATGTCCAAAAGAAAGGAAATCACTGTATCAAAGAGATATCTGAACTCTCATGTTTACTGCAGTGGTATTCACAATAGCCAACACATAATATCAACCTAAGTGTCCAGCAACAAATGAATAAAGAAAGTGAGAAAGTGTGGTATATATACACAATGGAATATTATTTAACCATAAAAAAGAATGAAATCCTGTCATTCACAGTGACATAGATGGAACTAGAGGTCATTATGTTAGGTGAAATAAGCCAGGCACAGAAAGACAAATATTGCTGGTTCTCACTCATATGTAGCAGCTTAAAAAGTGGATCTCATGGAGGTAGGGATTAGAATGGTGCTCACCAGAGGCTAGGAAGGCAAGAGGGAAGGGAGTAATGAGAAGCTGGTTAGTGTGTATAAAAATACAGTTAGATAGAAGGAATAAGTTCTGGTATTCAGTAGTACAGTAGGAAAAATTATAGTTAACAATCATTTATTGTATTATTTCAAAATAGCTAGAAAATTATGTTGCCAATATAAAGATAAAAGTATGAAGTGATGGATATCCCAGTTACTCTGATCTGGTAATTATATATTGTGTATAATGTATCAAAATATCACATGTAGTCCAAAAATATGTATAACTATTATATATCAAAAAAAAATTTAAGGCTTTTTAAGACAAAAAGCAGGGGGAGGGGCTGTAATATTGAAAACAAAAGTAATCCAGGTTGGGCGCAGTGGCTCATGCCTGTAATCCCAGCACTTTGGGAGGCTGAGGTGGGTGGATCACCTGAGGTCAGGAGTTCGAGACCAGGTTGGCCAACATGGTGAAACCCCATCTCTACTAAAAATACAAAAATTAGTAGGGTGTGGTGGTGGGTGCCTGCAATCCCAACTACTCGGGAGGCTGAAGCACAAGAATCACTTGAATCCAGGAGGCGAAGGTTGCAATGAGCCACGATCAAGCCACTGCACTCTGAGACTCTGTCTCCAAAAAAAAAAAAAAAAAAGTAATCCATACTAAAATAAAAACTTCACATTAGAAACTCGTCTAAATGAAAGCAAACTGCTTCAAGCATCTAAAATTAACAGAGGTCGGGCACGGTGGCTCACCATGTAATCCCAAGATTTTGGGAGGCCGAGATGGGCGGTTCACTTGAGCTCAGGAGTTCAGGACCAGCCTGGGCAACATGGTGAAACCCCATCTCTACAAAAAGATACAAAAATATTAGCCAGGCATGATGGTGTGCACCTGTGGTCCCAGCTACTCGAGAGGTTGAGGTGGGAGAATTGCTTGAGCCCAGGAAGTTGAGGCTGCAGTGAGCTGTGACTGCGCCACTGCACTCCATCCTGGGCGACACAGTGAGACACCTTGTCTCAAAAAGTAAATATAATAAAAAGAAAATATAAATCAATAGCACCTGTTTTGACAGATGACCTAACATGCCCAAATTCTAGCTTCACCTAACTAGAGAGGGTTAAAAAAGGATACAATAACATCTCCTCTGCATTTCCCAGAAAGCCAAAGTCACTCTACCTAATTAAAGGAAGCTGAAATATTTAAAGTATATTCATAAGTGCTGAAAACATCCTGGAGGAAAATTAATAAATACTTCACTAAAACATGTTCTAGTTACTAAGACAGTAAGTTAGATGGACCAAGAACTATATACAGAAAGGAAAGGCGTTTTTACTAAAGAAAAGAACACATCTTGCTTTAATAATAAGAAGGCAGATAGCAAGTAATAAATAAAAGTGGTAATGTTAAAACTTCTTCACCCTACTAGCTCATCTCAATTAAAAGATATCATTCTTACCATTTGGCTTCGATGTAGTTACCTCTAAATATAGTATACTGTTAAGTATACTTTATAGCACTACCTATTAATGAATTTTAGTCAGTAGGTTATAAACTTCTTTTCTTTTTTTTATTTGTTATTTTTATAGAGACGAGGTCTCACTATGTTGCCCAGGCTGGTCTTGAACTCCTGGACTCAAGCGATCCTCTCGTCTTGGCTTCCCAAAGTGCTGGGAGATTACAGGCGTGAACCACTGCGCCTGGCCTAAATTTCTAAAAAAGATACAGAGAACTTAAGAATCTTTGTCTACTATTAAAAATTTAGTTTTGGTACCAAAAAGTAGGATGCTTGTCAAACTTTTCAGAGAAATTACATATACTTAAGGGAATATCATATACTTAAGAGAATATCAGCCATGCAATTCATACAGTATTCGAGAAGCAGATTTAAAAGACTCTAGTATCACAAGTATTTATTACTTTATCCTTTTAACATTTTCAGGATGTGAAGTTATTAATATATAAAGTCAACTATGCAAAAATATAACTTTTATCTTTGAAAAGTCTTATTTTTTCTCATTAAAAGCAAACTCACCTGATTGTTTCATTTGTTTTGTTAACATGAAGGTTTTCTACAAGAACCACCTGACTTTGATTTTCATACATTCTGTGTTCTGGAACTGCGGACGATGGAACTTCAATTTCAGTTTCAATTTGAGAATTTGACTGAAAAGACAAAATCATATTAGTATGTTATTTTTATAGCAGAATATACCTCTTAAAATATTTCCACCATTAAGATATTTAGTTTTTTAAAATCCCTTTTCTTTTTTAAATTTTTATTTATGCATTTTGAGATAGTCTCATCATACTGCCCAGGCTAGTCTCAAAGTCCTAGGCTCAAACGATCCTCCTTCCTCAGCCTCCTGAGTAACTGGGATTACAGGCAGATACCACCATGGGTGGTTAATTCTTTAAAATTAGATTCAAACTGGATATGTAATGTTCACATTCTGTTGCCAAAAACAAGGATGCCTAGTTCAGAGAAAAGTTTCAAAGATTATTGCAGTAATATGTTTACATAATACTTTGAAAACTATAATAGTCACCTGCTATGAAATTAAAAATAAACAAAGTTTAATTTTTTTTTTTAAGAAAGAGCTTTTTGGTTCAAATAAAGATTATTTTAAATCTAGACTTTGCATTGTTTAACAGAAAAATAAGAACTACCTAAAATGAACATTTTTAGACATTACACTACTTAGACTTTTTCCCTAATACCAAAAGACCCATTAATAAGAGATTAAACTGTTACTCAAAACAGCATGTTATACAGCAAAAATGATGTAACTAACATATTTCTTGATCCAGAAAGCCACTTAACATAGTATTCAGTGAATAACAGAAAGTTATAGTACGTAATGACTTTATTGTTTAAATTTGCATAAGTGTGCACATAATGTGTGCATGGAAATAAATCCAGTAAGATATGTCAAAAGGTTTTCAGTGGTTATCTCAGAGTAAGATTTGCGGTATTTATATTATTTTGTCCTAATGGAACATTTTACGATGAATAGCTTCATTAATTAGAAAAGAAATAAATCTATTTTCACTTAAAAAAAAAATCCAGAAGAGCAAATCTGAAACAAAACTGGAAACTGTATTCATTGAGTAGAATAAGTGTCAGATGCCTGTATTTCTAAGCTATGTCTGAGCTATAACTTGACATTTTAAATGCATTAAAAGGCTAAATTTAATTACATAACAATAACTCACCACAGTTAAGACTTTCTTTTCAGTTTCATCTTTTGGTAATATCGTTCTTCCTTCCTTAATTATGCCTTTGGCTTCACCTTTGTCTACTATTTGCCTCTGTCCTGTCTTTCTTATATTTGGTCTCGGTCTCTGAAGTCGGCCCCTTACTTGTCGAGCAGTTTGGATAACACTTTCCTTCATTTCTTGCTGGAAAGTGTTTACATTATTAGTCCTAAACAAGGGGACAGGGAGAAAGGCAGGGCGCTTGACTGTAAAAAGCTGAAAACTAATGTAAAAATGTAAAATTTGGATCTCCTCTAATAAACACTCTAAAAAATACTTTGTACCATTAAAGGGAAATTGCTTTCTGATTATAAACATCTTATTTTACAAAAGAAAACAGTTATGTCAATTCTTAAAAGGTAATAAACTTATATAATATGCCTAAAGTAGCTAAATATACAGATAGAATGGTGGTTGCCAGGAGCTGGAAGAGGAGGAGAATGAGTTAGTATTTAATGGGTAGAGAGTTTCATTTTATGAAGATGAAAAAGAAAGTCTAGAGATGAATGGTGGTGGCAACGGGACAACAATGTGAATACACTTAATGCCACTGTATATTAAAAAATAGTTAAAATGGTAAATTTTATCTTATGTGTATACTAATTTTTAAAAGTTAATGAATATATATAGCTTATATACATATAAGCTGAGTAGCCCTATCCAAAATGCTTAGGACCAGAAATGTTTCAGATTTCAGATTTTTTTAGATTTGGAAATATTTGCATTATACTTATCAGTTGAGCATCCCTACTTTGAAAATCCAAAATGCTCCACTGAGCATTTCTTGAGCATCATGTCAGCTCTCAAAAAGTTTTAAATTGTGGCACATTTCAGAATTTTTTATTAGGGATGCTCAACTTGTAGTTTTTAAATGCATTGCTTTGTATACACTCTTACGCAGCTGACAATGCAGATAAGCAGGCAACCATTAGAAGGTGTTGAATTCAATCTGATATTATATTTTAGGCAGTCTGCTGTATCAATAAAATTAAACCAATATTCTTTATGTTCACTTTTTAAATGCATTAACATATCTCAATAAAAATTAGAAATATTTAAAAGAAGTATCTCTCTTATTTTATATTGTCAAAGAAAATCACTGTTTACCCCACAGAAACAACTGAGTCATTTTTCTGGACTGGTGCTGACTGAGACTCCTCTTTAGGTTCACAAGAATTTGAAGGTGAAAGGTTCCTTTCAGTCTGTGTACATGGCAATATCACAGCCTCCTCATTCCTGTGACCTAATGTGTCTTTTTCTCTTGATATCATTAGGGAAGCTTCATCCTAGAAGACAGAAAAAAAATTTCATTCACAGTTGCTAAAAGTATAAGGAAATAAGAACTTTACAAGTATAAACTGATATCATCTTCGTGAAGAATAATAGGGTAGTCTATACCAAAATTCTAAATTCCCAGCAATTCCACTTCTAGAAATGTATCTTATAAATACTCAACAAGTAGAAATATACACACAAAAATATTTATTGTAACAATTTAAGCACCACCTCCCTCACCGGAAAAGACAAACAAAAAAATCAGAAATAAAACAGATATATCATTAGGGGATGGAATAAATAAATTTTAATTTCTTTACAATGCAATAGTACCTAATCATTTAAAAGAAGATATATCTCTTTGTACTGATCTAAAAAGAAGCTCACAATACTGTAAGTGGAAAAATCAGAAAGCAAGAATTAATGTCATTTTGGAAAACAATAAAAATACCTTCCCATTTTATCATTTTATAACTGTAAGACGAAAAAGTGTAAGTGGATATATTCAAAATTGCTGTATGATTAACTTGGGGGAAAGGGACGTGACATTATAAAAGACTCTCACTTTTTAGAATACATATATTTTTCCAAATTAAAATTTCTATAATCAGAAAGTATAATACAAATGTAACTTATCTTTTATGAATATAAGCTTAGGAGAAATAGTACAAATGTTGATGCACAGTAAAGTACTGAGCTATTTTAAGACATCAAATAAGAATTTTAATTCTAAGAAGGACTTCCACTGAATGTGGAAAACATTCAGTTTATAATTATTCATTTCGTTTCAATGTTTTTTTGATGGTATGTCACACAATCTTAATCTGTTATGGACCAAGTTAATAAAGTAAATAAAATATCACCTTTAACTCAAATCAAGCTTTTAACTCTTCATTTCACCTTCACAAGAGAGTGAAATAAAAAACGATTATTCTCGCTGGGCGCCACGGCTCAGCGTAATCCCAGCACTTTGGGAGGCCAAAGCAGGCAGATCACGAGGTTAGGAGTTCGAGATCAGCCTGGCTAACATAGTGAAACCCCATCTCTACTAAAAATACAAAAAAAAAAATTAGCCGGACATGGCAGCACGCGCCTGTAGTCCCAGCATTCAGGAGGCTGAGGCAGGAGAATCGCTTGAACCTGGGAGGTGGAAGTTGCAGTGAGCCGAGATCGCGCCACTGCACTCCAGCCTGGGAACAGAGTGAGACTTCATCTCAAAAAAATAAAAATAAAAAAAATAAAAAACTATTATTGTCATTTTTTCTATGAAGAAAATTGTTTAATCAATGGTCACATAGCTGGAACTGGAACCAGAGCCCAGACCTGAACGCTTTCCCACAACACGTTTGCCCATTATCAGATATCTGAGATTCTTACACAAATTATGTGGAACAATGAGGCACATTAAGCATGGGAGCAATATCACATGCAGCAAAAATTACACAGAAATATTTGTAGAATTTTAATGCCAGGTGCTTTTAGTAGTCCTAATAACTTAAAAAAAAAAAAAAACACCCACACAGAACTTCCATCTCAAATACACTCACATGTTGAGAAGGGAGAGTATCAGTTTGTTCATTATTTTCTTGCATCACAATAGTCTCCATTTTCTTGGTTTCTGATTTCTTCTCATATATATATTTTTCTGATTCTGTAGTCTCTCTCTTCAAAGCTGCTCTTGCTAAGTTTGGTTTTGGTCTTTTGAATCGGCTCCTCACAAAAGGTGCTGGTTTAATTTCAAGTGGCTTCTGTTCTTGAGGAAGAGATTTGCTTTTGGAACAAGGATTATCAAGCTTTAGAATGAACTGAAGGGGCAGTGGAAACGGAGTCTCAGTACAACCTTAGAGACTGGCGGTAAACATTTAATTTTTTTTTTTTTTTTTTTTTTTTTGGAGACAGGGTCTTGTTCTATCCCCCAGGCTGGAGTGCAATGACACAATCATAGCTCACTGCAGCCTTGACCTCCGCGGGCTCAAGTGATCTTCCCATCTGAGCCTCCCAAGTAGCTGGGACTACAGGCATGTGCCACCACACCCAGCTAGTTTTTGTTTTTTTATTTTATAGAGATGGGGTTTCTACAGCGTGTTGCCCAGGCTGGTCTCAAACTCCTAGGCTCAAAGGATCCACCCACCTCAGCCTCCCAAATTGCTAGGATTACAGGTGTGAGCCACCATACTTGGCCTAATTCTAATTCTTAACAGGAAAACAAATCGAACTATCTGGCAGATCCTGAAAACCATGAGTGGTACAATCCAGGTATGAGCCTAGGAATTACACCATCTCTGCACAAAGAAAATATGAGTCTATCAAACCTGTATTGATTTAAGACTGTTACATACAATTTTGTATGTCAGTAACTTTCACAATTGACTGTCAGAGTGACCTCAATCCTCTCTCCCAGTCTTCCCAAAACTATCTTAAAAGCTCTAACACTATCCTGTATATGTTATATCTTGAAACCTCACTTAGTTTAACGTAATCTGCAACTATAACTTAATATCTTTTTCTTTAAAAACACACTTGTACCTTAAATTAATATCTGAAAACTGCTCTGGAACATCTGGAGATTGAATCCCCTGGACTTCTGTTTTATCAGATTCATGAGTCTGTGAAGAAATCTTGAAATGACTGAAGTGACTTGATACTTCTTTTTCAGAATTTCTTTTTTCTTCTACAGGTGTATGCATCATCGACAGTACTTCACTGCTAATGTTCTAGAGGAACAGTCATAGTAAATCAGCACAAATAAAAGAGTATTTAAACATCTTATATATTTAAAACAAAAGTCTACTAAATTCTAAACACTTTCCTTTAAAACTTTAGAAGTTTTTAATTTTTGAATAAAATTTAATTTCCAAATGTTAAAACTTGGAATTCAGGAAACCCTTTTATGTTGCATATTATTACTTTCCCAAACCACAAATGTCATTATCTATTTTTAAAAGTTAGAAAAAAAAAAAAGTCCTTGAAAATGTTAGAAGATCATGAACTTCAAAGTAACTTGAAAAAACAAAAAGAACTTTTAGAAGTGAAGTAAGTCAGGTGGGGCAAGAAACAAAAGCAGATACAGATGTGGCCAAAAGAAATAATGTGTGTTCACGCTAGGGTTAGTACAAATTCAGTCTAATTTCCTATTCTTCTTTTACCTAAAAGAGTAACTTCAAATGATATTAAGAACAGTGACATTTTTGAGATCTCAAACCTAAGCCAAAAGAAAAGTTTGATCCTTGCCCATCTGACTTAAAGAAAAAAAATAATAATAATAACAGTGACTTTTTCACAGTTGGAAATTATTTTTATTTCTTTTTGAGACAGGGTCTCACTCTGTCACCCAGGGTGGAGTACAATGGCACAATCACAGCTCACTGCAGCCTCAACCTCCAGGGTTCAAGTGATCCTCTCACCTCAGCCTCCCAAGTAGCTGGGACTACAGGCTTACACCTTGTTATTGTATTTTATTTTTTATTTATTTTATTTATTTTTATTTTATCTTATTTTTTGTAGAGACAAGGTCTCTCTATGTTGCCCAGGCTGGTCTCAAACTCCTGGGCTCAAGTAATCCTTCCACCTTGGCCTCCCAAAGTGTTGGGTTTAAAGGTGTGCCCAGCCTAAAGTTATCTTTTTAAAAAAGAACATACAGTTTCTTCAAGGCACTGAAACATAGAAACTTAGGGCTACAAAAGACTTTAGACTTTTAGAGATTTTTAAGTGTTGTTGGACTTAAGGACAAAATAATCATGGAATTATTTATTTCCTCTGAAAAAAGCATTCAAAAAACTTTTAAAGGACAGAAAAATACATACCTGAATATCTAGTGAAGGCACAGCACTGAAGTCATTGCTACCGCTCTGCATTAAATGTGTGTCAGTTTGTCTTGAGGTACTGGTCTCCTCTAGCTCGTTTTCCCTTGGAGAAATGTCTGTTTTTCCAGTTTGTTTCAATTCTGCCACCTTTTCCTCAGTAACACAGATCTCTTCAGATCCTCTCTCTCTAAAATTTTCTTTTCCAGTTTCTTTCAAATCTGCCTCCATTTCTTCAACAACAGCCATCTTTCCTGATACTTTCTCCATGATGGGAATGTCTCTTTTTCCAGTTTCTTTCAAATCAATCTCCTTTTCCCTTATAGCACTGAACTCTGCTAGCACCTTTTCCCTTTGGGAAATTTCTTCTCTAATTTCTTTCAAATCTGTCTCCATTTTACCTACAGGCTTGACCTCCTCTGGGCCATTTTCCTGTGGCGATATTTCTCTTTCAGTTTCTTCCAAATCTGTCTCTATTACCTCAGCAGCATCAATCACCTCTCGTGTCTTCTCCCTTGAGGAACCCTCTCTTCCAGTTGTTTTCAAGTCTGTCTCCATTTCATCTACAGGCTTGACCTCCTCTGGGCCATTTTCCTCTGGGGATATTTCTCTTCTTCCAGTTTCTTCCAGATCTTTGTCTATTTCCTCAGTGGCATCAATCACCTCTGGTGTCTTCTCCCTTGGGGAAATCTCCCTTCCGGTTGCTTTCAAATCTGTTTGCATTTCACCTAGAGGCTTAACCTCCTCTAGGCCATTTTCCTGTGGGGATATTTCTCTTTCAGTTTCTTCCAAATCTATCTCTATTTCCTCAATGGCATCAATCACCTCTGGTGTCTTCCCCCTTGGGAAACTGTCTCTTCCAGTTGCTTTCAAATCCGTCTCCATTTCACCTAGAGGCTTGACCTCCTCTAGTCCATTTTCCTGTGGGGATACTTCTCTTTCAGTTTCTTCCAAATCTATTTCCTCAGTAGCATCAATCACCTCTGGTGTCTTCTCCCTTGGAGAACTCTCTCTTCCAGTTGCGTTCAAATCTGTCTCCATTTCATCTACAGGCTTGACCTCCTCTGGGCCATTTTCCCTTGGGGATATTTTTCTTCTTCCAGTTTCTTCCAAATTTTTGTCTATTTCCTCAGTGGCATCAGTCACCTCTGGTGTCTTCTCCCTTGGGGAACTCTCATTTCCAGTTGCTTTCAAATCTGTCTCCACTTCACCTAGAGGCTTAACCTCCTCTGGGCCATTTTTCTGTGGGGATATTTCTCTTCTTCCAGCTTCTTCCAAATCTTTGTCTATTTCCTCAGTGGCATCAATCACCTCTGGCGTCTTCTCCCTTAGACAAATCTCTCTTCCCATTGCTTTCAGACCTGTCTCCATTTCTATGGTGTCATCAATCACATCTAGAATCTTCTCCCTGGGAGAAATGGCTCTTCTTCCAGTTTCTTTTAAATCTGACTGCATTTCTTTAGTATTAATCTCTGCTGGTACCATCTCCTTTGGTGAGGTGTCTAGTCTTACAGTTTCTCTCAATGCTGCCGCCATTTCCCCAGAGACAAGAATCTTCTCTAGTACCTCTTCCTTTGAGGAAATTTCTCTCCTTCCAGTTCCTCTTCCTATATTTGGCTTTGGTTTCTGAAATCGAGTCCTTAGAATTGGGACTTGGTTAAGTTTATTTGCCTTATTATTCTCTTGAACGCTATAAAAAAAAAAGGGGGCACACAATCAAGTTTTAAACCAGACTGCCTGCTGAAGAGATGATGTTTGAGAAATCACTACAGAAACACCAGAAACTCTCAAATTCAAAAAAATTAAGGAAGGCCTAGGAATCGCTGGGTAAAATTTAAAAATTAAAAGAAAAAAAATCCCACCTTTTGAAATCACAGCAATAAGTTTAAATATATATATATATCTAGTAAGGTCAATCAGTATAGAAGCTATTTGATCCTAACAGTGTCTTTCCAATTGTCATTCACACTACCATTTATAAATACTGACTGGGAAAGACTCTCCAGTTCTCTGCATTGGAGCTAGATTGATGTATGTCTGCTATTTCTACCTCTTCATCCCTTCTATCTTTTATACAGACAAATGGTTTGCCATAATAGACCTGACCACCTCAAATACCTGGATACAAGTATGACTTGACCAAGATTAAATCTTAGGACTACAAATGAGGTCTGCCCTCCTCACCTTTTAAAACCAATTTTATATGAGATTTCCTATACAGATAGTTCTCTAAAGGCTTGTTATTTCATAACATAAGTAAAGAATCAAAGGACAGACCAAATACACAATAATACTTTGCTGAATGCTACTGGGCACACAACCACTATCCAAAGCAAGCACCTTGCTCTCCAGAAAAGCAGCAGCACTTTTTGTTTTGCTTTCTGTTTATTATAATAGATGGTAAAATCAATAAACATATAAATGAATGAAAGGGCTTTTAAATGACTGGTTAGGAAAAGTTATTAATATTGGGCAAAAGCTAGATCAAATGAAACACTAGATTGTATTCGGCCATGTCGGACTGAACAGGTATATAACTATACATTCAACAGCTTAAAAAAAGACGTATTGAGCTGGGCATGATGCTTCATGCCTGTACTCCTAGCACTTCAGGAGGCTGAAGCAGATGGCTTGAGCCCATGAGTTTTTGGTAGAAATCCCATCTCTACAAAAAAAAAAAAAATTAGTCAAGTGAGGTGGCGTGCACCTGTAGTCCCAGCTATTCAGGAGGCTGAGGTGGGAGGATCACCTGAGCCCAGGAAGGATGAGGCTGCAGTAAGCCATGATCATGCCACTGCACTCCAGATTGGGCAAGAGAGCAAGATCCCATCTCAAAACAAACAAACAAAAAACAAAACAAATAAGCAAAAGATTTACTTAAAAGTATGCTAGGCTGGGCATGGTGGCTCAGCCTGTAATCCCAGCATTTTGGAAGGCTGAGACAGGTGGATCACTTAAGGTCAAGAGTTTGAGACCAGCCTGGCCAACATGATGAAACCCTGTCTCTACTCAAAATACAAAAATTAGCAGGGCGTGGTGGCACGCGCCTGTAATCTCAGCTACATGGGAGGCTAAAGCAGGAAAATAGCTGGAACCCAGGGGGCGGAGGTTGCAGTGAGCCAAGATCATGCCACTGCACTCCACCTGGGCAACAGAGTAAGACTCTGTCTCAAACAGAAACAAAAACAAAACAACAAAAGTATGCTATTGCTTGTTTCAACTTCTTTAGGTCCTATACTATCCTTCCTCACTGAAATAACTGTTTTCAATAATGCAATTTTTGATACTGTAAGACAGGTCCTTAGGAATAAGATTGCTTTTCAAATTGTACTTGTTTACATAACTGAAGTGTTTATATCCATCATTAACTTTAGCAATTGACAACGTTAAATGTAAAATTAACAGCAATCAATAAAGGAAATTTAATTTGATTAGTCCTGAATGGACCGCATTCCATTTTTTGATTTATGATACTTTTCATCTCCATCCAGAAACATCTAGCTTTTAGTGAGATTACTGTGCTAGCAATCTTGGTTTGGGTACCATGGGAAGAGATAAAATAAACTATCTTTATAAAGTCACATTTTGAAAACAGGCGTATTATTTAAACATATAAATGCTTGAAGCAAAGGCTTTATTAATAATTTCATTATTTCCATAACAGTTCAGATTGTAAGATACAGATATGCAATGTTATAATTATATTCTATGTGCTTAGATTTTTTAAACTGCCATTCCACCAAAGCAATAGATTGATTGTTTCTAAGTAACAAAAGAAGTACAGAATTAACTGAAGGGCAGTATCTGAGACTGGATATCAGATATAAAATTGAACTAGATTATTTCTCAACTTAAAATATACAGTGGATCTACGAACTTTCCTCAGATCACAAATTTGAGAAGAAAGGCAAAACAAGAGGATCATGAATGGAGAAAATAAGGTATGGAATGAGCACAAAACTATAAATGTGCTTTAAGGTCTGCATATGTGTTTTTCTAAAACACGGAGTTTAAGAATCTATAAAATATTCATGGCCAGGCGTGGTGGCTCACACCTATAATCCCAGCACTTTGGGAGGCCAAGGAAGGAGGATCCCTTCAGCCCAGGAGTTCAAGACCAGCCTGGGCAACATGGCGAAACCCTGTCTCTACAAAAAAATTTAAAAATTAGCCAGATGTGGTGGCATGCACCTGTAGTCCCAGCTACTTGGGAGGCTGAGGCAAGAGGATCAATTGAGCCCAAAAGGTGAATGCTGCAGTAAGCCATGATCACACCACTGCACTCCAGCCTGGGTGACAGAGCAAGACCCTTGTCTTTAAAAAAATATGGGTGTGTGTGTGTGTGTGTGTGTGTGTGTGTGTGTGTGTTTCAAATATATATATATATATATATATAAACCTCCAAACAAACATCACCAAATCACCAATCATGACAAAAAACTTAAAATATTTATATGAAGTAGGTAAGATGCAAAATTAACCTAGAAGATTAAATTTCAAAGAAATACTCACTAGTTTATCTAATAAAGTACCTTTTCTTTAATAGAGATGGGTCTTGCTATGTTGTCCAGGCTTGTCTTGAGTTCCTGGCCTCAAGTGATCCTCCTGTCTCAGCCTCCCAAAGTGCTGGGATTATAGGTGTGAGTCACCATGCCCAGCCTAAAGAATTTTTAATGCATTCTTTGAGAGACTATTTTCCTACTATCTCTCTTACATAGCATCTTGAACAGGCCAACATATGTGGAGTAGGAGAGGGGGAAAACTTTCTGTTAGACATAGGTGTATAATTTGATAAAACACAGAATCTTAGAATTGCTTTTGAGGATTCTGGAGATTCAAAGGCTAGAAAGGTCACATGACAAAGCAAAAATGACACTGCCCATGGAGAGGAAAGTTGTTGAGATCAGATTGAGTATTAGTTACAGTGTCCACCAGTGTTCTAAAACCCAGAGGCCATTCAGAAAAGTTTAATTTTCTACCAAGCCACAGTATCTATTAATAGACTCTAGTTTAAACTGAAAAAATATAAATAAAAAGAATAATTTGTTAGCTAACTGTAATTAAAATCCATATCAGAGATATGCAGCAAGCAATGTAGTCATACAAACTTCTACCTAGAGACTGTGTGCACATTAGTAAAATAATCCGGGCAGTGGGGAGGAATAAGAAGCAAAGGAATAGTGAAGGCAACAAGAAATAGAGAAATTTTTTTGTCTTCCAATGAAGATCTTTAAAGTAGTTCAGGAAACCTAGCTTTCACTCTCAGGTTAGGTACTTTTCTTTTTTGGAGGGACAGGAGTCTGTCTCACTTTGTTGCCCTGGCTGGAGTAAAGTGGCCCATTCATAGCTCCCTGCAGCTTCTAATTCCTGGGCTCAAGCAATCCTCTTCCTTCAGCCTTCCATGTAGCTAGATAGGCATGAGCCACCATGCCCAGCTAGGTACTATTTAAATAGGCTAATACAGCTGTAAGAAAGTATAGCATAGGCTAGCCTTTAAACGTAAAGACTGGTAAATATTAATTACTGAAACTGGACAGCAGGTATATGGGAGTCCACTACTGCACTTTTGCGCACATTAAACATTTCCAAGTTGAAAAGTTGAAATAGTATACCAGTAATTCCATCAGTCTGGCTTGGTACCCTCCAAGGAAGAAATAAAAAATAGAAAAGACTTTGACTATAAGCAGTATGGGTTTCTATACATAAGTTTTAAATAAAATTTATAAATCTTAAATAAAGGCAATATGTGCTCAATCTAATTCCAAAGAAACAAATATTTTAAAAATAAGTAGCATTTTACATTTGAACATAAACATATATTTCAATATGCATGTTAAGTGATAAAGCTGGCTGGGTGTGATGGCTCACACCTGTAATCCCACCACTTTAGGAGGCCGAGACAGGTGGATCACTTGAGGTCAGGAGTTCGAGACCAGCCTGGCCAACATGGTAAAACCCTGTTTCTACTAAAAATACAAAAATTAGCTGGGCTTGGTGGCAGGCACCTGTAATCCCAGCTACTCGGGAGGCTGAGGCAGGAGAATTGTTTGAACCTGGGAAGCAGTGGTTGCAGTGAGCTGAGATTATACTCCAGCCCAGGCAAGAAGAGTGAAACTCCGTCTCAAAAAATAAAAAGTAAAATAAAATAAAATAAAGTGATAAGGCTATTCATGTTAACTCAAGTACTAATTTACGATGAGTAGCTTTCTTCAAACCATCTGAGAAATTCACATAAAGGCTACAACATAAACTTTCTTGAAAGGTGAAGTTATATTTTTAAACACTACATAACTAGACACGCAGACAACAAATCCATCTAAATTGCTTCTGCTTTAAAAAACTGATTGAGTTCTAAAACTTTTTACAAAATCCAAAGATTATATATCAACAAAATGATGCTTACCTTAGACATTCATTAAGAACCTTGGGCTCATCTGGCTGCACATTTTGAAAAGAATCATTTTTCTCAGGCTGTAATATGACATCTTCCTCTTCAAAATCTTTACGCGATTGATCTTCCATGTGTTGAGGAGTCTTAAAAACAAACAAATTTTTCTAATGTTTTAGGTTTCACAATGAGGCATAACAGATTTCATTGAAAATGTCCAATTTAAGTATAAAATGGTAAAAAATTCAACATTATAAAATGGAGACTTTAAAATACTTTTAATGTTTTTTCTTTAGCTATCTTAGAAAATTTCATGAGTTACTCCTTTTAGGATATCTCAAAGCCCCATTCTTTTCCTCCCAATCAAAAAACAAGTAACTGCCTTGGTTTCATCTGTTAGAAATACCCCTGTGGGGTCTATCTTTCTGAATTCTTTTGATTACTATAAATGCATTATAGATCACGGGAATTTTTTTTTCTTTTTTTTTTTTTTTGAGACGGAGTCTTGCTCGGTCGCCCAGGCTGGAGTGCAGTGGTATGATCTCGGCTCACTGCAAGCTCTGCCTCCCAGGTTCATGCCATTCTCCTGCCTCAGCCTCCCGAGTAGCTAGGACTACAGGCGTCCACCACCACACCCAGCTAACGTTTTTGTATTTTTAGTAGAGAAGGGGTTTCACCGTGTTAGCCAGGATGGTCTCAATCTCCTGACCTCGTGATCCGCCCACCTCGGCCTCCCAGAGTGCTAGGATTACAGGCATGAGCCACTGCGCCTGGTCAGAATTTTTTTTTTTTAAGACAGGGTCTCACTCTGTCACCCACGCTAGAGTGCAACGGCATAATTATAGATAGCTCACTGGAGGCTTGAACTCCTGGGCTCAATTGATCCTCCTGCCTCAGCCTCCCAAGTAGCTGGGACTATAGGAGCACACCACCAAGCCCAGCTAATTAAAAAAATTTTTGTTTGTAGAGACAGAGTGTCACTATGTTGCCCAGACTGGTCTCAGACACCTGGCCTCAAGCAATCCTCTCACCTCGGCCTCCCAAAATGCTGGGATTTCAGGCATGAGTCACCATGCCTGGCCTAGAGACCATGGGAATTATAAGAAATTGAAATCTCAAAACATGACAACTTTTATCTTTATCACAAAGGCTATGTAAATAATCTAAAATTCACAGTCTTTGTTCTTGGAATTGTATCTTACTAGGGAGCTTTTAACACTTTATGCTGTTTAAGCCAATGTTAAAACTCACATATGTACTTATTTCTTCAAAACAAAAGATTAATTCAAACATCCACTAAGTGATACGGAAAAGCAACTCCAAATATGAGGTCAGGTGAAACAGATTATCTATCATGTAAATGCCCAAAATCTAAAATGGCTTTACAACTAGCAAAGCTGCTGGCTATGAGATTTTGACCAAAAATGTAATAAATGATGCACACAAATTGTGCAGTACTGTTTTGAAAAGGGGGTAAAGGGGTTGGGCACAGTGGCTCATGCCTGTAATCCTAGCACTTTGGGAGGCCAAGGCGGGTGGATCACCTGAGGTCAGGAGTTTGAGACCAGCCTGGCCAATATGGCAAAACACTGTCTCTACTAAAAATACAAAAATTAGCCAGGCGTGGTGGTGTGAGCCTGCAGTCGCACAACTAAAAATACAAAAACATTATAGATCATGTGAATTTTTTTTTTTTTTTTTTGAGACAGAGTCTTGCTCTGTCGCCTAGGCTGGAGTGCGGTGGCACGATCTCAGGTGGCTGAGGCAGGAGAATCACTTGAACCTGGGTGGCAGAGGTTGCAGTGAGGCAAGATCGCGACACTGCATTCCAGCCTGGGCGACAGAGCAAGACTCCGTCATAAATAAATAAATAAATGTATGTATGTATGTATGTAAGTATGTGGGTGAAGGGAAGCTTATATTAAGGCTCATGTACTTGCTTACCAAAAATGTGAGGAGGAATCAGAGTACTTACATCTCTATCAGCACAGGATTCATTTTCATTCTTCTCTACATTGGCCCCAATTTCTTCCTGTGATATGAGAATTTCTTTTCTTTCAGCAGCTTTACCTGCATTTGGCTTTGGCTTTTGCAATCGGCCCCTCACTTGTACAGGTCTTAAAGCCTTTAGTTGACTCCCTTCCTGCAGACAATTTTTTTCACCCAAACTAGAACCACAAAGAAATAAAATTAATGTTTATTTTGAAGTCACCAATTTCCTTCTCCCTGGCATGAATAAGTAAACCATTTGGAATATGAAATAATTCACAAGTTTCCTGAAAAGACATAATCCGCCCGGGCGCAGTGGCTCGCACCTGTAATCCCAGCACTTTGGGAGGCCGAGGCGGGCGAATCATTTGAGGTCAGAAGTTCGAGACCAGCCTGGCCGACATGGTTAAACCTGTCTCTACTAAAAATACAAAAATTAGCCAGGTGTGGTGGTGGGCGCCTGCAATATCAGCTACTTGGGAGGCTGAGGCAGAAGAATCGCTTGAAACCGGGAGGCAGAGGTTGCAGTGAGCAGAGACTGCACCACTACGTGACAGAGCGAGATTCCATCTCAAAAAAAAAAAAAAAGAGAGAGAAAAAAAAAGACATAATCCTGGAAGCCCTCTTGAAAAAGCACTTTTAAATAGAATTTTATTACAAAATTGGAAAAATCTACATCTGCCAAGCATAGAATACTACTCCTGACTAAGGATACTATAGAATAATGTAGAACTCCAGGGGATTAGTCCCAAATCATAGTATAAATGGTAACCCCTGGAAGAGCCCAGAATCCACCAGTCAGATTCACATTCTATTTTAGATTTCTATTTCAAGTTAAATATTCCCTTTTAAAATCTCTTAGTATAAATAAAATTATCCAGGGGCATATACTGTAAACATTCAAATGTAATGGCTAACTCAATAGACTCATAAAATTTATATAAGCAATATCAAGCAGAGAGAGTATTATGAATGTTTCAAAACCACCTATGGTTGAAAACGAACTTAAAGTATGCTGCTTGAAAATTAAATTCAGACCTTATTAAGTAGAAAACAAATTATTACCATCATTCCTAAGAGTTACTTTTTTTTTTTTTTTTTTTTACTACTTCCTGAATACTCACACAGATACAGTTTCAGCTTCTGGATTCTCTCTCTCTGTAGTCTCCATTCTCAAAATGTCCAATGTATTCATTTTATCTTTTTCCACGTGGTTCTGTGAATTTAATTTGCTACAATTTATCTACTTACAATAAACAGTTCAAACTTTGTAATAAACAAATGGAAATTAAAACAACAGAACTGGCCGGGCACGGTGGCTCAAGCCTGTAATCCTAGCACTTTGGGAGGCCAAGGCAGGCGGATTGCCTGAGCTCAGGAGTTCAAGACCAGCCTGGGGAACATGGTGAAACTGTCTCTACTAAAATACAAAAAATTAGCCAGGCATGGCAGCGTGTGCCTGTAGTCCCAGTTACTTGGGAGGCTAAGGCAGGAGAATTCTTTGAACGCAAAAGGTAGAGGTTGCAGTGAGCCGAGGTCACACCACTATACTCCAGCCTGGGTGACAGAGTGAGACTCCATCTCAATAAATGAATAAATAAGAACTTCATTTTTTGTACTTCTAACTAGAGGAGATTTTCTAAAAATCCTAAATGCAGATGAGAATTTTTTTTTTTTTTTTGAGACAGGGTCATGCTCTGTCGCCCAGGCTAGAGTACAGTGACATGATCATAGCTCACTGCAGCCTTGACCCCCAAGGCTCAGGTGATCCTCCCACCTCAGCCTCCTGAGTAGCTGGGACTACAGGTGCACACTATGCCCAGCTAATTTTTTCATTTTTTGTAGAGACCAGATCTTGCCATGTTGCCCAGGCTTGTTTCAAATTCCTGGGCTCAGGTGATTAGCCCGCCTCAGCCTCCCAAAGGGCTGGGCTTACAGGTGTGAGCCACCACACCTGATGTACATTTTTTTTTTTTAAGAAAAATGGAATCACACTAAATATTTCAGAAAAATATTTCTGAAATGTTAATTACCAAAGGATACAAAACTGTATTGAAACCATGATTCAGTTGTGTAAAAGAAAATCTGTAAGGAGATATGTGAAAAGATTGGTTGCAAGGGAATAATGAAATTACAAGTATTAGAAGGAATGGCTGGGCATGGTGGCTCACGCCTGTAATCCCAGCACTTTCGGAGGCTGAGGCAGGTGGACCACCTGAGGTCAGAAGTTCGAGAGCAGCCTGGCTAACATGGTGAAACCCCGTTTCTATTAAATATACAAAAAATTAGCCGGGCATGGTGGCGCATGCCTGTAATCCCAGCCACTCAGGAGGCTGAGGGCAGGGGAATCGCCTGAACCCAGGAGGCGGAGGTTGCTGTGAGCCGAAATCACACCATGCACTCCAGCTGGGGCAACAAGAGTGAAACTAAACCTCAAAAAAAAAAAAAAAAAAAAAAAAAAGAAACAAGATTACAACACTTCAAAGAAAAAAAGGTAAAGAAAAAAATTACAAGTAATTTTTGTTTTAACTTTTACATGAATCTGTATTTTCCAAATTTTCTACAATTCAATAAACATAAGATTAGAATAATGTAACTGTACTATAAAGATTATGATAAAAGATATTTCACAAAACAGGAAAAGAAGCAAACCAACATCTTAAAAAGTGTTTTAGTTTAAAAAAAATGGTAACAATAGAATTCTGGAAAAGTTATAAGGAAACAGAAAGATTCATTTAGCAATGTAAATAGATTATTTATGACTGTCAGTTTCACAATGCATAACAATTCAGGAGACTCAGACATACCAGAAAATTTTTTAAAGTAATAAAAATAACAAATAACAAAAGACAATGCATAACAAGAATCACAAAAATATTTAAAACATTATTTGACCCAACGATCCCACCCGTCTCTAGAAATTTATACTTTGTTTCCTTGAGAAAGCCTTACTTACAAAATTGTTTGCTTCTAATGTACAAGAGTTAAAAAAACAAACAAAAATAGAAACAATCTGAACATCCATTAGTAGAGAACTGATTAGGTAAATCAATAACATGTTAACATGACACAGCTATTAAAAAGATCAATTGGACCCAAAAAAATGTAAATTAATAGTTTCAGAGGAAAAGGGTTTTTTTTTAATTTTTTATTTTTTTGAGACAGAGTTTCGCTCTGTTGCCCAGGCTGGAGTGCAGTGGTGCAATCTTGGCTCAATGCAACCTCTTCCCTTCCGGGTACAAGTGGTTCTTTTGCCTCAAACTCCCGAGTAGTTGGGATTACAAGCATGTGTCACAATGCCCAGCTAATTTTTTTGTATTTTTAGTAGAGATGGGATTTCGCCATGTTGGCCAGGCTGGTTTCAAACTCCTGGCCTAAAGTAAGCCACCAGCCTTGGCCTCACAAAGTGCTGGGATTACAGGTGTGTGCCACCGTGGTCAGCTGAAAAAGGTTTTGGCAGGGCACGGTGGCTCAATATGGTGAAACCTAGTCTCTACTAAAAATACAAAAATTGGCTGGGCATAGAGGCGCGCGCCTGTAATCTCAGCTACTTGGAAGGCTGAGGCAGGAGAATCTCTTGAACCCAGGAGGCAGAGGTTGCGGTGAGCCGAGATCACGCCATCGCACCACAGCCTGGGCGACAGGGCGAGACTCCGTCTCAAAAACAAAACAAAGAAAAGAAAAAGGTTTTAAACATTATACACATTATGGTTAAAAATTATAGAAATGTGTGCATACATAGATAAAGTTATTGGCCAGGCATGGTGCCCTCATGCCTGTAATCCCAGCATTCTGAGAGGCCAACGCACACGGATCACTTGAGGTCAGGAATTCAAGACAAGCTTGGCCAACATGACAAAACCTCGTCTCAACTGAAAATACAAAAATTAGCTGGGCGTGGTGGTGCATGCCTGCAATCCCAGCTACTTAGGAGGCTGAGGCACAAGAATAGCTTGAACCTGGGAGACAGAGGCTGCAGTGAGCCAGGATCATGCCATTGCACTCCAGCCTGGGCGACTGGGCGAGATCCTATGTCAAAAAAAAAAAAAAAAGACGGCAGGCGTGGTGGCTCACGCCTGTAATCCCAGCACTTTGGGAGGCTGAGGCAGGTGGATCACATGAGGTCAGGAGTTCGAGACCAGCCTGGCCAACAAGGTGAAACCCTGTCTCTACTAAAAATACAAAAATTAGCCAGGCATGGTGGCAGATGCCTGTAATCCCAGCTACTTGGGAGACTGAGGCAGAAGAATTGCTTGAACCTGGGAGGCAGAGGCTGCAGTGAGCCAAGATCGTGCCACTGCACTCCAGCCTGGGCAACAGAGCAAGACTCCATCTCAAAAAAAAAAAGAAATAAAGAAAGAAAAAGAATAAAGAAATTTATTGACCAGGTGAGCTGGCTCATGCCTATAACCCCAGCACACTGGGAAGCTGAGGCAGGAGAATCACTTGAGGCCAGGAGTTAGAAACCAGCCTGGTGAACACAGTGAAACTCCATTCCAAATTTTTGCTAACTTAAAACAGAAAATCAGGCCGGGTGCGGTGGCTCACGCCTGTAATCCCAGCACTTTGGGAGGCCAAAGCAGGCAGATCACGAGGTCAGGAGACAGAGACCATCCTGGCTAACGCGGTGAAACCCCATCTCTACTAAAAATACAAAAAATTAGCCGGGCATGGTGGTGGGCACCTGCAGTCCCAGCTACTCAGGAGGCTGAGGCAGGAGAATGGCGTGAACCTGGGAGGCAGAGCTTGTAGTGAGCCAAGATCACGCCACTGCACTCCAGCCTGGGAGACAGTGAGACTCCGTCTCAAAAAAAAAAAAAAATTATCTGGGTTTGGTGGCACACACCTGTAGTCCCAGCTACTGGGGAGGGTGATGTGGGAGAATCACTTGAGCTCAGGATTTCGAGGCTGCAGAGAGCCATAATACTGCCATTGCACTCCTGGACTCTGTTGCCTGGGCAATAGAGCAAGACCCTGTCTCAGAAAAAACAAACAGAAAGTTTGTAAAAGACAAACAGAAATGAGACTGCCTGTGTGTAGATGAGAATGTTGTGGGCAGAATTTAATATATAGCTGGTTTATGAAATATTTTAAATAAAAATTTTATAGAAGTAAACAGAAGACAGATTTATCACCACTGAGGATATCTGAAATGATTACATCCCAGGTTAAAGAAAATGTGTAAACAGGAGACTAATAAGATACGAACAAATCTAATGTTAATGTAAGTTCTTGTATCTGTTTTAATATCAGTAACAGTACTTTGTAATTTCAAGTCAACAACTTTTATTCCCAACTATCTAAAGAAAATTTTTATAATTTTAATTTCCATGAAATCTCTTACCCCATACCTTTTCAACTGAAGTTTTTGAATGTGAATTCTTGCTCTCTGACTCTGTTTTGCCTTGTGAAAGAACTGATTTCTTCCCAGCCCTTGACAAATTGGGTTTAGGTCTTTGGAAGCGACCTCTCAACATTGGTTTAACATTTTCTGTTTGATCAATTTCCCTGAAAAATTAACATTATTTAAATAGCATCAAACATGCAGTCATGTCCAAATGAACTTCTAAAATAACCTACTGAGAATTAGGAAGAACTCCTTTAAGAGCTTACTTAGAACAAGAGTAGCAAAGAAAACTTAAAGAGACTAACTTGTTCTATCTGATATTAAAAATACACCATTCATCATCAGTAATTAAAACAGTGTGGTACTAACATATGAATAAACAGATAAATGAAACAAATTTAAAATCCAGAAAATAACTTCAAAATAGACATGATTTTGGTATATATTGAAGGTAGCAACTCATAATAGGGAGGATAAGATGAAATGCAATACAATACAGTGAGGATAAAACGTAAGAAATATTAAGTAAGATTAAATGATGATGGGAAGGCCGGGCGCAGTGGCTCACGCCTATAATCCCAGCACTTTGGGAGGCTGAGGCAGGTGGATCACCTGAGGTCAGGAGTTCGAGACCAGCCTGGCAAACATGGTGAAACCCCGTTTCTACTAAAAATACAATAATTAGCCATGCATGGCGGCACGTGCCTGTAGTCCCAGCTACTTGGGAGGCTGAGGCAGGTGAATCCCTTGAACCCGGGAGGCGGGGGTTGCAGTGAGCCAAGATGGTGCCACTGCACTCCAGCCTGGGTGACAAGAGCAAGACTCCGTCTCTGGATGTGGTGGCGAGCACCTATAGTCCCAGCTACCTGGGAGACTAAGGTGGGAGGATCACCTAAGCCTGGGAGGTTGAGGTTGCAATGAGCTATGATCACACCACTGCACTCCTGCCTGGGCAACAGAGTGCAACCCTGTCTCAAAAAAAAAAAAAAAAATTCATAAATGTTTAAATGTGTATGTGTGTGTGAGGGAGAGCTCAATCATACCTTTTTATACTTTTCGATGTTTGAACCCTATGAATGTATTGTCTATTTCAAAGACTGACATTTTTAAGTTTGATTTCCATTGTGACAGTACTTTACTGAAAAATAAGAATTTATGAACTGAATAGCTTTCTTTTTTTTTTTTTTTTGAAATGGAGTCTCGCTCTGTCGCCCAGGCTGGAGTGCAGTGGCATGATCTCAGCTCACTGCAGGTTCTACCTCCCAGGTTCACGCCATTCTCCTGCCTCAGCCTCCCAAGTAGCTGGGACTACAGGTGCATGCCACCACACCCGGCTAATTTTTTGTATTTTTAGCAGAGACAGCGTTTCACTGTGTTAGCCAGGATGGTCTCAATCTCCTGACCTCCTGATCCGCCCGCCTCGGCCTCCCAAAGTGCTGGGATTACAGGTGTGAGCCACTGCGCCCAGCCCATAAACTATTAATAGCTTTTAAGCCCATATGAGATGAGGAATTACAAGGAAGACTAAAAGGAAGTATAAAACTTTCAGATACCTCTTCAAAGGGAGATTTTTATGATGTTTTTAATCGTTTCTTGGGAAGATACTAATTTAACCAGTATCTGCATACTGGAAGATATACTTCCTTGAAATCACCAATATCAAAATATTATTTTGACACCAGGCATAAAAAATAACTCAAACCAAGTAAAAGTAAAATCTCATGGCAAATATTTAGGCTTCCAAATTGTTTTAGAATTTCGTAAGTTACCACCTTCCTAAAATTCATATCATTATTATATAACAGATATGAAAGAGAATCTTTCTGCAAAGAAATATAAAGTAAAACACCTGATGTTACACTCTGAACAGACTACAGTATAATTACATATTAAATGATTCCCTCTACTATTAATAAAGTATGTATTAATAATCCCCTCGAATCCCTAAATGAAGCAACATTATTATCATTTAAGAACCTTATCAAAATTTTATAAATAAATCCTATCGTATAAAATACTTACAGTGAATTATTTTTTAGGTCAACATTTCTTTCTTCTATACAACTACCCTCAGCATTATTCACCTCACACAATGCTCTAATTCCAACTTCGAATGAAGGCAAATCTGAAGTGCTTGATTCTGAAGACTCAGTTGCTACTGATGTGGCATCTTGTTGATTACTAAAAAAAAGAAAATATTTCAGAGAGAAAAGAATTCCTAATGATATATATTTTATAATTATTTTTAAAAATGTTAAACACACAAAATCACCATTTTGCAAGATGCTGCTTCACATTATAGAGTAATACAAACTGCTACATTAGCTTTTCTATGATCCATCTTGCATCATGTTATAAAAACTGTACCTCCAGAGAAAGCAGCAGCCACAAATTTACACGCTTAGGAACATGCTCAAGAAGTTTCAAAATGAAGGCCGGACAAGGTGGCTCACGCCTGTAATCCCAGCACTTTGGGAAGCCAGGGCGGGCAGATCACTTGAGGCCAGGAGTTTGGAACATCCTGGCCAACATGGTTAAATCCCATCTCTACTAAAAATACAAAAACTAGCTGGGCATGGTGGTGCAGGCCTATAATCCCACCTACTCAGGAGGCTGAGGCAAAAGAATCACTTGAACCCGGGAGGTGGAATCACACCACTGCACTCCAGACTGGGTGACAGAGCAAAGCTCTGTTTCAAAAAAAGAAAAGGCTTCAAAATGAGAAATTATTAAATGTGGTTCACAAATCAAACATGCGTAAAATAATACTAATATTTAGGAATTAGCTTTCATTAAAATTTATATAGGCAATCCTTGCTATGCAGGGTACTGTGTAACCAAAAGTCAAATAAAGCAAAGATACAGCTCCAATAAGCTCAAGTTGAGTTAACATAGTCCTACGCAAAGTGAGAACTACTATATTAAAAAATATTTCAAATATCAGCCAGGTGTGGTAGCACGTGCCTGTAGTCCTAGCTACTCAGAAGGCTGAGGTGAGAGGATTGCTTAAGCCCAGGAAGTCAAGGCTGCAGTGAGCTGAGATTGCACCACTGCATTCCAGCCTGGGCGACAGAGCAAGACTCTGTCACAAAATAAATTTCAACTAACAATAATATAACTGATAGCCACGCACTGACCATTTCAACACATATTCACATTTAGCCATACCTTTTTCTTTTTTTCTTGTTCATTTTTTCTACTAGGTGTTTATGTTTTCCTGACTTATCAGCAAGAGTTCTCTATATATTTTTATTGTCTAGATATTACACATAAAATCTCCCGATCAGTAACTTGCCTTTTATTTTCTTTATGGAGGATTTGTTAACAGAAGTATTTAATTTTACTACCATCAAACTTATCAATCTTATCTTTTAAAGTCTGTGTTTTCTACGTCTTAATAGAAATGTCTTACCTGAGGCCTTCACATTACAAAGATATTTTTCTACATTTCTTCTAAAAGTTGTAAAGATTTGTTTTATACATGTAGTCTTCAATCCATCAGGAAGTTAGCGGATATGGTAACACAAGGATCAAATATTATGTTTTTCAAATCTCAGCTCAATCTAATGAAGTTAGTTCTATCTTTGCCCGCTAATTTCTAAAGCTACCTCTGCCATATAACAGATTCCTAAATGTCTCTTCCTAAACTCTATATTCAGTTCCACTGAGTCAATTCATCTAACCCTACACCAATACCATGCTGCTTTAGTTACTCTAGCTCGAAAATTAGTCTACTAGCACAGTCCCTCTGCAAAGTTGGTGTTTTTTAAAACTGTCTTTACCATTCTTGAGCCTTTGTTCTTGTGTACATGACAATTTTAGAATCAACTCTTTGTTTTCCAAAACCAACTGGGACTTTAACAGTCATTACAAGGTTGTTTTTCCCCTAAATTAGAAAAAGCTAGGGCCAGACACAGTGGCTCATGCTGAGGTGCGAGGATTGCTTGAGCCCAGGAGTTTGAGACCAGCCTGGAAAACATCTCTACTAAAAAATGTTTTTAAAATTAGCCAGTCATGGTGTCCCATGACTGTAGTCCCAGCTACTCGAGATGCTGAGGTGATAGAATCATTTGAGCCCAAGAGTTCAAGGTTGTGGTGAGCTGTGATCACGCTACTACACTCTAGCCTGAGCAACAGAGTAAGACCCTGTCACAACATTTTTTAATTATTTTAAAAATTAGAAAAAGTCACGAGTACAGTTTTGTGTAGTTTATGAAATTAGGTGTATCTCTGAACTCACACTTTAGATTATCTGTCACCTAGGAACAAACAACTATGAGAAATAGCATATGATTCCACTTATGTGAATATCTAGATTAGACAGAGTCATAGAGACAGAAAGTTGTCTACATCCTTACCGCTCTCAATGAGCCTAATTTGATCTCAAACTAAGCAAGTCTGGTCCTGATTAATACTTGGATGAGAAACAGAAAGCAGATTAGAGATTATCAGTGGTTGCAGGGAGGGGAGAATGAGGAATTACTGCATAATGGGTACAGGTTTTCTGTTTCCAGTGATAAAATAGCTTTAGAAATAGTGCTGATGGCTGCACAACAATGTAAATGTAAATAATGCCACTAAATTGTATGCTTAAAAATAGTAAACAGCTTTAAGTTTGTTTTTGGCAACAGTTTCTTAGATATGACACCAAAAGTATAGGCAACAAAAGCAAAATTAGACAAATGGGACTACATTGAACTAAAAAACTTCTGTACGCCAAAGGAAACAGCAGAGTGAAAAGGCAACCTATGGAATGGGAGAAAATGTGTAAATCATATTTCTGATAAGGTCCTAAAATCCAAACTATATAAATAATTCTCAAAACTCAATAGCAAAAAAGAAAATAACCTAATTAAAAAATTGGGCACAGGACCTGAATAGACATGTCTCCAAAGAAGATATACAAATGGCTAACAGCTATGAAAGATGCTCAACTCAATAATTATCCGGGAAATGCAAATCAAAACAACCATAAGAAACCACCTTCTACCTGTTCAGAAGGACATTATTAATAAAATAAAAGATAACAAGTATTGAAGAAGATGTGAAAAAAACTGGAACCCTGTACATTGTTGGTGGTTATGTAAAATGGTGTACCCGCTATTGGAAACAGTATGGAGGGTCCTCAAAAAATTAAAAGTAGAACTACCATATGATCTAGCAACCCCACTTCTGGGTATTTATCCACAAGAACTGAAATCAGGATCTCAAAGAGATATTTGCACTCCCATGTTCAGTGATGCCAACAGACAAAAACAACCTAAATGTCCATAAAGAAAATGTGGTCTATACATGTACTAGAATATTATTTGCTCATAAAAAAGGAAATCTTCTCATATGCTACACCATGGATGAACCTTGAGGACATTACATTAAGTGAAATAAGCCAGTCACAGAAAGAAAAATACTGCATGAGGCTGGGCGCTGTGACTCACACCTGTAATCCCAGCACTTTGGGAGGCCAGGGCAGGTGGATCACCTGAGCTCAGTTCAAGACCAGCCTGAGCAAAATGGTGAAACCCTGTCTCTACCAAAAATACAAGAAATTATCCAGGTATGGTGGTACATGCCTGTGGTCCCAGCTTCTCAGGAGGCTGAGATGGGAGGATTGCTTGAGCCTGGGAGGTGGAAGTTGCAGTGAGCTGAGATCGTGCCACTGCACTCCAGCCTGCGTGACAGAGACCGACCCCATCTCAAAAACAAAACAAAACAAAACAAAACAAAGAAAGAATCATGATTGCCAAGGGCTGGGAGGCGGAGGAAATAGGAGTTGCTGTTCAATAGGTATAGAGGTGCAGTTATGCAAGGTAAAAAAAAATTCCAGAGATCAGCAATACAACACTGTGCTTATAGTTAACAACACTGTATAGTACACATAAAAAATCTATTGAGGGTAAATCTCATGATTTTATATTACAAAATAAAATTTAAAAACACACACACACACAGCAAGACACATCACATTCAAACTAACGAAAACCAAAAATAGAGAAAATCATTACAGAAAATGATAAACCCATGCAAACGCCAACCAAAAGAAAGCTACAATAGCAAAGTAAACATCAGAAAAAAAGAGCAATACCAGAAGGATAGTACATAATGATAAAGGGAATTTCACCAAGACAAAACAATCCTAGATATGTACACACCTAACAACAGAGCTTCAAAATATATGGAGCAAAAACAAATAGAACTGAAAAAAAGAAACAGGCAAATCCACAGTTACAGATGGAGACTTCAACACTCCTTTCTCAGTAATCAACAGATGTGGATAAAACCAGAAAAGACACAGAAAATACCTTAATGAAAGGATGGGGTCAGTTCTTTTCTCAACTTTTTCAGTGGAGGCAAAACCCACAATGCCATCTATGTTTTGTGTGCAGGAAAGCATCTGCTCCTTACTGCATTCACCTTCCTTTAGCTCAGGCCTTATAGCCTGACATTTATCTACAAATACAAAATGCATGTTATTCTAAAAAATGACAGCAAAAACATCTTTTTTAGAGCACAAAGGAATTTACCTATAACACTCTTTTCCTACAAAACCTTAAGCAACATTCAAGTCCCTATTTGCAAGGCACACATCTTATTTTTAGACCATAATAAAAACTTAACATATATGAGGATCAGCTCAAGCTTCTTGGGCAATTTGTAGCATCTTCCTTTTATCTTAAATTCTAAGTATTTAAAGTGGCTTATTTTATATGTCAAGTAGGGAAACTAAAAGTTGACTTAACTATTCTTTTGCTCCTTCAGAAGTATACTAATTAGTAACACAGTAATAGCTATCATTTATTAAGTACTTACTAAGCGGCAGGAACCCTTAAGTCCATCAGATGCATTATCTCATTTAATACTTGAAACAATCCTATTAAAATATATTAACATTAACCTCATAGAGAACCCCCTGAGTTCAGAGATCTTAAGTAACTTTCCCAATGCAATACTTAAGCAAGTAAAAAAGCTGGAATTTAAAGCAAGGTCTGTTTGATTTCTAAAACCTGGTTGTGAATCATTAAGCTGTTCTGCATTATACGTAATGACTCCAATAAGCCAAAAAAGAGCATAATATTGAGATGCCTACAAAGCATACTATGTTAGCTACCAGTACTCTTTTATTAAAATCAGATGGGTAAATCTGAACTACAGAAAACATAAATTTTATAGAAAGGTTGTTCTGGTCTGCTCCTACCTTTTCCTTGGTTATCAGCTTTAAATAATCTACATATGAACTCTTAAGGAAAGGGACCAAGACTCCCCCTCAAACTCTTAGCCCTCATCCCCAAGCAACTCATAAGTGGCAATATGTTTGCATTCAAAGAGTAAAAAAGAAAAAGGGAAGGAATACATATTCCACTAGTTCTTTTATAGGAACTAACCCCTTGTGGGTTCACAGAGGTGCTCTGTAGAGGTACAACATGAAAATCTGTGCTTTATTGACAGACATAGCAACATACTTTTAACTCTATATAGATGTGATTTCTAATCATAGTTAATGGGAATGCACAGGAGGTGATACATCTTAGAAACAAACTTTAGAGAACAATCTCCCCACTTTAATTTGTTTAATTTTTTTACATAAACTTTTTTAATTAAAAATAAACAGCGTTAGCACAGTACCATTAGTACAGAACCAATTAATAAGCATCATTAATTGCTATCTAGACAGAAAATTAAGTTACATACCATATTACTGTACATGTCTTCTCAAGTAATATAGAGGCTTTTTAAATATGTAAGAAACTTACTCTTGTGTTTTTCTCCTTTAGAAGGACCCGCCTGAACAGTGGCATTTTCTAAAAGATTGTTTACTCCCAGTTCATTAGCTCCATCTTGCTTCTTCCTCCTTCTTTTCTTTTGATTTAGGTCTACTTCTAATGCAACCTGCTCTGCATCCTCCCTTGATAAGGTCAGAGACTCTTCTTCAACTGTCTGAGCATCCTTCTGAGATCTTTCCGTGTCTGAAATTCTAGAACTCATAGACTCATCTGGATCATTATTCACTCCTTCACAGGCAACTTTTTTCACTGAAAACAAGAGAAATTACTATAAATATTTAAACAACCTAAAGAAAAATTTGTAAAGGTGGGAAAGAGACTCAAAGATGTCCTCTGTATTATTTATTTGTATGAACAAAAAACCTAAAGACAACCTAAAATGTCTAATGGGAAATGACTAAATAATATATAAAAATCCACGGAGCCAATAATAATAATGAGGTAAGATTATATGTAGTCATGTGAAAAATTTCAAAGCATATTGTTGCATTTAAAAAACCAAGCAGAACAAGATACACATAAAATCTCATTTTTATTAAACAAAAACAGTTACATATAGAGATGCTCCTTGACTTACACTGGGTTTCATCCCAATAAACCCATCATAAGTTGAGTATACTGTAAATTGAAAATGCATTTAATACAGGCTGGGCATGGTGGCTCACACCTGTAATCCCAGCACTTTGGGAGGCTGAGGAGGGTGGATCATCTGAGGTCAGCAGTTCGAGACCAGCCTGGCCAACATGGTGAAACCCCATCTCTACCAAAAATACAGAAATTAGCTGGACATGGTGGCAGGCGCCTGTAATCCCAGCTGCTCGGGAGGCTGAGGCAGGAGAATCACTTGAACACGGGAGGCGGAGGTTGCAGTGAGCCAAGATCGCACCATTGCACTCCAGCCTGGGCAACAAGAGCAAAACTCTGGGCTGGGCATGGTGGCTCACGCCTGTAATCCTAGCACTTTGGGAGGCTGACACAGGCAGATCACTTGAGGTCAGGAGCTCAAGACCAGGCTGGCCAACATGGTGAAACCCCGTCTCTACTAAAAATACAAAAATTAGCTGGGTGTGGTGGTACTTGCCTGTAATCCCAGCTACTTGGGAAGCTGAGGCAGGAGAATCGCTTCAACTGGAGAGGTGGAGGCTGCAGTGAGCTGAGATGGCACCATGGCACTCCAGCCTGGGCAACAAGAGCAAAACTCCGTCTCAAAAAAAAAAAAAAGTTCTGGCTGGGCGTGGTGGCTCACACCTGCAATCCCAGTACTTTGGGAGGCCAAGGTGGGCGATCATTTGAGGTCAGGGGTTTAAGACCAGTCTGGCCAATATGATAAAATCCCATCTCTACAAAAAAATTACAAAAATTAGCTGGGCATGGTGGCACATGCCTGTAATTCCAGCTACTCAGGAGGCTGAGGTGAAAGAACTGCTTGAACTCGAGCAGTGAAGGATTCAGTGAGCCGAGATCAGGCCACTGCACTCCAGCCTGGGCAACAAAGTGAGACCCTGTCTCAAAAAAAAAGTTCTTACATTAAGTAAGATACAGTGAGTTACTCATGTTATCACCTGTAACATACAAGAAGATACATAATCTTCTACGATTATGTGTAAGTAAAAAAAAAAGACTACTAAGAATAAAGGTATTTTGTAGTTATCAATACTACTTTTTAAAAGATATGCCCCAGAAGAAGAAATTCTAGCCTAGCTTTGAACAGTAAAGAGTTAATTTTGCAGGCTTGACTGCTATCCTTTGAAAATCCTTCTTATAAGGTTGGCCCTTGGGCCATGTCTCAGAATTTGGTTCTGGGAAGGGTTCCTACCACCCTAACTGATAAGAGTGGCTCACTGTGCCTTAGCTGTACAATGTGGTTTATGCTGAACTGCTTTTCTTTTGAAAATCCGAAATTTTTGTATGTTCCAGGCAGAGGATGCTGAATCCTTAGTCTTCCTAGTGGATAATCGAACCCCGGTGGTGGTCGTGGGGACCCCCAACACAGGCTCTCACCATCCCAGGTTTCAGTTCTGCCTCTGCCACTACACACACTGTGAGTCCTTAGGAAAAAGTGTCTTACGATCTCTGGGGCTGTTTCTTGGTGATTAAAACCAATACAAAGGGCCGGGCACGGTGGCTCACGCCTGTAATCCCAGCACTTTGGGAGGCCGAGGCAGGCATATCATGAGGTCAAGAGATCAAGACCATCCTGGCTAACATGGTGAAACCCCGTCTCTACTAAAAATACAAAAAAAATTAGCCGGGTGTGGTGACGGGCACCTGTAATCCCAGCTACTCGGGAGGCTGAGGCAGGAGAATGGCGTGAACCCGGAAGGCGGAGCTTGCAGTGAGTCGAGATCGTGCCACTGCACTCCAGCCTGGGCAACAGAGCGAAACTCTGTCTCAAAAAAAACAGAAAAAAAGAAAAAAACAACACAAAGGGGGCTAAAATGTAAGCTAGCTAACATATAAGGTTCCCTATAGTTCCGAGCGTCTTCTTTATGTGATTATAGCTAAACATTGTCCTTATAGACCAGAGTTCAAATAGTTAAGAAAACATAAGCCTAAAAATAAAAATACCTACATATATACAATTTCTACCTGTTACAACTCAACATTAGCCTTCAGAAATAAGTTACGCTCAACCAATACAGTCTAGTCACAACCCCAGAAGATTAGAGTTCCTTTTTTTAATCCTAGAATTTTATACCAGATTTGTTTTACAGAGGAAAATGATAATAAATAATCAAACATGAAATACAACACTCCAAATTCTGATGCTCTTTGACTGGCTACAACTATCCTCTATGCTAGAGAGATATCAAATAACCCAATCACGCCAGTTAAAAATTTTAAAAGAAAGCTATTGTTTTGGACCAGATAACTAGTTGATTGAAAAAACATATACTCCCTCCAACTGGATGCTTTGATGATCTTAACTACCTGAGCTACACATGAACTCTCAAAGGCCTGAGGGACAATATTGCAAGTTTATTACTACTAAGTAAACTATCACACTTCCTTTTAAAATCAATACCTTTTACATTTTTCCGTGGTTTGGTGGATTTCTTCTCCTTTAAACTGTGATTTTTAACAGATTTTTGTTTTCTTTTCTCTTCTTCAGCAAGAACTTTCTGAAGCAAATGAGCAAAAAAATCGAAGTCAAAAGGGCGCTTTTCCTCTGTTTAAAGAAAAGGAAAAGAACTTTCAAGTTTTTATTTTTAAAAGCTACTTCTAGCTTTTAAAGTATCATAACATCAAAAGCAAATGGGTTTGTTTATCAGTAGGAGAACAGAAAAACAAATACACAACAGAACACCACTCAGCAACAGAATAGGTTGGTCTTAGCAGGGAAATAGATTAGTTCACATCAGAACACCACTCAGCAACGAAACAAATAAACTAGTTTATTACAAATAATAATTTATTACAAATTTGTAATAATTTGTTTATTGCAAATAAACTAGTTTTAAACAAAACAAAAGGAACAAACTACTGATACATGCAATAATATGAGGGAATCTCAAAAACATACTGAGTGGAAGAAAACAGATACTAGGGTACATACTATATGATACCATGTATAAGATATTCTAGAACACACTAAGCTATCTATGGTGATTAAAATGAAAATAGTGGTTGCCTTGGGCCAGGAGGACAGCATTTGATTGTTCAGAAAGGGACATAATAGACCTTGTGAAGTGATGAAAACATTTCCTCTATTGTTTGGGGTAGTGATTACACAGGCATATTCTTTGTCAAAACTTGAACTACACTTTGAGCTGTGTATAAATATAAATCAATTTTTTTATGGACTGAGAAGTCCTTGAAATGCCTGTTCACCACCATATGCCCTACCTTTATCACAACCATTTCACCATTTACTCTTATAAGTATCAGCAAAGTGGGAAGTAAATGAATTTAATCAGGAACATGCCCACTAAATACCTATCAACAGCATTATATCTGAAAGTAATCAGTGAACACTCCAGGAATGAATCCAGACCAGGAGGCAAATCCTTGCTTGAACTTAAAGTCAATGTAGAGAAAATGGTGCTCTATGCACATAAGCCAAAGACTGGTTTGATTACAAGATAGCCTCAGAAAAGAAGGTATATACTAAAATAAAAAGAATCTCTGGAAACTAAACCCAAATCTGGGATTCCTGAAGACCCTATTTCACTGTTGACCCAGACTTCATTTGTTCTGACTCTCCACAATGATTCTGAAAGACATAGCACTCAAAGAATCATAAAGGATCTCCACATGGTTCTCAGAGAAATTCAAAACATAAGTTCTCTCAAAAAACTTATATAGGTTTTAATTTAAAAAAAAAATTTCCAATAGAAAGCCTCCAAATCAATGAGTTGTTTCTAGTTTTGAGATAGGATCTTGCTGTGTTGCCCAGGCTGGCCTCGAATTCTTCGGCTGAAAAGATCCTCCTGCCTCAGCGACTCCTGAGAGTAGCTGGGCCTATAGGCATACAACACTGTATCCTGTTTAAGATCAATAAATTTTAAAAATATCTATTATAATAGTCTATAAAAATGCTTCACAATCCAAATAGACTGTTTATAGATTTACGAATTATTTTCTGACTATAATGTGTTACACTTAATGAAGTTTCAGGACCACTTCTCTAATATGGAATGGGCTGAGGAGCACAATATTCCAGATCTTCTAAGAGCCATTCCTCAAAGCAGTTTCCCTAAAGACCCGATAAAACACTGGGTGTAGGATCCACCCACCTACCTTAGTGTCTACTCATAAAATAAATATACATGCTACATAATGTAGGTACTCTCTACATTTGGATTTTTTTTTTCTAAAATTAGCACTATGGCTAATCTTACGACTAAATGGACATTGAATACATTTATTAATCATAAAATACTGATAATTGTAAATCCACAAAAAATATATTCCTGTCCACAGCTGTGGTGAAAAAAAGACCTATCTTGTAATCAAAAAATACAAGAACTATTTTTAACAGTAAATGTATTTTTCTTTATAGATCCTTTGATATCTTTCTCTAGACTTGAAGAAAAATATGTTAATTTTAATGAGGATTTTAGTTAGAAATTGCAAGATATCTATCATTCCTTCAGATGAGATCTAAATTCAAATGCTAGTGTATCTCTTCAGACAGAACTTCCCTAATGATCCAATGATCATTAGGAAAAAAGAGACCTAAACATCCACCCTCTCTTTTTTCTTCTTTTTGGAAATGAATCACTACCTAAAATTATGCTTATCAACTATATTTCTTCCGCCATCCAATCAGACTTAAGGTTCTAAATGCAGGATTCTCATCTGCCATTTATCTTCCACCATTACATGCTCAATACCTAGAACAATGACTACCATATAGTAGGTGGTCAGTGTTATTGACTGAATGACTGATTAGTCATTCAGAACCAGAAAGAACCATCTATATAACTAATAGTACTGTCTTCCAGAAACAATGATCTCCTCCCATACAGTTCCTTCAGAATAAATAACACTTAGAAGTGGTAGCATCAATCCCTCCATAACTTCTTGGACTTAGAACTGTTTACCTGCACCTAGATGTTCTGGATAATCTCCTGCCAATATATTTGTAGCAAGTGCCAGACCCATACTGCTAAACAGAAAAATTTCAGACTGCTTCCTCTTAATGCCAATACAGGAACAAAACAAATCTAAAACACACTAAAGCCAAAGACAAAAGACTGGTCATTTTTTAGGCTCTTCAAGTAATACTTTGTAAAAGAGGTCTTAATACTTACGGAATGCTTTGTCTATTCTCCATCCATTTGTTTTCTCTTCCCGTTTAAATTTATTCTGTTAACAACAAAAAACCCTATGGTAATTTTCTCTCATAAAACAAGCATTTTTTTTTAAATGCAGTAAGCATTAAAATGAAACTCTTAGGAATAACATACTGCTCTCTACTTAATATGTCTTTGCCAATAGGCAAGTTACTTAAACCTTCGGCTTTTTAAAAATAAGGATGAAAGATTTTTACTGAGCTTCTTGATTCTCATTACCAATAGCATGAATCAGCAATGGAAGCTGGATTTACAGAGGACAGAAAAAAATAAAGTCAACAAACATGAAAGCAGATCAAACCTATGACTAAGCTCACTGGTATTAACTTTTAAAAAATTAAGTATTCGTAACAGGTTAAACCTCTGACATCATTGTTCTAATATATTTCAAGTAGCATGGAGAGAAGACTATAGAGAAACAACTAAGTGAAATTTTGAAGCAGGCCAAGTTTATCCTGACAAACTTCTATATATTAAGGCACATTTCCTCACATTTTTCTCAGCCCCAAAAATCCCTGTCCTCAGTTTACTACCAGATTACTTCCATTAAGAGGGAGATGTTTAAGGCTTAAGGCTCAATCCATCCTAAAGTCATTAGGAAGACTGAGGGCATAAGTTTGTGTCTGAAGACGTCTGATCACGCAAACACATCGTAGGAGAGGAAACAAACAGCCAATGTTTCCCATCTACACGTCAGTGATCTACAAGTTTTTATTAAAAGCACAAAAATAAAGCTTTTTAATTGCAAAAAAGAGAGAGAGAATATCACATAAAACAAAGGAAGTACTTCATGCCCCCTTCCTCCCTTCAAAAGAACTTAACCACTAATATGACTTGTAAAGCAATCACTTTCTTGTATTTCCTTATTGTTTATGACCCAAGTGTGTATTCTTAGATGATACAGTTTAGCCTTGCCCATATTTTTAAAACCTGATATGACATTAACATCTTTTAATGTACAGGTTGCCCTTCTTTCCCATTCTTTTGTTTTTCTTCACAAAACTTATTATCAATACAGAAGTTTTCAAAGATAATCTTATTTCTGCCTTAAAAGATCATACTGTTATTTAAACATTTCCTCAAAAGTTAACAAATGTTACCTCCACAAAAAATGATTGGCTATAAACACTAAATTAAATGTCCTAAAAGAAATATCAATAGGCTTCAGGCATTTAATTCTAAAACAGTGCTACCTCATATTTTACTTAATTGGTAATATAATTCAGAACAATTTAAAACTTTCTCAAAGAAATATATTGAAACTAGTCAATGATTTCATAGGTAAGAACCAGTAACAGGCCAAATTCCATGATCACAAAATAAATCCCATAATTTCCACTTCTGGCCTTGGCAAAGTAACTCATTATGGACAGGTCCTACATATCCAACTCCACCACGAATGACTTTTAACACTGACAAAATATATGCATCAATTATTTTCAAGCAAAGGACAATAGTGAGAGCAAGACTACAATCACGGAGAGAAGGAAAACAGACAAGATGTGCCCATGTTTACCTTGGCTCTCTGCCTGGGCTCAATTTCCTAACCAAGGAAAGGGAGGTGAAGGCCAAACAGGGTACAGCAATCCAACTAGGCTGCAGAGGTAGGGAATCTTTAGGAGCATAGTTCTAAAAAGGAACTGTGTAGAGGGGTACCTCACAGGCCTGGTGGAAATACCCCATGATACCTTGGCCTAAGTATGGGTTGCATATGTCCAGAATATAAGGCTTAAAAGAGAACAGCTGCTAAAGCCATGAAGGCAGAAGGAAGATGCTAAAAGTCATAAAACACCATATGACAATAGAGTTCAGGTGCATCCTAATGGAAAGACCTCATTAATACCCAAATACATTCACCTCAGACACCAGAAAGATCACCATTAGAGATAAAAACGATACCCTAGAGTAGCCTTTCTCTACCAGGGATGTAGCATGAGAATTAAGTACTAATGCATTAAAGCAGCCACTGTATGCAATGCATTCCCTTCTCTCACTTATCTATTAATAGTATAGTATTAGTATAACCATCCTTAGAGAACTTAGAAAATAATAACTCATGCCTACCATGAGACTGTTCTGGGAAAAGAAGAAAATAATAAAATATAATAGTAATTCAAATTATTTTCTGTAAATCAGATGAGAAATCCCATTGGAGAAAGGATGTCCTAGATTAAAGACCAGTCTAGATCTGCCTCAACAAAGCTTTAAGACAAGCCTTAACAGGAACAAAGAAGTTGGCAGTACATTAACAGTTTTCCAGAACAAAAGTCAACACTATTTTTTATTCTGTTTTGTTTATTGAAACAGAGTCTTGATGTCTTCCAGACTGGAATGCAGTGCTGTGATCACAGCTCACTGCAGCCTTGATCTCCCAGGCTCAAGCAATCCTCCTGCCTCAGCCTCCTGAATTGCTAGGGGACGTGTGCCACCAAGCCTGGCTTTTTTTTTTTTTTTTTTTTTTTTCTTTGTAGAGATGGGATCTTGCCATGTTGCTCAGTCTGGGTTTGAACTTCTGGGCTCAAGCAATCCTCCCGTCTCAGCCTCCCAAAATACTAGGATTAGAGGTGTGAACCACCGCGCCTGGCCCACTGCGCTTTAAAAAAAAAAAGAAAAAACATAATCCAGACACTCTACAACACATCATTCACAATGTCTGGTATGTGATTTCATTTTTTTTTTTTGAGACGGAATCTTGCTCTGTCTCACAGGCTGGAGCGCAGTGGCGCGATCTCAGCTCACTGCAACCTCTGCATCCCGGGTTCATGCCATTCTCCTGCCTCAGCCTCCCAAGTAGCTGGGACTACAGGCGCACGCCACCACGCCTGGCTAATTTTTCACATTTTTAGTAGAGACAGGGTTTCTGTGTTAGCCAGGATGGTCTTTATCTCCTGACCTCGTGATCCACCCGCCTTGGCCTCCCAAAGTGTTGGGACTACAGGCATGAGCCACTACGCCTGGCCTAGTATGCAATTTCAAAAAAACTCACGGTTGGCCGGGCATGGTGGTTCACTTCTTATAATCCTAGCACTGTGGGAGGCTGAGGTGAGTGGATCACTTGAGGTCAGGAGTTCGAGACCAGCCTAGCCAACATGGTGAAACCACATCTCTGCTAAAAATACAAAAATTAGCCAGGCATGGTGGCATGCACCTGTAATCCCAACTTGGGAGGCTGAGGCAGAAGAATCACCTGAACCCAGGAAGCAGAGGTTGCAGTGAGCTGAGATCATGCTACTGAACTCCAGCCTGGGCAACAGAGTGAGATTCCATCTCAAAAAAAAAAAAAATGGCCGGGCACAGTGGCTCACGCCTATAATCCCAGCCCTTTGGGAGGCCAAGATAGGTGGATCACTTGAGGTCAGGAGTTCGAGACCAGCCTGGCCAACGTGATGAAACCCCACCTCTACTAAAAATATAAAAATTAGGCTGGGCACGGTGGCTCACGTCTGTAATCCCAGCACTTTGGGAGGCCAAGGCGGGTGGATCACAAGGTCAAGAGATTGAGACCATCCTGGCCAACATGGTGAAACCCTGTCTCTACTAAAAATACAAAAAAAAAAAAAAAAAAAAAAAAAAAAAATTAGCTGGGCATGGTGGTGCGCGCCTGTAGTCCCAGCTACTTGGGAAGCTGAGGCAGGAGAATCACCTGAACCCAGGAGACAGAGGTTGCAGTGAGTTGAGACAGCACCACTGCACTCCAGCCTGGCGACAGAGTGAGACTCCGTCTCAAAATAAAAAAAAAAAAATTAGCCAGGCATGGTGGTGCGCACCTGTAGTCCCAGCTACTCAGGAGGCTGAGGAAGGAGAATCGATTGAACCTGGGAGGCGGAGGTTGCAGTGAGCCAAGATCACGCCACTATACTCTAGACTGGGTGACATAGCGAGACTCTGTCTCAAACAAAAACAAACAAAAAAACCCGTGACGGAGACCAAAAAATTAATTATTTTTTAAAACCCACATGACATGAGAAAAGATAGGAAAATGTGATAGGAAAAGAAAAGAAAAAGTCAAGGCTGGGCACGGTGGCTCACGCCTGTAATCCCAGTACTTTGGGAGGCCGAGGCAGGCAGATCACGAGGTCAGGAGATCGAGACCATCCTGGCTAACACAGTGAAACCCCGTCTCTACTAAAAATACAAAAAATTAGCCGGGCGTGGTGGTGGGCGCCTGTTGTCCCAGCTACTTGGGAGGCTGAGGCAGGAGAATGGCGTGAACCCGGGAGGCGGAGCTTGCAGTGAGCCAAGATTGCGCCACTGCACTCTGGCCTGGGCAAAAGAGCGAGACTCCGCCTCAAAAAAAAAGAAAAAGAAAAAGATCCCATTCCCTGGCAAGCAGACTCAGAAAAAAAAGAAAAAAAGAAACAGATTCCAATATGATCTAGATATTAGAATAAACAAACAAAAAAGTTAAAGGAGCCATTCATTATAGAGATGTTTCACGATTCAGAGGAAAGTATAGTGAAGAGATGGGGAAATCTCAGCAGAGAAATGGAAACTATAAAAAATAACCAGGAGGAGGCCAGGTGCAGTGGCTCACACCTGTAATCCCAGCACTTTGGGAGGCTGAGGCAGGCGGATCACTAGGTCAGGAGATCAAGACCATCCTGGCTAACATAGTGAAACCCCGTCTCTACTAAAAATACAAAAAATTAGCCGGGCGCATGACGGGCACCTGTGGTCCCAGCTACTCGGGAGGCTGAGGCAGGAGAATGGCGTAAACCTGGGAGGCAGAGCTTGCAGTGAGCCGAGATCGCACCACTGCACTCCAGCCTGGGCAACAGAGCGAGACTCCATCTCAAAAATAAAATAAAATAAAATAAAATAAAAACCAGGTGAAAATTACAGAAATAAGAAATACAGTATCAGAAATAAAATATTCACTAAATGGGTTTAACAGCAGATTGAAGACAAAAGACAGAGTCAGTGAACTTGACGCTATGACAATAGAAACTATCAAAACTGAAATGGAGGAAAAAAGATTGGAAAAAGGTGGTCAGAGCTTTGGTAACCTGTAGAACGTCACATGGGGTAAACTATGTTGGTGGAGTTCCAGAACGAGAGGATTAAACAGAGAAACTATTAAAAGTAATTTAAAATTTCCCTAATACAGTAAAAGATGCAAGAAGCTGAGCAAACTCAAAACTAAAGCTAGGCATATCATCGTCATACAGCTGAATACTAAAATTAAAAAAAAAAAATCCTGAAAACAGCCAGAGAAATATAATTAATCATATATGAGGCAAGAACGATATGATTACTGTCGACTTTTCATCAGCAACACTGAAAGCCAGGAGACGATACAATGACATCTTTAAAAGACCAAAAAGAAAAAACTGTCAAACTGGCAAAATATATCATTCAAAAACAAGGCTGAAAGGCTGAAATAAAAACATTCAGATAAATGAAAGCTCAGAAAATTTTTCAACAGTAGACCTGTCATTTGGACCTACAGGAAGAAATGAAAACACCAAAAATGGTAAATAAATAGTTAAATGCTAAAAACTAGCTTTTTTCTACTTGATTTCCTTAAAAGACAAAAGACTCATATATATCTATATGTAGAGAGAGAGAGCTGTTTTTTTGTTTGCTTGTTTTTGTTTTTGTTTTTGAGACAGAGTTTTGCTCTTGTTACCCAGGCTAGAGTCCAATGGCATGATTTCGGCCATCGCAACCTCCACCTCCCGGGTTCAAGCGACTCTCCTGCCTCAGCCTCCCGAGTAGCTGGGATTACAGGCATGTGCCACCACGCCTGGCTAATTTTGTATTTTTAGTAGAGACAGGGTTCCTCCATGTTGGTCAGCCTGGTCTCGAACTCCCAACCTCAGGTGATCCGCCTGCCTCGGCCTCCCAAAGTGCTCGGATTACAGGCGTGAATCACCGCACCCGGCTGTTTATTTTTGTTTTTAAGGCCAGTAGAGTAGGATAAAAGAAATTTATCTGGGCCAGGTATGGTGGCTCAGCCTGCAATCCCTGCACTCTGGGAGGCTGAGGCGGCAGATTGCTTGAGCCCAGGAGTTTGAGACCAGCCTGGGCGACATGGCAAAACCCCATCTCTACAAAAAAATAGAAAAATTAGGTGGGCATAGTGACACATGCCTGTAGTTGGGCACTTGGGATGCTGAGATGGAAGGATTACTTGAGCTCAAGAGGCTGAAGCTGCAGGTAGCCACAATCACACTACTGCACTCCAGCCTGGGCAACAGAGAGTGAGACCCTATATCAAAAAAAAAAAAGAAAAAATTTGTCTGAACATGGGTCAGCTGGTGTTTAAAAAAAATTTTTAATATTAAAAAAGAAATCTGTAATCAGTTGTGATCATTTAGTTGTAAACACCAGTGCACTTGGACCAGCTGCCTCATTAAACTATTATAAAATAAGTTCACTGTAAGGTGAATTTAAAAATATATAGGGCTAAGTGCAGTGTCTCATGCCTGTAACGCCAGCACTTTGAGAGGCTGAAGCAGGAGGATTGCTTGAGCCTAGGAATTTGAGACAAACCTAGGCAACACAGTAAGACCTCTTCTCTACAAAAAATAAAAAATTTAGTCAAGCACAGTAGCGCACACCTGTGGTCCAGGAGGCTGAGGCAGGAGGATTGCTTGAGCCCAGGAGGTCATGGCGGCAGTGAGCTATGGTTGCACCGCTGCACTCCAGCCCGAGCAACAAAGACCCTGTCTCGAAAGAAAAAAAAAGAAAAGGAAAGGAAAAAGAGGCTGGGCTCGGTGGCTCATGCCTATAATCCCCGCACTTTGGGAGGCTGAGGTAGGCAGACCACTTGAAGTAAGGAAGTTTGAGACGAGCCTGGCCAACATAGCAAAACCCCATCTCTACTTAAAAAAAAAAAAAGGTGGGGGGGCCGGGCACGATGGCTCACGCCTGTAATTCCCAGCACTTTGGGAGGCCGAGGTGGGCAGATCACGAGGTCAAGAGATCAAGACCATCCTGGCTAACAGGGTGAAACCCCGTCTCTACTAAAAATACGAAAAATTAGCCAGGCGTGGTGGCGGGCGCCTGTAGTCCCAGCTACTCGGAAGGCTGAGGCAGGAGAATGGTGTGAACCCGGGAGGCGGAGCTTGCAGTGAGCCTAGACCGCGCCACTGCACTCCAGCCTGGGTGACAGAGCGAGACTCCATCTCAAAAAAAAGAAAATTAGCTGGGCGTGGTGGCACGCGCCTGTAATTCCAAGCTACTCAGGAGGCTGAAGCAGGAGAAGGGCTTGAACCTGGAAAGCAGAGGATGCAGTGAACTGAGATCGTGCCACTGCACTCCAGCCTGGATGACAGAGCGAGACTCTGTCTAAAAAAAAAGGGAAAAAAAAGTCAAAGCTGGCCATGTTATTTGGGGCTATGGAAAAAACAAACAAATAAAAGGCTGAGATTTTCAGGAGCTTCGTGGTTGGTGAATGCAACCACGTGCTGGGAGGTCAGTGCACCCCAACTCCTCCAGCAGAAGTGCCTGCATTCAAGACCCTTCCAGACCGTACTCTATGAATCTCTTCATCTGTATCCCTTATAATATCCTTTATAATAAACCAATAAACAGCTGGTTCAGTGTGCTGAACTTTGCTAGCAGCTGAGAAAGGAAGCTAGAAAGAGGCAAGCTCCTGATGCAAAGGTTGGCGTGCAGCATAATTTAGGCCTTAGAGAAGCTGGGGTTTTAACACTTCACAAGATGTGTTTTCTCAAAGCTGCCAGTTCTTTTAGAACTCATCAAATTAGGCTGCTCCAACCAGCTTTACAGGGAATGGATTTAAGGCAAATCTTGTGTTTAAAGAGATTTAGAGGAAGCCTGAAGAGGAAAGTGGACAGATTGTGAAGAAAATCCGTGGTATTTTTGCCTTTAAGGTGAAGAATGAATGGCCTAGGGGGTAAAGAAGCCACCTAGTGGTGGAGGTAAAGAACACAAAGGATCAGTGCTTTCTAACTCTAACTCAGATGAGAAAGCTGACCACACAATCACAAAGACTGACTAGGATTTACTGGCTTTAGTGATTGAAGTGGTAAAATGAATCCTCAGTTCTCCTTCTTTCAAGGCAAAGGGAAAATCACTGGCAATATGAAGTTACAAAGTTTTCAGCTTCAGCCGAGCAAAGGTAAGCTGCGAGGAACTCCCTTTGGCTACTTTTGAAAATCAAGATATCTCATCTCACAGATAGGAATTCATACAATTTCATTGTCAGAATTTAGGCTGAAACTACACATTGAAAAATAACATGAGATAGATTTGTTTTAAAAGGTGTGACCAATCCTGGTTTTCCTAACCTCTGGGTGAATACAGCCTGATAATGAACTACTGCTTTGCTGAACTGGAAACAACTGTGCATTACAAAGTTAATACGTTATTTATGGCCTGGAGTAAAACTGAGTTTCAGAATAAAATTAGGAACAGCAAAATACAAAAAAAGTACATAAACAAAAGCTCCCATTTTGCTTATGAAGTGCACTGAAGGGCCAGGCACAGTGGCTCATGCCTGTAATCCCAACACTTTGGGAGGGCAAGGCAAGAGGATCACTTGAGTCAAGGAGTTCGAAACCAACCTGGGCAACACAGTGAGACTTAGTCTCTACAAAAAAATTTTTTTAATTAGCTGGGCATAGTGGCATGTGCCTGTAGTCCCAGCTACCTAGGAAGCCGAGGTGGGAGGATCATTTGAGCCCAGCAGGTAAGAGGCTGCAGTGAGCCAGGACAGAGGCTGCAGTGAGCCGTAATCATGCCCATGTACTCCACACTGTGTAACAGAGCGAGGCTCTGTCTCAAAAAAAAAATTAAAATAAAGTACATTTAAGGATTATTCTGCTGAAGATGTAATTTAAGAGTTCCCTGGATGAACTAGAGAAGAAAAAGACTACCAATAGCTGGCAAGTAATTAGTGTTATGCATTTAATAACCTTAATCAGTAATAATTAATAATTCTTAAAATTTTATACTGGGGGCCAGGCATGGTGGCTCACGCCTGTAATCCCAGCACTTTGGGAGGCCAAGGAGGGTGGATCATATATTTTTTTTTTTTTCAGACAGAGTCTTGCTCTGTTGCCTACGCTGGAGTGCAGTGATGCAATTTCGGTTCACTGCAACCTCTCCCTCCCGGGTTCAAGCAATTCTCTTGCCTTAGCCTCCCGAGTAGCTAGGACTACAAGTGCCTGCCACCACACCTGGCTAATTTTTGTATTTTAATAGGATCGGGGTTTCATCATGTTGGCCAGGCTGGTCTTGGACTCCACACCTCAAGTGACCCACCCCCCTCAGCCTCCTAAAGTGCTAGGATTACAGGCGTGAGTCACCACGCCTGGCCAACCTCAGGAGTCAGAGACCCACCTGAGCAACCTGATGAAAACTCATCTGTACAAAAAAATACAAAAATTAGCTGGGCATAGTGGTGTTAGTGGTGTGCACCTATAGTCCCAACTTCTTGGGAGGCTAAGGCAGGGGATTGCTTGAGCCTGGGAGGTGGAGTTTGCAGTCAGCCAAGATCATGCCATTGCACTCCAGCCTGGACAACAGAGCAAGACTGTCTCAAAAAAAAAAAAAATCAAAATTTGTGGGACACAGCTCTAGTGATGCTTAAAAGGAAATGTACAGGCCAGGCACGGTGGCTCATGCCTGTAATCTTAGCACTTTGGGAGGCTGAGGCAGGAGGATCACGAGGTCAGGAGATCGAGACCACCCTGGCTAACATGGTGAAACCCCATCTCTACTAAAAATACAAAAAAATTAGCTGGGCATGGTGGTGGGCGCCTGTAGTCCCAGCTACTCGGGAGGCTGAGGCAGGAGAATGGCATGAACCCGGGAGGCGGAGCTTGCAGTGAGCCGAGATCCGCCACTGCACTCCAGCCTGGGCGACAGAGCAAGACTCTGTGTCAAAAAAAACGAAATGTATAGCTTTAAATGTCTACTTTAAAAAAGAAGGCTTTAAAATCAGTGCTCTAAGTTTTCATCTTAAGAAGCTAGAAAAGGGAATTGAACAATGAGAACACATGGACACAGGAAGGGGAACATCACACACCGGGGCCTGTTGTGGGGTGGGGGGAGGGCGGAGGGATAGCATTAGGAGATATACCTAATGTTAAATGACGAGTCAATGGGTGCAGCACACCAACATGGCACATGTACATATATGTAACAAATCTGCACGTTGTGCACATGTACCCTAAAACTTAAAGTATAATAAATAAATAAAGAAGCTAGAAAAACAAACACAAAGTAAATGGAAGGAAGTGCTAAACAGTAACAAAAAAAAATCAATAAAAACACACCAACAATTGGAAACCTAAAACTTACATTAAGAAGCCAGGCGCAGTGGCTCACGCCCATAATTCCAGCACTTTGGGAGGCCGAGGCAGGCGGATCACAAGGTCAGGAGATAGGATCATCCTGGCTAACACAGTGAAACTCCGTCTCAACTAAAAATACAAAAAATTAGCTGGGCGTGGTGGCGGGTGCCTGTAGTCCCAGCTACTCGGGAGGCTGAGGCAGGAGAAGGGCATGAACCCAGGAGGCGGAGCTTGCAGTGAGCCCAGATGTCACCACTGCACTCCAGCCTGGGCTACAGAACAAGACTCCATCTCAAAAAAAAAAAAAAAAAAAAAAAAAAAAAATTACATTAAGAAAAGTTGGTTCATTAAAAAGATGTTTAGATTAATAAACACTTAGCAAGATGAATTAAGAAAAAAAGAGGCTAGGACAAGTGGCTCACACCTGTCATTCCAGAACTTTGGGAGGCCAAAGCAGGCAGATCACTTGGGCACAGGAGTCCCAGACCAGCCTGAGCAACATGGCAAAAGCCAGTCTCTACAAAAAAATACGAAAAATTAGCCGGGCATTGTGGCACGTGCCCGTAGTCCCAACTACTCAGGAGGCTGAGGTGGGAGGATCACTCAAGCCCAGGAGGTGAGCCATGATAGCACCACTGCACTCCAGCTTGGGTGACAGAGTGAGACCCTGTCTCCAAAAAAAAAAAAAAAAAAAAAAAGAGAGAGAGAGAAAATACAAATTATCAATGAAAGAGTATATTTATAAAATAAACTCTTCCTCCAAAGAAAACTACAGGATCATATAGTTTCACAGGTAAATTCTATCAAATATTAAAGACAGAATAATACTGATCTTCAACAAATTATTTCAGAAAATAGAAGAGGGAACACTTTTCAGCTCAATTTCTGTAACCAGTATAAGCCTCATATCAAAATAGGACAGACTTTGTAAAAGAAAATTACAAATCAGTATCCCTTATGAACAAAGTAGCAAAAAAATCCTCAAGAAAATGTAGCAAAATAGAGCAACACAGAAAAAGAATACACTATGACCAAATGGAAGTTATACAGGAATACATTAGTCCAATATTTGAAAATCAAGGTAATGTAATTCAGTAGCTTTAAATACAGTCTATTCTCATTTTTGAGATGGAGTCTCACTCCCATTGCACAGACTGGAGTGCAGTGGTACAATCTCAGCTCACTGCAACCTCCACCTCCCGGGTTCAGGCGATTCTCCTTCCTCAGCCTCCCGAGTAGCTGGGATTACAGGCATGCGCCACCACGTCCGGCTAATTTTTGTATTTTTAGTAGAGACGGGGTTTCACCATGTTGGCCTGGCTGGTCTTGAACTCCTGACCTCAGGTGATCCACCTGCCTTGGCCTCCCAAAGTGCTGGGATTACAGGCGTGAGCCACCATGCCCAGCCTACTCTCACTTTTCTACACTTTACCCAACGACCTGCTAGAGCCATAGTAACCTTTCAGGAAAAGAATATACATGATTTTTGAGACAAATAGCCCAGTGACAAATTTATAATTAATTACACAGATCAGCAGAGCACTCCAATTCCAGAAAATCAATTTCTAGCCTTCACAGAATTTTAACATTTTGTTCTTTTATCAAAGATCAACATTAGAAAATGAACATGAAGAATATAAAGTTCCTCATCTCTTGCAGAAATAACAAGACTATTTCATTACACTGTACAATGCCCCTTATGTAATGTCCCCAGACAATCCATGCCTAATTTAGTTCTAGTGGAAAAAACATACCTTCCTAATGGTTCCTTTTATTAATGTAATGAACATGATAGGGATGAGAAATGAAGTAAAAAGCCCATGGTTGAGTAAAGATCTCACTATCAATTGAGAATGCATTATGGCAACATAGTGTGATGACACTCAAATGCACTTAAACCCAGAAAACTTGTATAAAGTTTCTCAAGCAAAGAAACTAAAAAACAGAGAAAGCTCATCCTCTTGGGCATATAATAGCTGTAACTGACATCACTGTTGTTATTAGTGCCACTGGTTGTCCCAAAGTTAAGGGGGCCTAGGAAAGCAACGGATCAGAAAATGAGAACTGTGTAAACTCAGATTTCTTCTCTTTAAGCTTTCCTAGGAAATTCTGAAATACATTTTGCATTGAAAAAGCTACCCTCAACCGGGCATGATGGCTCACGCCTGTAATTCCAGCACTTGGTGGGAGGCCAAGGTGGGTGAATCACCAGAGGTCAAGAGTTCAAGACCAGGCTGACGAACATGGTAAAACCCCCTCTCTACGAAAAATAAAAAATTAGCTGGGCGTGGTGGTGTGCGCCTGTAATCCTAGCTACTAGGGAGGCTGAGGCAGGAGAATCACTTGAATTTAGGAGGCAGAGGTTGCAGTGAGCCGATATCGCACCACTGCACTCCAGCCTGGGCAACAGAGCGAGACTCCATCTCAAAAAAAAAAAAAAAAAAAAAAGCTACCCTTAACCAAAGTACTCTGGTACATTTATCTTCTCTTTTCATTATGTAACTCTTCTTATATCTTAGTTGCAGTGCATTTTTATTGGTACTGCCTCAAATTCATTTTAGAAATGAAGAAGATATAAGAAAATATGAAACTAACATAAAGAAGATTATACCCATATCAGAACTGATAAATATTACTTTTCAATAAAGAGGGATAAATGTAACAAAACCATCATAACAGTTTAAAAAAAAAAAAAGGGCTGGGCACGGTGGCTCTAGCCTGTAATTCTAACACTTTGGGAGGCCAAGATGGGGGGATTAACCTGAGCTCAAGAGTTCGACAGCAGCCTGGGCAACATGGTAAAACCCCGTCTCTACTAAAACAGTAAAAAAATCAGCCGGGCGTGGTGGCAGGTGCCTGTAATACCAGCTATGTGACATGCTGAGGCATGAGAATTGCTTGAACCCGGAGGCAGAGGTTGCAGTGAGCCGAGACTGTGCCACTGCACTCCAGCCTGGGCAACAAAGTGAAACTCTGTCTCAATGAAAAAAAAAAAAAAGATGAACTAAGATTTAAACCAAAGGTAAGCGAATAATACTACTAACATTTGTAATGTTTGGTCTCTTTCCAATCAACAAATGTGATGGGTTTACTTTACCTTAATTTCTATCCTTGCTCTGTGAGGAAAAAGTTGTCCGATCATAGAAAAGTCAGTTCCTACCATGCTGATGGCTAAAAAAAACATATCTGTTTCTGTGAAAATAAAAGATTTAGAATGATTGAAAATTAATTATATCAATATTTCAGAGAAAAGAAATCTTACAGAATTTGACAGTACTTAATTTTACTAGAAAGATCCCCATGCAATACCTAAAAACACCTTATTATAAATAAAAACTTTTCAGTATAAGAAATCGTAGGCTGGGCATGGTGGCTCACACCTATAATCCCAGAACTTTGGGAGGCCAAGGCAGGCAGATCATTTGAGGACAAGAGTTAGAGACCAGGGCCGGTCGCGGTGGTTCACGCCTGTAATCCCAGCACTTTGGGAGGCTGAGGCGGGTGGGTCACCTAAGGTCAGGAGTTTGAGACCAGCCTGACCAACATGGAGAAACCCCGTCTCTACTAAAAATACAAAATTAGCTGGGCATGGTGGCACATGCCTGTAATCCCAGCTATGTGGGAGGCTGAGGCAGGAGAATCGCTTGAACCCGGGAAGCGGAGGTTGCAGTGAGCCGAGATCGTGCCATTGCACTCCAACCTGGGCAACAAAAGTGAAATTCCATCTCAAAAAAAAAAAAAAAAGAGTTTGAGACCAGCCGGGCCAACATGGTGAAACCCTGTCTCTGCTAAAAATAAAAAAAAAATGAGCTGGGCGTGGTGGCGTGCACCTGTAATCCCAGCTACTGGGGAGGCTGAGGCAGAAGAATAGCTTGAACCCGGGAGGCGGAGGTTACAGTGAGCTGAGATGGCGCCACTGCACTCCAGCCTGGGCGAAAGAGCGAGACTCCACCTCAAAAAAAAAGAAAAAGAAATCATACAAAAGCATCTGGAATTTTTTTTTTAAAACATTCATTCTGCCTAGCTGATCTTATTCAAAGTGCTCTGAAGAAAGCTATGAGTCATACTCAGGATAGGGTTACACTACATAGGCAACTAAGATGTGCTAAGTAGTATATAAAGAAAGTAGCTAGAAAAATACACAAGAGGCCACGCACGGTGGCTCACGCTTGTAAATACCAGCACTTTGGGAGGCCGAGGCGGGCAGATCACTTGAGGTCAGGAGTTCCAGACCATCCTGGCCAACATGGTGAAACCCCGTCTCTACTAAAAACACAAAAATTAGCTGGGCATGGTGACATATGCCTGTAATCCCAGCTACTCGGGAGACTGAGGAAGGAGAATCACCTGAACCTAGGAGGTGGCGGCTGCAGTGAGCCAAGATCGCACCACTGCACTCCAGCCTGGGTGACAGAGTGAGACTCGGTCTCAAAAAAAGAAACTACTAACAGAAGTTACACTTCAGGAGAATAGGAATAGGGAAGTGAAAGAAGGGAAGTATAGAATCTTTTTACTCTATATCCTGCTGTTTGAATTTTTCCTCAAAACTACTGTTTTTAAAATAAAAACAATAAGCACCAACATGCAACAGATTTTTAACAGCATATTTATCTATAGAAGCTTTATTATACAATATTATCTGAGGTAGAACATTATTCGCATTAGAAATATTGTATTGTTGGCTGGGCACAGTGGCTCACGCGTGTAATCCCAGCACTTTGGGAGGCTGAGGCAGGCGGATCACCTGAGGTCAGGAGTTCGAGACCAGCCTGGCCAACATGGTGAAACCCCATCTCTACCAAAAACACAAAAATTAGCTGGGCATGGTGGCAGGCGCCTGTAATCCCAGCTGCTCGGGAGGCTGAGGCAGGAGAATCGCTTGAACCCAGGAAGCAGAGGTTGCAGTGAGCCGAGATCGCGCCACCGCACTCCAGCCTAGGCGACAAGAGCGAAACTCCATCTCAAAAAAAAAAAAAAAAGGAAATATTGTATTGTTAATTTTTATTTAAATGGTATTTACTGTAGAGATTTGACAGAGAGGAACATTCCAGCCAAAACGACTATAAAGGTAATTCTTAAAAAATATTTCTTTCAGCAGAACAGTGACTGAAAGAAATTAAAAAAAAAAAAAAATTTCTGGGCTGGGCACAACGACTCACGCCTATAATCTCAACACTTCGGGAGGCAAAGGATCGCTTGAGCCTAGGCATTGGAGACCAGCCTGGGCAACATACTGAGACCTTATTTCTTCAAAAAATCCAAAACACAGGCCAGGTGCGGTGGCTCATGCCTGTAATCCCAGCACTTTGGGAGGCCAAGGTGAGCAGACCACCTGAGGTCAGGAGTTTGAGAGCAGCCTGGCCAACATGATAAAACCCCATCTCTACTAAAAATACAAAAATTAGCTGGGGGTGGTGGCAGATGCCTGTAATCCCAGCTACTTGGGAAGCTGAGGCAGGAGAATCGCTTGAACCCAGGAGGCAGAGGTTGCAGTGAGCCGAGATCGTGCCATTGTACTTCAGCCTGGGCAACAAGAGGGAAACTCCGTCTCAAAAAATAAAAAAATTTTTTTCAAAAAATTAGCTGGGTTTGGTGGCACACGCCTGTAGTGCCAGCTACTCTGGGAGGCTGAGGCAGGAAGATCACATGAGCCCAAGAGTTCAAGGCTGCAGTAAGCTAAGATAGTTTCACTGCACTCCAGCCTCGGCAATCAATCAAGACCCTATCTCTACTTTCTAATTTTTTTTCTTAATTTTTTTGTAGAGATGAGGTCTTGCTTTGTTGCCCAAGTTGGTCTCAAACTCCTGGCCTCAAGTGATCCTCCTGCCTCAACCTCCCAAAGTGCAGGGATTACAGGTGTAAGCCACTGCACCTGGCTGAGACCCAGTTGCTATAAAAAATAAAATTTTTTTGAAGATTTGTAAGACAAAGTCAGAGATACCATTCCATGGAGGGCATAAGATAGAGGTGTCAATAAAATTAGCTGGAATAAAATGGTAGTTTGCATTTTATGTACTTAGGGGAGAACTGATTTAATTCAGAAACAGTCAATTCATTTCAAATAGAGAACTTACACATTTTTAAATGAAAATTAGTTACCTTTATTTGACCATGGTTTAGAGTAATAGTTTTTCCTAAAGCTGGAGTATGTAGTTGTAGAACCGCGCTCAAATATGGGGTCATTTTCTTCAACAACACAAGGGCCTTTTGTTCTTAAAACTTCTACAGTTAAACTGAAATAAACACATTTTTAAATAGATGTATACTAAAAACAAGGAAACAAATAGCAAATGAGATGTAAATAGTTATATTTTGAGGTTTAGCATGGCAATCATATCAAAGGCATAATAATACCTATGTGAAATATGGGTATTTTCCAAGCATCTGCTAAGTTTTACCTACAATGTGATTCCAAGAGGGTAGAAAGAAATGTCAACTCATTTTCAAAATCCATAACAGCAATATAATATTTACAAAACATCTTTGGGCTACGTATTATAAAACGGTATTTGTATTATTGACTTGCACATGTCTTTGATATTCAATATGTATTACTGTGCTGGACTCCATGGAAATTTTGAAAAACACAAGCACTTTATATTTTACATTCCTGCAGAGAAAGCAGTTAAATATGCTCTAACTATTTAATGACCAGTAAAATCATCATCACAAACTAATGGAAAATAGCACACAAAAACAACTATTATTAGCAGTATTACATTTATGTTTAATTATAGAATGTGAATGCTATAAAATTATTTTTCACTGGCTAAACTTTCAAAGACCTTCCATTGCTTTATTTATTTACTTACTAATTTATCATCTTTTAAAAAAAAACCCTTAAGACAACTAAATTCCACAATGCCCAATGTGCAAAATTTAATGTTATAACTGAGAAATTAAACCAAAAGATGAATTATACCTCACCATAACAAAAATCATAAAATATGTTAAACCTACATTTCATTGTATATCCATTAGTTATCACCACACACCAGGATATGCTCTTAATAATATGAGAACTTGAATATTGACTTCAAGACTGTGTCAATCTTAGAAATTTATCCTCAGTGGAAGACAGCATATGATTAGTTCAACAGCCTGACTCAATGACCAGTAAAGATAATAAAACAATGGTGTTAGGTTAATAGATGATAGGGCATCTTCTCATACAAAATAGTTATAAAAATTACTAAAATTTACAAATTAATCTAACCCACTTTTCTATTTACAATATTCATTATGCAAATAAGAACGTCAAGGTCTAAGTGACAAAGGCCAATACAGAAAGAGGACCTCTTTCACTAGACAAAGCATGTTTGTTCTCATGTAACCACAATCTCACTTTTTCTCTTTTCTAAATACCTTTCTTCATCCAAAATAATGGAACCATCTTCTGCCACTTTTACTCGAGGAACCAGTAATGGCCCATCATCTGTCTCTTCTTCCATTTCATTATCTTCAGCATTAGGAGTACTCTTACCTTCTTGCCTACCACATATAAAGATAAGTTAATTCACAAAGGCATGAAAAGTGTGCCTAAATAGTATAAAACTTAAAATAAATGATTACAAACTCAACCTTCTAGCTATTTCCAACTTTCCCTATAATCCAAATGAAAACAGTATGTGTTATTAAGGACGCAATTAGAGGATTTTCTCAAGTTTTATCTCGAGACATTTAGTAAGAAGTCTTATTTTTTTTTTTAGATGGAGTTTCGCCCTGTCACCCAGGCTGGAGTGCAGTGGCATGATCTCGACTTACTGCAACCTCCGCCTCCTGGGTTCACACCATTCTACTGCCTCAGCCTCCCCAGTAGCTGGGATTACAGGCGCGCACCTCCACACCTAGCTAATTTTTGTATTTTTAGTAGAGACGGGTTTTCACGATGTTGGCCAGGCTGGTCTCAAACTCCTGACCTCGTGATCCACCCGCCTCAGCCTCCCAAAGTGCCGGGATTACAGGCGTGAGCCACCGTGCCTGGCCCAAGCAGTCTTTACTCTCTTTTAAAATAAAGAGAAACAGACAGGACATGGTGGTTCAGGCCTGTAATCCTAGCAATTTCAGAGGCCAAGGCAGGAAAATCACTCGAGGCCAGGAGTTGAGATCAGCCTGGGCAACATAGCAAGACCTTACCACTACAAAAAAAATTTAAAAATTAGCCCAGCATGGTGATGCGTGCCTATAGTCCCAGCTACTCAGGAGACTGAGGCAGGAGTATCTCTTGAGGCCAAGAGTTTAATCACACCACTGCACCCCAGCCTAGGTGACAGTGCAAGACCCTATCTGTAAAAATAATAATAATAATAATAATGCTTATAGTTATATAGCATTAGTTTCTAGATTATTTGATTAACTTTTCAGTACAATCCTTCAGGGTTAGTATTTTCATGCTCATTTGAGCCTTAAGGAAAATGGCCAAATGCAGCAGCTCATGCCTGTAATCCTAGTACTTTTGGAGGCTGAGGCGAGAGGATTACTTGAGCTTAGAAGTTCAAGACCACCAGCCTGGGCGACATAGTGAAACCTTATCTCTATGAAAAAAAACTCTTCAAAAACTAAAAACTTTAGGCTGGGCATGGTGGCTTACACCTGTAATCCCAGCACTTTGGGAGGCCGAGGCGGGCCGATCACGAGGTCAAGAGATGGAGACCATCCTGACCAACGTGGTAAAACCCCGTCTCTACTAAAAATACAAAAATTAGCTGGGCATGGTGGCGCACACCCGTAGTCCCAGCTGCTCGGGAGGCTGAGGCAGCAGAATCGCTTGAACCCGGGAGGCAGAGGCTGCAGTGAGCCGAGATCGCACCACTGCACTCCCGCCTGGTGACAGAGCAAGACTCCATCTCAAAAAAAAAAAAAAAAAAAAAACTAAAAAATTTAGCCAACCGTGGTGGCACACACCTGTACTCCCAGCTACTCAGGAGGCTGAGGCAGGAGGATCACGAGCCCAGGAGGTCAAGGCTGCAGTGAGCTATGTTCACACCACTGCACTCCAGCCTAGGTGACACAGCAACATCCTGTCTCAAAAATTAAATTAAAATTTTAAAATTACAAAAACAATAGCCCAACCAAATGTAATTTTTTTTTAAGAGACAAAGTCTTGCTCTGTCACCCAGGCTGGAATGCAGTGGCGTGATCATAGTTCACTACAGCCTTGAACATGTGGGCTCGAGCGATCCTCCCACCTCAGCCTCCTGAATAACTAGGACTACATGTACACACCACCATGCACAGCTTATTTTTACATTTTTTGTAGAGACAAAATGTCACTATGATGCCCAGGCTGGTCTCAACTCCTGGCTTCTGGCAATCCTCCCATCTTGGCTTCGCAAAGTGCTGAGATTACAGGAGTGAACCACTGTGCCCAACCCCAATCAAATGTAATTCAACTATAACAGGAAGCACCATTTGATCTCATTTCTTAAAAAATGTAGGAATAGAATATATTCAAAAATAAAATACTTACTCTCTTGTCTGGACTGGAGTCGATGGCTTTTCAGTTTTCTTTTCTTGTTCCAGTGAAGAACTATTGAACATAAATAACAATATCTTTAATAAATTATTAATTTATATCTTCCCAATTCTATCTGTAGGCAAGAAGAAAATTATTCTAACTTCTAATTTTTAATGATATATCACAGCATTTCGTTAATGACAGTACAATCCAACAATCAACTTTTCAGTCAAAAGCTTGTCATCACATACAAATAATTTGTTAGGTCCTAAGTAAAGAATACTTTTTTTTTTTTTTTTTAATACAACAACAGGGTCTTGCTGTGTCAGACTGAAGTGCAGTGCTGTGATCTCAGCTCCATGTAACCTCTACTTCTTGAGCTCAAGCAATCCTCCCACCTCAGCCTCCCACGTAGCTGGGACTACAGGTGCATGCCACCACACCAGGCTAATTTTTGTCTTTTAATTTTTTGTAGAGACGAGGTCTCACCATATCGCCCAGGCTGGTCTCAAACTCCTGGGATCATGCAATCCTCCCACCTTAGCTTCCCAAAACACTGAGATTACAGGCATGAGCCACCACGCCCAACAGAGAATGTTCTTATCCTCTAACTTCTCAGTGAAAGGAGGCTCCCAATCCCAAGGCATGAAGCAGCTTACTTAGGTGACTTGTCTCCAACTCCTGGATGTTAAACAACTCAAAACCTAGGTTTCTGGCCCTTTCTTCAACAGGGCCAAAGACCTGGTGAATCTGAAAAAGGGCTATGCTGAGGAACTGTCCCAACTCCTACCTCTACCTGCTAAACCATCAACAATACAACAATGAGATTTATTATAAACCTGCCTCAGAAACCCCAGGCTAACTTTAATAAAGAAGCTTTGTTCTTGGAGGATTTATTAATCACACTACTACTGTCTTTATTAGAAGGCAGGGCATAAAACTTGGATCACTCCTTTAGATCAGTTTATAGTATGTTAAAAATAGAAATTCCAATCCTTTCAAACATTTTTTTTTTAAATGAGACAGAGTCTCGCTGTCTCCCAGGCTGGAGTGCAGTGGTGCAATCTTGGCTCACTGCTGCCTTGAACTCCCAGGCTCAAGTGATCCTCCCACCTCAGCCTCCTGTGCGCCACAATGCCCAGGTAATTTTTGTATTTTTTGTAGAGATGGGGTCTCACTACATTGCCCAGGCTGGTCTCAAACTCCTGGGCTCAAGCAATTCTCTCGCCTTGGCCTCCTAAAATGCTGTGATTACAGGGATGAGCCACCTCGCCTGGCCAAAATTGCAATCTTGATTACAGAAAAGTGGCTTAGTTGGTTTCACTATGCCTTGGTAACTAATATAACAAAGAAAAAACATTTTTTTTTTTGAGACAGGATCTCGCTCTGTCACCCTGAGTGCACCCAGAATGCAGTGGCATGAACATGGTTCACTGCAGCCTCAAATGCCAGGGTTCAAGCAGTCCTCCTGCCTCAGCCTCCCAAATAGCTGGAACTACAGGCACATGCCACCATGCCTGGCTAATTTTTGTACTTTTTGTAGAGACAGGGTTTCACCATGTTGCCCGGGCTGGTCTCAAACTCCTGGACTCAGGCGGCCCACACACCTTGGTCTCCTAAAGTGCTGGGATTACAGGCATGAGCCACTGTGCCCAGCCAGGAAATTTATTTTTAATCTCAGAAATAAAGGGCATAATCTACCATCCCCAGAAAGCAGTTACTTGAAATACTGCTACTTTTTGTTATGAAATTCTATTTAAAAGGACATATGTGTTCCAAATTTTGTCAACATGTTTTTGGAAAACTAAAAAATTTACTATAAAAGTGCTATTTATATAACTACATACCCAAATAAAGTAAAACAGAAGGCCAGGTGCAGTGGCTCACGCCTGTAATCTCAGCACTTTGGAAAGCCGAAGCGGGTGGATCACCCGAGGTAAGGAGTTTAAAACCAGGCAAGCCAACATGGCGAAACCCAGTCTCTACTAAAAATACAAAAATTAGCCGGGTGTGGTGGCGAGCATCTGTAATCCCAGCTACCCGCGAATCTGAGGCAGGAGAATCGCTTGAACCTGGGAGGCAGAGGTTGCAGTGAGCCAAGATTGCACCACTGCACTCCAGCCCGGGTGACAGAGCGAGACTCCACCTCCAAAAAAAAAAAAAAAAAAAAAGAGATAGTAAAGCAGAAATAAATTTTACTTACGTCATTGGATTATTATCTGGTAGATAATATATGAAGTCTCTCATAGTCATTTTTGAACGATCTGGTGGCCTCTGACTTTCATTTATAGCATATTTGTTTTTCCATTGTTTCTGTATACATAAACACACAGATCCACTTTTATAAATATTAAAGAATTTCAGATGTACTATATGCAAATATACAGTCCACTGTTGCGTTCACTGTAAGTGCTTTAATATTATTCTCACCCCAATTATGTAATTTTGTAGATGGAATATTAAAAAGTTGTAGCACATTACCCTCAATAGCTTTTAGTTTTTATTTATCTACTTTTGAGATGGGGTTTTGCTCTGTCATCCAGGCTAAAGTGCAGTGGCGCAATCATAGCTCACTGCAGCCTTGAACTCCTGAGCTCAAGCAGTCCTCCCACCTCAGCCTCCCAAGTAGCTGGGACTACAGATGCTTGCCTAACACCTGGCTAATTTTGTGGGGTTTTTTTTTTTTTGGTAGAGATGGAGTCTCCCTACGTTGCCAAGGCTGCTCTCAAATTCCTGGGCTCAAGTGATCCTCCTGCCTCACACTCCTAAAGCACTGGAGTGAACCACACACCCAGGCAGTATTTAGATTTTAACAATTAAAGTGACTAGGACTAGATAAAAGCTCAATGTGGCCAGGCACAGTGGCTTATTTCTCTAATCCCAGCACTTTGGGAGGCTGAGGCAGGAGGATCGCTTGAGCTCAGGAGTTACCAGCCTGGGCAACATAAATGAGACCCTATCTCTACAAAAAAATACAAAAAAATTAGCTGGATGTGGTGGCATATGCCTATAGCCACAGCTACTTGGGAGGCTGAGGTGGGAGGATCACTTGAGCCTGGGAGGTTGAGGCTGCAGTGAACTGCAATTATACTAGCGCACTCCATCCTGGGTGACAGTGAGACCTTGTCTCAAAACTAAATAAATAACCAAAGAATAAAACTAATAAAGCTCAATGTATAAAATGCTTACTGATGCCTTCTAACTAAACATCTTAATAGCTCACTGAGAATTTATGCTTACACAGCTTTTTTTTTACCCTGTAGTGACTTGAAATTCTGTGTATTTTGTAAAATTCTTGAAGCAAATGTTTAATCTTTAATTCCCCAAAATAAATTAAATAAGCAAATAAGCAGTTTCTGTAAAATACAGAACTTTTTTTTAATCCCCCCACCCCCAATTCCCAACCCATAAAACATTTTTAGAGGCTTTGATCTGTCGCCCAGGCTGGAATGCAGTAGCACAATTTCAGCTCACTGCAACCTCCGCCTTCCAGGTTCAAGCAATTGTTGTGAGGCTTACATTTTAGAAGACATAAATTGAAAGCTTGTTTTCTCCTGTGTGAAACAGTGATATCTACTTCACATAGTTGATATAATTACATAAGATAACAGATATAAAGCACCAAGCAAAATGCCTTCCCTTAATTTAAAAAAAACTAAGAGGCATTTTATAATTCATAACAGAAGCTGACACTGGTTGGACACTTACTATTTTCATGACACTAGTTTTTTTGTTTGGTTGGTTTTTTTTGAGACGGAGTCTCGCTCTGTCACTCATGCTGGAGTGCAATGGCACGATTTTGGCTCACCGCAACCTCTGCCTCCCAGGTTCAAGCGATTCTCCTGTCTCAGCCTCCTGAGTAGCTGGGATTACAGGCGTGCACCACCACAACCAGATAATGTTTGTATTTTTAGTAGAGACGGGGTTTCACCATGTTGGCCAGGCTGGTCTCGAACTCCTGACCTCAGGTGATCCGCCCACCTCGGCCTCCCAAAGTGCTGGGATTACAGGCGTGAGCCACTGCACAAGGCCCAAGACACCAGTTTAAGTGTGTTTTACATGTATTGACTCATTTAATCTTCACAACCCTCTAATGAGCTAGATAGAGGTTGAGCATCTCTTATCTGAAATACTTGAGACCAGAAATGATTCACATTTTGGATTTTTTCACATTTTTGAATACTTGCAGAATACATGCTGGCTGAGCATCTCTAACCTGAAAATTTGAAATCCAATATGCTCCAATGAGCATTTCCCTGGAGCATCACTTTGGCACTCAAAACATTTTAGACTTTGGAGCATTTTCAATTTCAGGGATGCTCAACCTGAACTATTATTGGTCTATTTTACAGATGAGGAAATAGATTAATTAAATTACCCAAGGTCACAAAGCTAGTAAAGAAATGAAGCTGAGATTCAATCCCTAAGTATTTAACTCCAGGGCCAGCATGCTCTACTGCTGTTACCTGCCCTTCTAGAAAAGAAATCAATCCTCAAGATTAAAAAGAACATGGACTCTAATATATGCATAACACAAATTTTTCCCACTTGTAATTTTCCATAGTCAATTTAGAAAACATTACCAATTCATTCTGCTCAACTATATTCGTCTTTTTTTTGGAGACAGTTTCACTCTATCACCCAGGCTGGAATGCAGAGGCACAATCTCGGCTCACTGCAACTTCCACCTCCCAGGTTCAAGCAATTCTCATGCCTCAGCCTCCCCAGTAGTTGGGATTACAGATGCACGTCACCAGGCCCAGCTAATTTTTGTATTTTTAGTAGAGACAGGGTTTTGCCATGTTGGCCAGGCTGGTCTTGAACTCCTGACCTCAAGTGATCTGCCCCCCTAGTCCTCCCAAAGTGCTGGGATTACAGGCATGAGCCACCACGCCCGGCCTATACTTGTCTTAATTCAAATAAATATATCACTTATCACTTGGACATCTTTATGTGAAAAATCAGACTGAAGGTTTATTTTATAAATATGTTTGTGTATGTGCATCTATGTGTATGCGTATGAAACTTATTTGTGGTCTTCACCAAAAACAGTGAAAACATAAATAAATAATGTAAAAATTACTATCAGTGAAAAATGTAATTTAAGTCCACGGTGTATCAATCAATCCATTAACAAGAAGGGATGTTCTATTGACTAAGGGATGTTATGTGGTTTTGTTCCCCCATCAAAATGCTACAAATGCTTTTCTTCCCAATGATTCCTTACTAACATAAATAGAAGGCAACATCAAAATCCTGATTCTCCTCCCTTACCTTCTCTTTTCTCAATTCTTCTTTTAACATTTCCCTCAGTTTCTGGGCTTTGTATATTCGGTATCTGTCTGAGCATGGCTGTTTCTCTTTTGTTGAAGTGGCAGTTGGCTGTGGAGCCTCTTGATTAATTGTAGATAAGGGATGAGATTCTGAAGGAACACTGACACTAGACTTAACCAGGCTAGAAGTACTTGATATTCGCTTTCTTCTCTGTGAAACAGTAGAGGAAGATCTACTGGATTCTTCAACATCATTGTCACCACCAGTCTTTTCAGTACTGTTGAAATTAAAAAAGAAAAAAGAGGGCACATGAATCTTCTGTTACACATGCTAGTTTTAAAACCTAGTCTGGTGAAAATCCAAAACTGCAATCTCGTAATTAAAAAAAAAAAATTAGTAACTTGAGATTTATGATAATTATGACAGGTTACAAAAAAATTTGTTTAGTAAATCTTTTAAATATACGTAAATTCTAATAGACTCTTAATCTTTTTCAAACATAAAGTCCCTAGGCACATTACAGCACATAATTATAGGCTTACCCCCCTCAAAACAAATAACCAACTTACAGAACAAAGCTTAGTCAACCTAATTTGAATTACTAAGTAACAAAGTAATAATTTATAATTAATTTCTATATAAAATTTAAAAAAATTTTAATTCACTCTGACATTTTAAACTGGTCTAAACTACCGGCATTTTACTTTACTTATCAACCCGAGGTCAGTCAAATCAAATATGCAAAACTCCAAACCTCTGAAATATCTGTATTGCAGTATTTGAAGAAAAACATTTAGTTACAGTAGCCAAACCCAATTCCCTTTGAGGCAGAAATCATTTATCTTTTGTCAGGTACAACTCTACTTATACAGCCATCAGAATAAACTTCAGTCAAAAAAAGTACTCAGTCACCCCAAATTGCATATTAGGTATGGTATACCTCAGATATAAGTATTTCAGGAATGGTCTATAAATGCAACTTAAGTCAAGAAAAGAGGTGGTATAAGTCAATAATTAAAAACAGTCTACTTTTTTCCTATTTTATAATTACTTATAAAAAATTAGAAAATGCCTTAACTTATAGAATAACCTTTCCAGGAAGACTTCAATTTAAATTCGTATCTTAGCTGTTATGGATACATGCATTATCTGCATTTCACCCAATTATGTTGAATGCATAATGACAGAATATATATCCTATAGAGTTTTACAACTAGCAAAGACCCACAAAAAAATAAAAAGAGGCTGGGCACGGTGGCTCACACCTGTAACCCCAGCACTTTGGGCTGAGGCAGGTGGATCACTTGAGGTCAGGAGTTCGAGTCCAGCCTGGCCAACATGGTGAAACCCTGTCTCTACTGAAAATACAAAAATTAGTTGGGCGTGGTGGGGCACGCCTGTAGTCCCAGATACTTGGGAGCCTGAGACAGGAGAATTGCAAGAACCCGGGAGGTGGAGGTTGCAGTGAGCCGTACCACTGCACTTCAGCCTGGGCGACAGAGCAAGACTCCATCTAAAAAAAAAACTAATTAAAAAAAAAAAAAAAAACCACTTTCCCAGAGTCAGTAATGGCAAAAAAAGTGACTAAAAAACAAATTATATTCCCCAAACGTAAATGTCAACTCAAAAAAAAAAATTAAATATCCTTGACCATAAATATCTCAAAACTACAATCTTTGGGCAATTTATTAAATTATCAACCATCACGCACTCACACATAATTAACGAAATCTCTGAGAACTTTATTAATGTAACAGCGACTAGTATCGGTATCTCCTTTCTGTGTAGAAATTTTGAAACAGATTCATGTAATAAACTTGGAAATTACTAACCATCACTGAACTATCAACGTAACACCATACACTCAGCACCAGTTCAGGCCAATAGAGGAAGATGTTCCAAAAATAAATAAATGTTTCACCTTCCTATCACAGCATAAACAGAATTTGTACTATCTCACTTCACTTAACAAGGCTGTTTACTGATTTCCTCATATATATAGAAACAGAGACCATCTTAGCCTAACATGTCTTAAATTTACTCCATCACCTTTCTAAAAAACTAGTAACTTTTTGCGGGCAACTATTCTGCTATATCCCCTGCAAGGTAGTTAATATGAATTATCTCCAATCTGCACCAAAACGCTCCAAGTAGGCAATATTATTCCCATTTTGCAGATGAGCAAATTCTGCCTGAGAAAAGTTTACCTGTAGACTAAAAGAGTCCTGAATCCAAATATGATACATGACGCTAAAGCCATGCTTCTCTATTCAGGAAACACGGTCACCATAGTTAAAGAGGCACACTTCAATTAAGTGACCAGAACTCTTACTCACTGACATAAATCGGTAAAGCCAAAGCAATACTTATCTTCTCCTTTAAAAAATAAATATTTTATAAATTGAAAGACAAAAACACTTCCCTGCAAAGCACTCCAGAAGGATGAAAACTATAGTGACCTAAATTCTCAAATGAATAGTGTGGATATTCTTCACTTCAGGACTGCCATACCCCGATTCTCCCTACCACCACTTGAAGACATGGTCTCCTCTCGGAGAATCTATAGACCGTGACAAAATCCACACAAGCCACACCCTGCAGGTCAGACAACTAAACTGCAGTTTGGAGTGGTTTCATCAAGCCTCAACTGAAAGGCTTACTGCAAACGAGAGCGGACTCCTGTGATAAAATTCATTTGCTCAGCTTCCAGGTGACATGCCCGGAGAGGCGGGACAAATGAAAATTCTTCCCTCTGCAACCTCTTACCTGCTCCTAGGAGCCTTTTCTTGGGGCTCCGCTCCACCGAAATCGACTGTGGGCACATCTGTGGGCTCCGCGGGCTTGGAAGCAGAGTCCGTGGCAGGATCCGGCGGCCTGGGAGACTCCCGTCCACGCTGGGGATTGGAAGCTGTGGAGCCCCTGGCGCCTACACCAGGCCTGACATTCGGCTTCACGCTAAGGCGTGCCCTGCGGAACATGGCGGAGGCAGGGGGCCCGGGGAGGCAGCCTCACGGCCGCTCACAGCCCCGAGCCCCGGCGGCTGCCCGGAAAGGGGATTAGGAACTACGCCCTCCCCACAAAGCCACACCACCAGCTCAGGGGGCAGCTACCGTAGTTTCACTGCCCCGCCGCCGCCTCCTCCTCTCTCCCGCCGCCGCCGCTTTTTCATGACCCTGCCACACACCGATGGCTAAATTTCACCCTCCTCCCAGCATCCCCGCGCTCACAGGACGCCGCAACTGATTGCGCCATCAGCCAGCGCCGCAGAATGACGTCAGACGCACAGCACTGGGAGCCATGGTAACTACCAAGCTACTGAGACTGGGTTACCTGCGGACCAGAAATTGAGATGCAGAGATATTTGCTCTTTCTTCTCCAGGAGTCCTTAGGAGTAGTTGAAAAGAGGAACAGAAGAAAGTCCACTTCTCTGCTCAAACCTTTACTGGAACTATTAAAATCGCTGGCCGATTTTGTCTTTTGAAGATCCTGAAGGGTTTAGAAATTCTAAATTGAGTAGACATAGATTAAAAATGCTGGTGTGAAGAAACTGATAATAGTTACCTCCCAGGAGAGGAATGTGTTTCTGGAAAACACGTCGTGGTAGGAAGACCATTTACCGTACGCCTTTGTGTACTTTTTTGTTTTTGTCCTTTGAGACAGGGTCTTGCTCTGTCGCCTAGGCTGGAGTGTGCAGTTGCGCGATCTTGGCTCACTGCAGCCTCCACCTCTCGGGCTCAGGCGATCCTCCCGTCACAGCCTCCCAAGTTGCTGGGACCACAGGCACGCGCCACGACACCCGGCTAATTTTTTTTTTCTCGTATATTTAGTAGAGACGGGGTTCATCATGTTGCTTAGGCTGATCTTGAACTCCTAGGCTCAAGCGAGCCACCCATTTGGCCTCCCAAAGTGCTGGGATTACAGACGTGAGCCACCACGCCCAACCTCCTTGTGTACTTTTTAATATGAATGTATCACCCGAGATCGTACCACTACACTCCAGCCTGTTTAAAAATTATTATAGTTGAAACCTTGTAAATTATTGTGAGTGTTCTTAATCTGCTTCAGGAGGTAGCAGTAAACAAGACGTTCTGGATTTGGGAGGAGAAAATACAAAAAAGAAATGAACAAGATATTTTTAAAATGTATCAGGCCCGGCGTGGGTGCCTCATGCCTGTAATCCCAGCATTTTAGGAGGCTAAGGCAAGGCAGATTGCTTGAGGTCAGGAGTTCGAGACCAGCCTGGCCAACATGGTTAAACTCCATCTCTACTAAAAATACAAAAATGAGCCAGGCCTGGTGGTGCAAGCCTGTAATCCCAGCTATGGGAGGCTGAGACAGGAGAATGGCTTGAACCCTGGAGGTGGAGGCTGCCGGGAGCCAAGATGGCACCACTGCACTCTAGCCTAGGCAACAGAATGAGTGAGACTCTGTCTTAAAATAAATGAATTAATTAATTAATTGCAATAAAATAAAGTATATCAAATGTCATGAAATAAATTTAAGGGTTGAATGCCGGGTATGGCGAGGCACGCCTATAATCCCAGCTACTGTGGAGACTGAAGTGGGAGGATCTCTTGAGCCCAAGACTTCCAGACCAACCTGCTCAAAATATTGAGACCCCTAAAACAAATTACCTACATGCGGTGGCTGTGATGGCTCCCACCTCTAGCTCCAGCTACCTGGAAGGCTGAGGCAGGAGGTCCAGGCTGCAGTGAGCTATGATAGTGCCACTGCCCTCCAGCATGGGTGACAAAGTGAAACCTTGTCCTTAAAACAAAAATTTAATAATAAGAAGAAAAAAAAGAGAGAAATGTACAGGATGATGTGATAGAAAGTAATGGGAGGGAGGCTGGCAGTAGAGTGGCTAGGGAAGTCCTCTATGATGAGAGGAAAAATAGCCAGAGCTGAGGTTGGCCTTGGAGGTATTGGGCCAATGTTTGAACCAGTGATACAAATCCCCTGACTCATGGGAACACAAAGGCCTGACTTTCTTCTTAGAAGGAAAAGAAAATCCTACAAGAATATGGTGATACATTAATAACAAAAGGTCAAAGGAATAAAATTCTGAACTGACTGAAGAAATTGATCACCTAAAGGGAGAACAAAAAAGAGGCAAGTGCTTTTGAGAGTAGGAAGGCAAGACTGAAAGCAGAGAAGAGAAAACATATATCTCTAAGACTATGAAGAAAATGAAGGTCTGGAGGCCAGGCACAGCTCGTGCCTGTAATCCCAGCACTTTGGGAGGTTGAGGCAGGCGAATCACTTGAGCCTAGGAGTTTAAGACCAGCCTAGCCAACATGGTGAAACCTCATCTCTACCAAAATTACAAAAATTAGCTGAGCATGGTGGCTTCTGCCTGTAATCCCAGCTACTCAGGAGGCTGAGGTTGGAGGATTGCTTGAGCCCAGGAGGCGGAAGTTGCAGTGAGCCAAGATCACACCACAGCACTACAGCCTGGGTGACAAAGTGAGACCCTGTCTCAAAAAAAAAAAAAAAAAGAGAGAGAGAAAGAAAGGAAGGAAGGAAGGAAGAGAAAAGAGGAGGTCTGTGGATTCCGTGGGCTCCCTGCAATACTCTGGAAAAGGAACAGTATCTCAGTTTTATCTTCTTTATTTAAAGAAGCTCAAGAATTCGAGAGAATACCCTGCTAAAGATGTCTCAGGAATCTTGGAGCCACTGCCAGGTCTACACAGCTTTGAACAGCATATTCTGATACCAACTGAAGACACAGGGCCTTTCCCCAGATGGTCTTCTGTTCCACTTAAGAGACTAGGGCATTGTCCCAAGTTTTTACAGGTCAGAAAGTAAATAGTGACTAAGATTTAATTTCCCACCAGTAAAGGGATGGGAACAGAATCAGATTAAATTTTATTATTAAATATAAAGTCATAAGACATTTGTTACACAAGTTTGTGGAGTAAATTCTTAGTGGCATCATACGAATTTTTTAAATCTCTACTTTTCTCTGAGAGACACACACAACACATTTTGTGTACATGGGGTATATCATGTGTAGCCCTACAACTTAAGAACTGCAAAATTTCAGCTGCAAAGAAAAATGTTCAATTAGATTAAATTGAGAGCACGTACAAAAACAACTCTGCTACTCACCGGCCGGGCGCGGTGGCTTGCGCCAGTAATCCCAGCACTTTGGGAGGCCGAGACAGGCGGATCATGAAGTCAGGAGATCGAGACCATCCTGGCTAACACGGTGAAACCTCATCTCTACGAAAAAAAATACAAAAAACTAGCTGGGCGTGGTGGCGGGTACCTGTAGTCCCAGCTACTTGGGAGGCTGAGGCAGGAGAATGGCGTGAACCCAGGAGGCAGAGCTTGCAGTGAGCTGAGATCGCACCACTGCACTCCAGCCTGGACGACATAGGGAGACTCCGTCTAAAAAACAAAACAAAACAAACAAAAAAACTCTACCACTTACCTTCCAATCCCACCCCATTCCCTCTTTAGATGACCTTATCTCTATAAAGAACTGTGCCAGAGGTTGGAATGGTTGAAATCTCATGCTTGAAATCCCAGCACTTTGGGAGGCCGAGGCAGACAGATCACACGAGGCCAGGAGTTCAAGATCAGCCAGGCCAACAAGGCAAAAAACCGTCTCTACGAAAAATACAAAAATTAGCCGGGGCAGGGTGGCAGCCGCCTGTAATCCCAGCTACTGGGAGACTGAGGCACAAGAATCGCTTGAACCTGGGAGGCTGAGGCTGCAGTGTGCGGAGATTGCGCCAGTGTACTCCAGTCTGGGCAACAGAGTTAGATACTGTCTCCAAAACAAAACACGGTGCCAGAAAGTCAATCTTTTCCCTTCAAGTTACTTCACTAAGTGGAAGCAGAGGCTAGCAGTATTAAGGAAGAGAGGTGGGGTGTGGGGATAGGATAGTGATGTGTGCGAGGCTCTCTGAATTTGAAAGAATAATGACAGTAAGAGCTAACATATTGAGTTCTACCATATGCTGGGGACCTAGTACTTCACATACGTTAATTCAGTTAATGAAGAAGGTACATACCTCCCCATTTTACAGGTAAGAACGCTTTAACATAATGAAATACTGTCCAAGTTGACACAGCTACTAATTAGTAGAGATGGACTTTCAACCCAGACAGTTCATCTCCAGAGCTCCTCAGTCTTCACTTTCTCCACCTTCTCTAAAATAGACGATTTTATGAGGTAATAATTGAAGTTTGGTCGCATCTCCTTGAGGATTCGTTATCCTTGTTACTAATGCTTTTGTACTGTATAAATTTCAGATCTTCCAAAATAAAAGTTTTTAAAATATAGGGCAATGTGGGGTATCCAAATCATCTCAGTTTGTAACAATGTTATCGTTTTGTTTTTATTTTTATTTATTTATTTTTTTTGAGATAGAGTCTCACTCTGTCGCCCAGGCTGGAGTGCAGTGGCGCGATCTCGGTTCACTGCAAGCTCCGCCTCCCGGGTTCACACCATTCTCCTGCCTCACTCATCCTCCCCAGCAGCTGGGACTACAGGCGCCGGCCACCACGCCCAGCTAATTTTTTGTATTTTTGTATTTTTTTTTTTTTTTTAGCAGAGGCAGGGTTTCACCGTGTTAGCAAGGATGGTCTCGATCTCCTGACCTCGTGATCCACCCGCCTCGGTCTCCCAAAGTGCTGGGATTACAGGCGTGAGCCACCGCGCCCGGCCTCTTTTTGTTTTTATTCTTTTGTGTGTGTGTGTGTGTGTGTGTGTGTGTGTGTGTGTGTGTGTGTGTGTGTGTATAACAATGAAAGAGATGAAGTAATTATACGCTACATGAGCCACAGAAGCATCTCTACACGTGTTTCTACCAATGGCAGATGGTCCACAGCTTTTACTAGGTTCCGAGGTTATTCTGGGCTATTCTGAATTGTGGTTAAGACTGCACTCCCTGCCATTCTCTCCCCACCGAACAACCTAAGCACAGTCAGTAGCCTAAAACTCCTGAAGCACTGTGGATCGTGACAAGGGCACTGGAATAAACTGGAAAATAAATATGCTTTAGAGTCCGTCTTAAATTTTATTCTCATATCAATTCCTACGCAGTTAAGTCTGTCTCTTATGCAAAATGAAAACAATGAAGCCTAACTTGCAGAGTTGTGTTTAGAATAAGGAAGGAAAATATGTAAAGGACAGTGCCTTTTGCAGTTACCCTCAATCTGTTCAGTCTCCATCCGCCCCTCTCCGCCTCCGCAAGGGGATGAATGAAAGCTAATGTGCTTTGCCAAAAAGTAAGATATTGTAGTGTTTATTGTGATTTCCTATTAAAAAAAAAGTGGGGAGCTGGTGGAGCCCCTGTGCCTGGCGCACAGTGGGGAAAATCCACACACGCCTATCCCTCCGGCAGAACAGAACCCGCTTTCTGGGCTCTCGCTGGGCTCTCCCAGGCGTGTGTAGCAGCAGGGCTCCCGGCGCCGCCAAGTCTCCACGGGCTTCGGTTCTCGTTATAAGAAACGTGTTATAATTATTTTAAAACATTTAAAGAATATTCTTGACCTTAGCAGTTTTTTTATCTACTCCATTTACAATTTCAAATCAATAATTTCTGGCTGATTTTTTAATTACTCGAACTATGAAATCAACACATCCTTGCTATAATGTTATTTATAGTATAAAGTAAGTTGTTTGGGGCACCGAAGGGTGTGAGAAGGGAGAAAACATGTATTTGCAGACAATAATTCCTTCTTAATTGCTTGATTATTTCTGAATTAGGTAGAAAGAACATCACAAATTATTAGTCAAATAGATGTATTTTCATAACTGACTGAAATCCTAGAGATAATATAGTTTAATTTCCTCAAATTTTCCAATGAAATTATTAAATAGAAGCTTTTTAAATGGCTTCGGGTTAGAAAACTACTCACTGCTAGAATTTTGACTATAGTCTAAGTTTTCTGATATCCAGTTTAGCTTTCTTTTTTATCTAAAATTTCATCTTATCTTAAACTCATGAGTATATGTGTGTGAAACCGGAATCAAAAATAAAAATTTCTCTTGAAGGCTGGTGAGTTTAGTCATTCAGCCTCCATGATTTAGACATAAGCAGAAATATGTATAATACATGAGAATCTGTTAGCATTCAGCAAACCTCTGTGTGATAGTATTAGCTTGATGCTGCTGCTGCAAGATCAATTTGTTATTAGTTAGGTGGCTTGTTTATGTATATGTATTTATAGATCCATTTAAAATAATTAACGGTAATTTTTCAAGGTCTGTTCAGATAAACCACCACAAACAGTGGTAGGGAGGTAATAGCTGAATCTACATTGGTATACAGAAGCAAGATTCTATTTGTGTAAGAATCATAAGACTAATATTTGGGAAATATCTTCATATATCCCCAATTTAAATAATAATAGCCAAGATCAGGAAAAGTCTGTAGGAAATCTAAGGGTTGTTATTCCAGTATACATAAATCACAAGTTCCCTGTCAGCTCAGAGTAATTTTTTCTTCAATAAATCATAATCACAATTTACACTGTTTGGAACAAACCTAAGTAAATGAAGAAAGACTGGCTTCTGTTTATATAGCCACTTAAGATCCTTTTTGACAAAAAGATGACTCAGATAAACATATTTATTTGACATAGTGGGGAGCAATAGGACTTATGTAAAAAGGAAGACATTAGGTTTTCCGCTATCGAACACCAAAGGACAATCACTTGCTCTTTTTATTCCTCATCACTAACATATGAGAAAAATACTTATGGTAACCTATTTCACAGGATTCCCGTAAGAATCAAATGAGAGAATAAGTTCTTGGCAAAGTTTAAATGTTGCATTAGTTTGCATTATCATCATTTATTTTATTAAACATCTTGAAAGAGTGTGGTCACAATGCTTCTGTGTAAAGTTATGGATGTGTCTGAGAATTTCAAAGAGCCATATGAAATGATAGGATTCATGTGACTTTTAAGAAACCTGTAGATAAAGCATGAACAAATCAGAGATAAACTTTAGCTCCCTAGTACATTTGAGCTTTGCTGTTACATTATGCCACTTGGAGAACTAGGATAGTAAAAATCATCATAATTTTGGCCTAATATATTTTTATGACTGTTCTTGAGATATTCATTTACTTAGAGTGGAGCTATTTTCTTGTTTTAAAAAAGCAATAATTATTATATTTGAGTGGGAGAGCAAATGAATTGCAGAAGGGATTTTTAAAAATTTGAAATTGAGTAATTTGTGCTAATGGAATTATATATTTGGAAGCTCTGGATGGAATCTATTTTTTAGCCTAAAGTTTTTTTTGTGAATTTTTTTCTGCTAAATCATACATAACTTTTAATAGCAGAACTGTTACAATAGTTTATCAGTTATAAAATGGTTTTTAAAGATGTGAAAATGATTTTTGTTAATCATAAAATCTAGAAAATGTTCCCATTCTGTTGGAAGTAGGGATTTTGATCAGTTTTAACATTTGGGAACTTCCAAATATTTGTTAATTTTATAGTTACAGTAACCTGACTTTTAGTGGTGGGTTTCTTCTGTACTGACTATGCAACATTGGCAAATTTGCTTAACTTCTCAGAGCCCTAACTTAATTAATTAAAAAAATAAAATATTATAATGTCTGCTTAATAGAATTGGACTAAGGGGTTCATGGATAGCTATAGCTGAAGTGCATGCCAGTCACTTACTACATAGCAAGCATGTAATAGACAGTACCTGTTATTTTCATGTGACTACGGTCTCCCCTCACTCCTCCAACAAAATGGTCTTATTTTGCTTTGTTCTTCATGTGTGTAGTTTCACATAAAATCAATTAGTGTTCCAACACAGGTTAAAAAAACTACTGAAGAGTCATCATACTCTCTGTAGAAACCATTCAGGGTTTTGAAAGACCTCTGGATTTTATGAGAACAGAAAGGCTGATTATTTGGAAATGTCATCAGGGCAGTCTCATGGAGTTGGAGTTTCCAGATAGAACCCATCTACTATGGCACAGAGTTTCGTGTGCACCTGTTTTAGTTGGTGATGATGATTGCAGGTTGGCTGGCAGGGTTCAGGAAAATAAGCCGTGTCTTAATGTTTTAATAAGTTTTAAAAATAGTTCACAATTTAAGATCCTCAGAATGGGACTTAGACCAATATGAGAAACGGAGTGCTTTAATTGCATGACCAACTACACATTAGAGCCCTGGAATCTATCCCACTGTTATTTACAAGTATTGTGTTAAAGACTAGTTGGAACCCTCTCAGGAGAAATTAGCAGTTACATTTTCTTATTTTTACAATTTATGCTCAAGGTGCATTTACTTCGATGTAAGCAGCCTCTTTTCTACTATAACACTCTCATGCCAATCTAAAATTGGACAATGGGTTTCCTGCTTTACAGCAGCAAAAATTGTTCTCCCTCTCCTGAAGTGGTTGACTGGGTTTCTTCACATTCGGCTGTCACCCTCCACCAGCTGAGGGAGCAAGAGACCTCTGCATGGGAGGCTACAGCCCCACCTCCTGGGTCTCCTGCAGGGCCGTCTCCGTTTTCAGAGTAGGATGAGTACCTGCCTTAGTAACAGCAATTCAGTTACCCTGAAGTTTTACTTTGTCCAAAAAGTTTCACCAAGAGCTTGTATTTTAATGAGATACTTTAAAAATATATTTGGGAATGTATAAGGCAAACGGATTCTCTATTATTTATACTTAGTGCATTCGCCTACTGAAATTTGAGGGTTTTCTAAGATATATATAAATATCACAATGTAAATATAGCTTCTCGCTCTTCCTCTCTCTCTTTCTCACACACACACGCAAGCACACGCACCCACCCACACACGCACACACACATCAAGGAAATGCCATATGTCCCAAGTGAGGCCCACTGGAAAAAAACAAAAGTGCTGAACATATCACTCAGGATCATTGTGAGAGGACAGTCGTCAGCTTTCTCTCTGGCAATGAGAATTTTCTCACCCTCAAGACATGCAAATTACTTTTTTCATCTGTTCTTTTTATGTTATTTGCATAATTTTCTCCTGCAAAAGTGAGAGCTGTCAAAAATTAACCATTTGGGGCTTTGGCATTCAGTTATGTGACCTTTTCCAGAGAGTTAGATCTCTTCAGGGAACTAGGAACTTGATGAGGAAGTGCTGAGAAGGTGATCAGTGGCAGAAAGAGCGGATGACGGATGGGGACCAGCAGGTTGGTAACGGCACATAACTACGTTTAAAAAGTTGTTAGATATTTTCGATCCTCTCATATGCTTGTTTGTTTTTGTTTTAGTAAATCAGTGTTTCAACAGATAATCAAAGAGATGATTCGGTTAGGTGTAGTGCTGTATTCTCCTACGTTACTCTGGTTAATGGTACAATGCAAACATTTTTTGCAAGTTTAATGCTAATTGAAAATGCCGTTTGGAAAACTACACAAGCAAGGCTGTGTTCATGCCGTGGTTTGAGTGCTTGTGTCTGTAGCAATCTGCCAAATATGCTTATTTAGTATGAATACTTCCTTTTTATAAATTCAGAGAGTTGCACTCTGGAGGGCTGTAATAAACCTTTAAATTCATTTTACTTCGACAAAGGTTGAAGTATGTAGCAGGCGAGCGTCAGGGACAAGTGCAGCTATCTCTTTGATCACATCGCTTTAAACATTTTTCAGCTTTAAGCTTGTCTTACAAGTCAGCTCTATCAGTCTATTAATTGTTTCACTGTACCTAATATCTTACACGAAGGCACCTTGAAAAACAGCAGGAGAAAGCACATTTGTTTAAGTCCTGCGATGGCTAGCACGGCAGCTAATCTCCTTGCAAATTATAATCATAGTTGTAGTTCATCCATTAGGCTGGAAAAGACAAGATTCCCAAGTGGCCTTGGTGCCTTTTCCAGTTCCCGGGAGACCCACCAACCCTCGGCGTGTGTTGCCTGCGCACCCGGAGCGTTCTTGCTAATCAGGTCAATGATTAGCGCCTGGCTCCAGGGACCTGCCAAGAGTGTTAGGGAGCCTCCAAACGGAGCACGCTCACGGAGAATCTCCCGTTCAGAAACATCGCTTAGTCCTCATTTACTCACTGGGAACCTCGGAGGATTTCAGCTGATGTTTTTCTCTCCTTAGACAGTGAGGAGCTCAACATAACAGGGAAAAGGAGCACAGGATGCAGCTACTTAGAGGGTGTTGATTGAAAACTTCGATCTCCCCACCCCATCACGGTTGATTTGACGGATTTCTCACCTCGTTCACAGAGAAAATTTCAATTAAGGTAAGTGCTGCTTTATCCGGGTGACTGCATGGCACTGAATTTCTGCATTGAAAGTTCTAACTGACTAAACTGACATTCTGCACTGCAGCAAGTGACTGTGTCAGGAAAAGCTTAATTTATAAGCAAGTTTCCTGGAGTAAAAACGGCGTTGGAGATAATGATATCTCAGGGCAATTTCTTTTGAAATACATTCATTCTGCCTTGTATCCAGAGAAAATAAAAGGGAACATGAAAAGATAGTTAATTTCTCATTTTACCTTTTTAATAATCTATCTGGAAGGGTTGTGCATTGCCAAGGTAAATTGATTTTGATTGAAGTGATTTGTTGATGTCATATAGTAAAATCTGAGTCTGAAAGCTTCAAAGTTAAATCAGATGGAAAGAAAATTTGCAAATGCGAGTTGAGATTTTGTGCAGCTTTCTACTTTAGCAATATTCCTGAGCTCCCTTTTGGTTTAAGGATTTAGGACTAAATCCCTGAATATTTTAATAGTATCCATTTGGAACTTAAAACTTAAATGTTATAGTTTCTGATGCAAGTATTAAGAAAAATGAAACTAGAAGACTTATTATACCATTCATATAATTTATAGTCCTTATTCAACAGAAGTGGATTTCTTTTATGACATGAATAAAAAAAGAAAGCAAAGGAAAATTAAGTGCTTTCTAAAATGCTTGTTTTTGAAAGAATTCTTCAATAAGAGATTATGTGTTTGTAAAAAAATCTTTTTTATGTTTTATTTCATTTTTATTATTAAGATATAATGAATCGAAGTGAAGCTTACATTTCCTATATCACTTAGGGCAATTATCCAGGTAATTCAGATTAAACCATTCCATATTAATTCTTTTTTACCCATTTTCTTGTAAGCTTGTTAAAAATATCTAGAAAGGTATTGTAAGCAACTTTTTTCCAAAGTTTAATTACCTGAACTTTTTCTTTTCTACCTTACTAAGCGCATACATGCCTGATGGTTTTACTCCATATTATGATAAATTTTTATGTAATTAAGAGTAATTAAATAATTATATCACTATAATTATGTGATCTATTAGTCTGCACTCTAAATACTGAAGAATAGCAATCACTTACCTTGATACTGTATGACATAAAAGTTTTCAAATAATGAAATAAACATTATTTAAAATATCACATATAATACTGAAACAGGTTGATTTTTAACAATTAATTTCTATTGTTAAAGCAAAATGTAAATATCTAGCTGCTTTTGTATAAAGATTTATAATGGTATCTCAAGTGTGCTTTTCAGAGTGAGCACTCGTATTTCCTGAAGTGCTGACTTCCCTTTTCTTCTATGGATCTCTTGAGATGGGACATTTTATAAAGATGTCAGAACACTTTCTAATAATTGGCTATCATTCTGAAATTCTCTGGAGAGCTTTTCAGGCTGATGTCGATGTTACTGCTTCTTCCAGAGGAGTAAACTATTTTCAAGGTTCCCAAAGGCTGATGTGTACTTGGCTACCAGTATGTTTGTAGCTAAAGCCTGAAGACTTTTATCTACTTCTCTTGTTCTGAGACGTCTATCTCTTTTCCCTGGGGAGATGATTTCTCAATAGAATTAAAGATAATTGAGAGAAGAATGTGTTGACTACAGTGATTGTCCCTGGGTCTTTGGCTTCTTTTTTTTTTTTTTTTTAAGCAAACTTGATAAACAGAAAGAGGCAACATTAACCAAACAGGGACACACACTTGCTACTAGCGAACTTGCATGTCGCTGAAAACATCTCTATCCTTGTGCCAACTTCAGAATTGATGGTGGCATCAGACCCAATGAACTTTTTTGTTGGATGTATTGACCACTGAAGTGTCTGACCAGAGTACGTCCATTGAAGGTTGTGTTTACTGTCTAATGAAATATCTATGTTTAAAAATTGAGGGAATTGTAGTTCTCATTCAAAAAACAACAAATCCCCAATACACATGTTTACTTATATAACAAACCACCATATGTACCCCTGAACTTAAAATACAAATTTAATTTAAAAAATTAAAAATGCAATTGCTTAAAGGAGTCTTACCATTGTCATAGTTGTCTGAATTTGCAATATACTGATAAGAGGATGAAGAAAATCTTGGGTTCAACTGAGAATTAGTAACAGTTTATTTTACTTAGCATCTGCCTCCTTAATCTATATTGAATTCCATTTTTCATTTGATTGAGGGTAGTTTATTTCTTCTGTAAGATGGGAAAACATCTCATAGGATAACCTCACTTAGAGTAGGAAGTCTCAAAATTTAAATAAAATAATCTTTTAAAACTTTACAAAACTTGCTTCAAGTTCTTCTATAACTTGCTCCTCAATAAGTAATATGTTCAATAAAAGACACTAGAGATAGGCAGTATCTAATCTAGCTCACATGCTTCCTCAACTCAGATAGCTGAGTTATAAACTTTTTATATATGAATAAATGATAAATATAAAAACATATGAAAGTTGAAATGTTAACATGGATGTTATTTGCCCTCATTTTCCAGAAGGAAAGCTGGAATCTGAGAGAGCATATGTAACTGGGCCAAGGGCACACAGTAATGAACCTATAACTAAAATTCAGATCTGGCTGTGTTTAAAACTCATACACTCTATACCATACCTTTTTGTTACCTCATATATGGTGACTGTTTCCAGCACTTGACATGATACTCATGAATATTGTAAGACTATTTTTAAGATAGTACAGAGTAATCATATTACCTTTAGAACAGGTTAACTCTTGTTTACACAAAATAAATGATTTTGTAAATTCCATCACCACCAGTATTGGAAACCAGCATGTACTTTGTTCTTTTAGTTTCTGAAAGAGGTTAGTGTGCAAGTCTTTGCTTCCAGCTAATTCTGATTACTACTGACAGAAAAAGCACTCTACTGTAAGCAAAGTCTCTACTGAAATTTAGTATTTGTAACATATACATCTTTCCAAGAGAGGTTGACACACTCTCAGGATAAAATAAAATAAAATGTAGAGATATAAATTCAGTGTTAATTGTATTGAAATGCGATTAAAAGGAAGTTAAGGGAACTCAGGTTAATAGTGAAAGATATTCACAATATTAGAAAAGGTAGAGAAACTAACTGTTGGAATTGAATGTTGGAAGTGGACTTCAGAAAAAACAGACTTACATATTCAGCAGCCTATTTGCTATGCTGACTTTACATAAACTTTCCCATATGTCCACAGAGGTTTGGTGTAGCTAATCGTGTTGATATTGTGGTAATATTTTTCAATTAATATTTGATCTAATCCTGTGACAAGAAGGGAGGGATGTTATAAGATTAGAGGTGACCTGGAAAATTTAATATGATTAGCTGTCATATCCAATGATGTGCTAAGATGGTAACTAGAAGTTAGGTTGTATGGTTATAAAATATGATAATTTATTGTGTTCCAACATGTTCCCAAATCTGGAAAGAGATGACGTTGTACCAGATACTGTAAATAACAGGTTCCACAATGACTAGAAATATGTTCAAGGCATATATGTGTATAATCTCCAACAACCAACCAGCGTACTTTCAATTCTCTAGGTTGTTGGAAAATGGTTGGCTTATCCTAATTGTGTATAAGAATAACAGAAAAAACAAAGTATATGTACACATTACCTCCTGTATTACTATTCCAAAAGAATGAATATTATCTATAAAGAACAATATTGTAGAAGAGCTTGTAATGGTAACAGTTCACAATGCATAGGTGTTTCCACCAAGAAAATATGACCATGTGTCTAGGCTCTACTGGCCGCAGTAGATTTGATGAGAAATGAATGTGCCAAGGTCTAAGAGAGCCCTCTCTAGACTGGCCAATGGCCACCATGTGGCCTTCCAGGAGAACCATGCCAATAAAAATGTTCTGTGTGAAATAACAAATATTTGACTTGGTTATCTTAAATTTGAAATACCATGTGGAGCCTCAGCAGTTAGTGGCCAGGAAAAGAAGTTGAGAAACATAGAAAGGACAGTCTGTGGAAATCATGAATAAGCTGCAGTAATGAGGCCAGTAGAAAAGAAAGAAAAGAGGTTAATTGCATTAGGTCAGTAAGAACAGACACATTTTCTAACTTACCCTAATAGCTAAGCGCAAGAAGAAAAGAGTGCTTCTCAGAGGAAGTACTGTGTTATCCTGGGTTGATATCCCGTATCGTATTCCAGGCATACCATGCAGTGGTGAGACTTCCCCATTTTTCACATTCACATTTTTCTCTGTAGTTTTAGTCCTGTTAATCCATTCAAATTGAGCACATCTATTTCCCTTACAAATGAAAATATTACAACTAACTCAGTATCTTACATGTTCATAGTTCTGGTAGACAATGGATAGGGCAGTAATGTTTAGTGGCTGTACGTGTTCTAGGTTCAACTACCTGGTTCAAATCCAGCTGAGGGCATTTTCTAGCTCTGTGGCCTTGGACAAGTCAGTTAAGGTGTCTAAACTTTGTTTTTATGTTATTTAAAATTGAGCCAATCACAGTACCTATCCTATTGTAGTGTTCTGAGAAATAAAGGAGGGAATTGATATATCCACAATTGCTCAGGTCCTCAGAAAATGATAGTTGTTATTATAAATAGAGAACCTTATTATTAGCTGTCACCTTACCTGTAAAGTAGCAAAAATTAGAGATCTTTTCTCTCCTAAGCAACAATGAACACGTGGATCTTGCAAAACTTCCAGGAACAATTTCATAACACTGTGTTTATATAAGTACATTTTGAATTTTGGGGCATACTCTTTTTTGGGGGTCCTGTTGGATTTACACAGATGAAGTGGATGTTTCTTAAAAGAATGTAACTTAGGAGCCATTTTAGAGAAACCATCCTATTTGTCATGAGGACTAAATTAGCAACTGAATTCTTTGACTCTTTCTTACGTACATTGAAAGGAATTGAACAAGTCTTGAAAAAGAAGTTCCATTTGACCACTGGTAGTCAACAATCTAACTTGGTATTACAGGGGCCAGAAAAATAGCCCATGATTTGTTTTTGTAAATAGAGTTTGGTTGGAATACAGCCACAGCTATTCATTTCCATCTTGTCAATGGCTGATTGCAAGCCACAAAGCCAGAGTTGAATAGTAGAGCAGAAAAAGATTGTAGAGCCTGAAAAGCTAAAAATATTGGCCATTTTGTCTTTCACAGAAAAAGTTTGCTGACTGCTTCTTTAGAAGAGAAACATTCATCTTGCATGATTTTTTTATTATCAGCATAATGAATATTTGGTAGAATTTTTTTTCTTTTTCTTTTTTTTTTTTTGAGGCAGTCTTTTTTTTTTTTTTTTTTGAGACGGAGTCTCGCTCTGTCGCCCAGGCTGGAGTGCAGTGGCGCGATCTCGGCTCACTGCAAGCTCCGCCTGCCGGGTTCACGCCATTCTCCTGCCTCAGCCTCCCGCGTAGCTGGGACTACAGGCGCCTGCAACCATGACCGGCTAATTTTTTTTTTTTTTTTTTGTATTTTTAGTAGAGACAGGGTTTCACCGTGTTAGCCAGGATGGTCTGGATCTCCTGACCTCGTGATCCATCCACCTCCGCCTCCCAAAGTGCTGGGATTACAGGTGTGAGCCAACACGCCGGACCGTGGTAGAATATTTTTAAATGTCTTGAAGATAACTATCTAAATGTCTGTCTCTGGAGAGACTCAGTATTTTTATTTCCTCACACTCACTAATTCATCCATATTTTTCTATGGTATTTAAAACCTCTAATTATAAATTTTGACAAAGTTATCAACTACCAGTGTATATATGCAAAAGTATTCCATTGCATACTTTGCATATTGATTCAAATAATAAACATAGAGAAACTCTTTTTTTTTTTTTTTTTACAGTGGAATCCATTATTTTTCATCCTCCAAGCCACACCTTATATTTTGGTACATATAGGAATCAACTGCTATGTGACTTAAATAAAGAAGCAGATTCCTGGGTCTCATTCCTGGAGTGCTGATTTCACAAGTCAAACCTTAGTGGGTTTAGTAGGTCAAAACTTTGGTAGATTTCTTTCAGTTGTAGAAAAGAAACCAGGAACCACAGTTTGAGACATATACAGTTGATTCTGACAAAAACAGAATATATAAGAATGTGGCCTAATTATTGGGATTTAAAAAAAAAATTTCCCAGGTAACTCTATTATGTAGCCCCAGTTGGACACTGCTGCTGTCGACCAGCAACTCTCAAACCTTAAGAACAGGCACGCAAGTTACCTGGGGATCTTTTTTAGAGGTTTTAGAGTGTGCCTCAAGATTCTGCATTTCTAACAACCTGCCAGAGAGGTTGATGCTACTGGTGATGAGAAATGCTGCTCTCATATCACCACTGCCCCCTACTCTGCCCCATGGCTGCCATGGGTGGACGAGTGTCTACTGGAGGACGTTTCACAGGATGAGACTCACTGCCTAGCTCACCTGAATCAGATGTTGATCAACCTTCTTGAGAAGCTTTTCCCATCTCAGGAAGGTGATGAAAAATTCTGAACCAGGTCAAAATTGAGAAATATGTATATTATATTTAATATATAATATAAAATTTTGTGTGTATATTTAATCTATTGTTGATTTCTACATAACTATTTTGGACATAGAATAGTTGGATGTCTTAGAAAGCAAAATATTTAGGTAAGTATCGCTGACATATTTAATTCCTTGCAATTAAGAGGGACAGGGTGTTCATTGCTTCTCCAGTCTCCCTTCCCAATATCTAGAAGTTTTTGGCTATAGCATTGCCCAAGATAACTCCATACTGAAGTTCAAAACTTATCAGAAAATGCTGACTTCTCTGGTAACATCTCAGTTCTCTGTATTCTAGCAATGTAGCCTTAAGACTTTCTTCTTTGTCAGTTCAACTTTCTTCTCTCCCAAAACTGAATTACAAGGATATTGATTTCATCTCTCTTCTTTATTTAAACTTTTCTCCCTTTCTAATCTCAACTGCCATATTTCTTTCTTATTGCCAAAATCTATAAACAATAGAGGGAAATATATTTCATTAATATAGATATAAATTTTGGATAATTTATATTACCATCATTATGGTAATATAAATTAAAAATTACAAACCTGCCCCCATAATTTCCTATTACTCTTCTCTATTATTTTCTTCTGTAATGTTTAAAATCTTATCAACCGTATTCTTTTAAATTTATTTGATTATTGTTTTTCTCCCCACTCCCCATTATTAGAATGTGAGCTCTATGAAGGCAGGCTTTTTGTTTCTTTTATTCAAAGCTGCAACTCAGTACCTAAGATAGTGTCTGTTACAGAGTTTATCCTCAGAAAATATTGTTGACCAAGATTGAGTGAATATTCCAAATTAATTTCTGTGGCTGTTGTATTAGAATTGAGGCAATTGCTTTTGCTTTTGTTGTTAACGTTTTAACACATTATAAAATCTTAATGTGTAAGATTCAACCATATTTGTTCATTGACATTCATCCATTGAATTTACTCAGTAACTATTGTGTACCTCTTAAGTGTTAGGTGCTGTGCTAGGTGCTAGGGATACATGTTGACAAGGCCTAGTTCCTATGCATAATATGCTCAGCCTGATGGTGGGAGAGGGGAACTAAAGAACGAGTAGTCACAATGCTTGTGGTCTGCCATCATGGAACATATGTACAGACTGCTGTCAATGCACAAAAAATAGCTCCTGACTTAAACAGAGAGGCCAAGAGGAATTCCCTTATCTGTAAATTAAAGAATAGCTTGAATTTAGACAGACAGGAAAAGAGAGACCATTAGCTCCTAATGGAAATCACACTATGTGCTAAAAGCACAGAGATATGTTGGGTGCATTCCTGACACCCTCCAGCACCACATTAGTTTGATAGAACATGACAATGGAGTGGTGAATATGTAAAAAAGAGCAGCTTCATTGATGCCTGTGTAAGAGGTGCGAACTTTAACCCAGGAATAATGAGAACTCATTAAAGAATTTTCAGAAGGGCAAGCTAGATTTATTGCTGCTCTAGTCTGAATTTTACATTTTATTTTTTACTACTTCAAATAGAAATACATGTTATTAGCTACTTAAAAAAATACACGTGAATTGGGCTGGGCGCGGTGGCTCACACCTGTAATCCCAGCACTTCGGGAGGCCGAGGCGGGTGGATCATGAGGTCAGGAGATCAAGACCATCCTGGCTAACACAGTGAAACCCCCGTCTCTACTAAAAATACAAAAAACTAGCCGAGCGTGGTGACGGGTGCCTGTAGTCCCAGCTACTCGGGAGGCTAAGGCAGGAGAATGGCGTGAACCCGTGAGGTGGAGCTTGCAAAGGCTGAGGCGGGAGAACGGCGTGAACCGGTGAGGCGGAGCTTGCAGTGAGCTGAGATCGCGCCACTGCACGCCAGCCTGGGCGACAGAGGGAGACTCCGTCTCAAAAAACAAAAAACAAAACAAAACAAAACAAAAACACGTGAATTCTATGTTTCTATTTCATTGAGTTGTTTGAGTTCCTTATAGATTCTGGATATTAACCCCTTGTCAGATGCATAGTTTATAGATATGTTCTCCCATTCTGTCAGTTGTCTCTTTGCGCTGTGGATTGTTTCCTTTGCTATGAAGAAGCTTTTTATTTTGATGTAATCCCATTTATCTATTTTTGCTTCTAAATCTGTGTGTTTGAGTTCTTATCCCACAATCCGAATAGAATTTCTCAAAAGGGGGACATACAATGGCCAACAGGCACATGAAAAAATGCTCAACATCACTAATCTTCAGGGAAATGTAAATTACAAACACAGTGAGATATCATCTCACCTCAGTTAGAATGGCTATTATCAAAAAAGCAAAAAGTAACAAGTGCTGGCAAGGATGTGGAGAAAAGGGAATTCATATTGCTGTTGGTGAGAATGTAAACTCGTACAGTCATTATAGGCAAGAGTAGGAAGGTTTCTCAAAATATTAAAAATAGAACCACCATATGATCCCAAAATGCCATTGCTGGGTCTGTATCCAAAGGAAATAACATCAGTATGTCAAAGAGATGTCTGCACTCCCACATTTATTGCAGCACTATGTACAACAGCCAAGATATGGCATCAACCTAAGTGTCCATCAGCAGATGAGTGGACAAGGAAAGTGTGGTATATATACACAGTAGAATACTATTCAGCCATAAAATAGAATGAGATTCTGTAATTTGTAGCAACTTGGATGAGCCTGGAGGACAGTATGTTAAGTGAAATAAGCCAGGCACAGAATGACAAATACCTCATGATTGCACTCATATGCGGTATCTGAAAAAGATGATCCCATAGAAGTAGAGAGTAGATTAGAGGTTAGCAGAGGCTGTGGCAGGGGGAGGGAAAAAGATGTATAGAAACAAATTGGTCAAAGTTACAGTTAGATAGGAGAAATAAGTTTTAGTATTCCATTGCACAGCATGGTGACTATAGTTAATATAACATATATTTCAAAATAGCTACAAGAGAAAATTTTGAATGCTCTCACCACAAACAAATGATAAATTTCTGAAATGATGGATATGCTAATTGCCCTAACTTGATTATTACACATCGTATACCTATGTTGAAACATCACACTGTTTCCCATAATTATGCACAATTATTATGTGTCAATTAAAAAATAAATTTTAAAAAATTTAAAAAGGCACATGAAAAACAAAAATATGTATACTATAGGAGAAAATAAGTTTTAGTGGAGTTGAAGGGAGAGAAAGTCACTTACCTAAATGCTGTGCCAAGAATATATGAAAGTTCGCGTGTAGAGCTTTGAACCAAATAAAGTTGAATGAGCATAAATTTGGCAAAGTTATAAATCCATAGGTGATTTTCAGGGGTTCTGTATTGCAGGATTAGATGAATGAATGTATTTCAGTTTCAGAGTTCAGGAAAAGTGAAGAATATGGATGGCCATATCTGCTAGTACTGACGTGGAGAAGTGTTCACATCCTCCCACCTCCTGACTGCGACCTAACAGAAAAGGCCACTTTTTTGCCTCTACTCTTGCTGGATAATCAAAGTCAAACTGAGCTATTTAAATTTAACACCATTGACATTCTTAGAAGGAGAACTTCTGAGCTTTTTATTTCAGAGATAGAACACTAAGGGTTAACTCTGGCAAAATCTCTGACCCTTTTGTGCAGAGCTTGTTGTCGCTAATATTAGCTGAAACTAATTTTTCAGTTTTCCCTTACCATTCTACCTAAAATATCACCCACCCTATCTCTTTCTCCTTATTGTTCATCTCAGATTTACTGTCTTACCTGCTGATGGTTGCTCCAATGGGACTGTAAGCTCTGTGAAGATGAGAACCTTGCTTTGTTTACTGCTGCAGGCTCATCACCTAGATCAGTGTCTGTCACAGAGGTAGTAACTATATGTTGAAAGAAGGAAGGAAGGAAGGAAGGAAGGAAGGAAGGAAGGAAGGAAGGAAAGTAGGGAGGGAGGGAGGGAGGAAAAGAGAGGGAGGGAGGGGCAGAGGGAGGGAGATATCAGTGCATTCCCTAATCTCGCCTCAAAACCTTTTCTATGTCTTCTCTCTTTACCATCTCAGTAAGTGGCACTCTAATCCACCCAATGTGTCAAGTTAGGAATCCAGCAAACATCTTTGCCTTCCCACTTGTCACTTCCCACAGATCCAATTAACATGTGGTCCTTTCAATCCTGCCTTCTAACTTTCTCTCCCCTGGCTTTCCCTCGTTGTTTCCCCACAGTTCTTATCACCTTCATCTGTCACTTGCCTTATGGCTGCATTACCGTATTCCTTTTCTACACAAGATAATGCCATATACTGACAGAAAATTGATATCTCTGAATACAAGCTTGCCCTATTACCCCCATGTTAAGGCTTCTCTTGTAGTTTCCCTGCTTTTTAAAGACATAATTAAAACCCCCACTGGACACCCATTTTTTTGTATATATTTAAGGGGTACAAGTACAATTTTGTTATATGCAATATATATTGCATAGGGTGAAGTCTGGCATTTTAGGGTATCCATCACTCAAATAATATACATTGTACCCATTAAGTTATTTATCCTCCCTCACACTTTTCCATCCCCCAAGCTCTGAGTCTCCAGTGTGTATCATTTCATACTCTATGTTCATTTGTACACATTATTTAGTGCTACTTATAAGTGAGAACATGCGGTATTTGTCTGTTTCTGAGTTATTTCACGTAAGATAATGGCCTCCAGTTCTATCCATGTTGCCACAAAAGACATGATTTAATTCTTGTTTATGTGTGAATAGTATTCCATTTTGTATATACACCACATTTCTTTATCCAGTCATTTTGTGATGGATTGATTCTGTATCTTAGATATCTTAAGATATGGAAACTTAGGTTGATTCCATATCTTTATATGGTGAATATGGCTGCATCCATTTCAACGTGAGGTTTGGATGCTGCATCATATCTGCTTTTTCTTAATCTCAAGCAGTCTATGACCCAGCCATGGTTGCTATCATTTGGTTCCTATGTCTGAGATTTCATGTTTGCTGTCTGTCACAGTAAGTTGACTTTTTGTCTGACTAGATCTATTGACCTTCAGAACTCAAGATACATTTCATACAAGTGTTTTTTGGCCCCTACAAGTGGAGTTCAAATGTTTTTTCTATCAGTTTCCATAGCACACTCTATGTCCCTTATAATCCAATCACAGAACTCATTACTTCATTGAATAATGCCACACTTCAAACTCTTTGATGGCAGGTTCTATGCCTGTGTCATTCACTACTATATTCCCAGTGACAGGCACTTATGTGCCCAAATCCTTTGTAAAAAGAATAGTTGGTGATCTTCTTCAAATTAAAAACATAGTTATTTATTCATAAGCCAATGCTTCTTCCTTCTACTTGGGCAATTAAATTCCTGACATTCTGAAAAGAATTTTGCTTCCCTATGTCCCCTTGATGAAATGTCAGAGAACACAAAGTATAGTAACAATTAGATTAATTCAAAACACTTATCATGGTAGTAACCACTGAAATCTGTTTAATGCATTTCCAACATCATATCCACCTTATGGATGATGTAGATATCTTGTACTTTAATGAACAGTGGAAATTGTTCACACACGTTTGGTAAAAGTCACCTATTTTCAATCAGCTCTTTTCTGTGTAATAACTGGGTGACATTTCTCATCCATTTGTGATCAATGAACATGCATATTTTAACTCACACGTCAATTTTCTTCAAAAGCACCACTCTTATAGCTTTGTATTTCATAACTGGATGATAATTAGTATAGGGGAGCTACACTAATTCCTATTCTCCAGCTTTTTGATCTTCAGAGAAGTGTAATTGGTAGAACAAACAACTGAAATTGGCTATATTGTACTTGATAATCAGTAGTCAAAAAGCACATCCTGAAGAGATACACTTTGATCTCTTGTGTTTGAGAAATAATTACACTGTTATATTTAATATTACAATAATTAAATGATATTTTATTATTTGTCCTTTATATGAAGTGAGGTAAAATACTCTAAAAATCAATATAGAGTAAACAACAGCAATAATTCTGGAAAGTATTTCTCTCACAGATATTTAGAAGCAATCTTCCCTGGAACCATAATCCTCAAAAGGAAATTGCAATCCTTGCAGAAACACAGTTTGGGTCATCTGGGTCCAGGTCTCTGTATTTTTCTAAAAGCCTTCACAAGGCACAAGTGACATTTTAAATAGCTTGTCAGGAAAAGAAGTGATTTCTAATGCAGATCCACCAAATAAAATGTTTTTTGTCAGCGCCCCTAAAGGCAAACATCTAAAAGGCAGAGAGAAAAAGAATGCAAAGAAAAATGTTGTGACTAGTGTCCAAGGGGGAACATAATAGAAAAATAATAGAGACATATCTCTTGTCAAACAAAAAGTAAACAGGTTTAATATCCCACAATTCTACATCTACTGAGAAGTATAATTAAACATCAGGAATGTTTTTCTCTATGGGATGCTAAGCCATTTTGTTCTTGAAAATATTTTAGGGAAAAAGAGCAGGTCCAATTATGCTCTGATCTGCAGGCATGAAAAGAGGAACTCAGCCCAGAGGTAAGCAGCGGGGAATGAAAACAGTTAACACAAAAGTTTAGTTAAAGCTATGAATGCTTCACACTGATTCTTTTAACAAAGTAAAGCTTGTTGTGTGATAGTGTTTATATTACCCTTGGTCTTAAACAACATATGAACTTAGGAAGCTACCGGCCATCTCCCACCCTCACGCCTCTCCTGGTCTTTTCTAGTCTAGTTTTTACAGACTCCTGAGTTATCTAACCCTCATGACTAAGTAGCCACACATGTATCAACATAGAGTCTCTTCATTGTCTTTGGTTTTGTTTGTGTGTCTGTTGTATTAGTGTCCTATTCAAGAAGTTTGGTGATCTTATTTTGAAAAGAACCAGTAAAGTTAAAATGTGTTGCTTCCCCAAGTGGTTTGTTCCATATTTGGAGGAATCTGAGTAAGCATTTCCTCGTTTTAAGAATTCTGTACTCCCAGGTGCAGAGCTGGGTGCTCTGGCACTTTCTCTATAATCATAATTCAAGTTCATGTGCCTCTCCAATTTCCCCTTTTGAACACATTGTAGTTTGAGGTTATTGAAAGACCATTCACTCTCTCTATCTCTCTAGTGACCCATACTAAGTACAAAAAATAGGCCGAATTTTCCTATCTGCTTTTTTTACTAAATAAATAAATAAAAATAAAAAATGTCAGGTTTGTTAAACATTTCAAAATCTTGAGGATTGGTAAAGAGGGTGATTCTGCTTGTGTTATATTTATTGAAATGTTTCATAGGTTTTGCATTCCGAAAGGAAAATTCAGAATTGATAGCATTTTTGTCCACATAAAGCCATTACCAATGAAAGTGTAAGATGTATTCAAATACTTGCCTTGAGTTTTGTGCATAAATCACTTACTAGATAGAGCAGAATTGTTGAAGTCATATAGGAATAGAAAGTAGAGTTTTCATAGGTCCTGGAGTTACTCATCTCAATCTGACAACAGCATAACTACTTATACAAATAGAGCAAATTTAACATTCCAGTTGCTAGGTATCTTTTAAACAGCAGAAATAGTTTTGTAGACATTAAGTTCCTTAGGCATTTGTTATGATTCCTACATAAAAATAAAAATATTGAAGAGTGTCAGAAATGCCTGTTTCTAACATTGTCAGATAACATAACTATCATGTATGTAACATGTTTATACAATATGCTTATTTGGTGTGTAAAATAAATCTGAAGCATTTTTTTAACATTATTAGTTATTACATAAAATGCAAGTAGAATAAAAGTGTTATTGCATTATTCATTTAGCCAACACTATCAGTACGTTTTTGGGGTGACTGACAGAAGTACAAAAGAGAGACTACTGAAGTGCTAGAAATGAACACCCCGACACAGATGGTAATTACATAGAGACACTCACCCAGACACACACACTATGATATTTTAGTAATGAAAAAAGTTATTCTGCATGGTTTGCTAAGAACTTTGTTGTAATTATAAGTAAATTATCTTTTTATTCTTTTAAATATGATTAAGAATAATATTGTTGTGAATAAAATCATACTTATTTTACTGTTATTTTTATCATAATGAATGTTGTCCCACCAATTTGCAAGTGAAGAGCACCATGTAAAGCCTTTTAATAACTTTCAAATTGATTTCACACTGATACATAAGAAAAGAAAAAAATAAGAAAGGTTTAAGGATTTTCTGCAAGAAGCATACAAATTTATAAATTAGAAAAATCCATACTTTTTGAGAGACTTTATAAATATTAACAGTAATGATTTTGTGTTTGAGATCATCTTGGGAGACATTGAGCCAGAAATAAAGTAATTGCCCCAAACTTTTTATGGTATAGATGTATTTTAGGAACAAGTGATAATAACATCATAGTTTCAGATTAGGAAAATGCAATAAGGAGTCCTTACCAATACCTGATCTTCACAAAAAGCAATGAAAGCTAATTTAGAATAAAACAGAAGAGCTGACTAATCAGAAAAGAAACAATGCTGCTTAAAGCTGCTTCTCTTTAAAAGCATCTCACTGATACTCTCTGGCAAAATCTACCTTGCCAATATTCTTTCCATTCTTTTTTGTTTATTTATGTATTTATTTATTTATTTTGAGATGGTGTCTCGCTCTGTTGCCCAGGCTGGAGTGCAGTGGTGCACTCTTGGCTCACTGCAAGCTCGCCTCCCAGGTTCACACCATTCTCCTGCCTCAGCCTCCCAAGTAGCTGGGACTACAGGCACCTGCCACCACGCCCAGCTAATTTTTTTTGTATTTTTAGTAGAGACGGGGTTTCACTGTGTTAGCCAGGATGGACTCGATCTCCTGACCTCATGATCCTCCCCCTTCGGCCTCCCAAAGTGCTGGGATTACAGGCATGAGCCGCTGCACCCGGCCTATTCTTTCCATTCTTTAAGTTGAGGTATTGAAGGCCCCTGTGTTAGAAATGCAACAAACAGTTTCTTATTAATGAAAATCTTATCATAATCTATTTTTTAACTCTTATTTTAAGTTCAGGAGTAGAAGTGCAGGTTTATGTAGGTAAACTTGTATCATGAGAGTTTGCTGTACAGATTGTTTCATCACCCAGATATTAAGCCTAACACCCATCAATTATTTTTCATGATCTACTTTTTTGTCTGATTGAGGATTAAGAAATTCGACTGACCCACTCTGAATCCCTTTCCTTGGGGAAAAGAAGCAAGATCTATCACATGAAATAATTAAAGGGAGAGAATACCCAACAAGGAGCTACAGTGATGTCCCAAAGCCACAAGAACTTTAGGCTGAGATTGAAAGGAGAACACAGGCAACAAGGAGAAGTAGGACAATAGAGCCCTCTGGGTGCCTGAGGACACCTCAGAAGTTGTTTGAGTCCTGATGCACATGTTAGAATAAATGTCTCTAGTCCCCTTGCAGATATCCTTTTTTGATGAGAGCAAATGAGGGACTTTTGAAGCTGCGTAAAGCCTTCTACCTACTTGAGGTCAACTCAGCGTAGGCAGTTTCTCACTGTATATGTGGCTTGTGTATAGGATGTCACCTGGAATGGAGTGCATGAGAAAGCAGGAGAGAAAATTCTAATGATCTCTGTAAAATGAATAAACGATTACATACAGGCCAGGCAAAGTGGCTCATGCCTGTAATCCCAGCACTTTGGGAGGCCGTGGTGGGCAGATAATGAGGTCGAGAGATCGAGACCATCCTGGCCAACATGGTGAAACCCCATCTCCACTAAATATACAAACATTAGCTGGGCGGGGTAGTGCGTGTATTCCCAGCCACTCGGGAGACTGAGGCAAGAGAATCGCCTAAACCCGGGATTCGGAGGTTGCAGTGAGCTGAGATCATGCCACTACACTCAAGCCTGGCGACAGAGCAAGACTCTGTCAAAAAAAAAAAAATTACATGCAGATAGAATAGACAGAGATATACATACATATGCACACACACCCACATACATACACACTGTAATATACACACACTATTTCTACCAAAACTTCTGTAATATAGGATAGAGAAATGAAGACGTGTAGAACGTTCTTATTTAAATCTATGTAAACATCTAGGTTAAATTCTGTGATTAATATGTATATATGACTCTTTTTAAAAATTATTACTACTAATAGGTTGAAACTGAGAAAATGAAAGACAGAAAGAAAGAGAGGGAGGAGAGATGCCACCTAGGAAAAAAGAGTTTTTCACACCAGGCTTTTATTCCCTCATATTGAGCTAAATTTAGGAACAAGAAATAAAGGAGAGAAAATGGCAAAACATGCTCTCTTTTGCAGAAGATTGTAGAGAAAGAGAAATCCCCATAAGAAATAAATTTGGTGGCAATAGAGTGAGAGTTGGAGAATCCTTTGCTTCTGTGTGTTTAAAAGGTATAAATACACATTTTATATTTTCTTATTCATTGTATTGAGAATTAAATGAGGTAAAGTATGAGAAAGCACCCATCTTAATGAATGACAAATAACAATTTTTCAAAGGAAAAATAATAATTGTTTTTCCTTTGGCTTTCCCAGCGTTAACAGTGTTACCAGGTAGCACATCCAAGTTTGTAAAGTAGAATTGGAAAGGCATAATGGTTAAAAGAATGGCATTCACAATTCAACACATTGACATTTCAATCTGAGTCTACCACTTACTACCTATGTAGCTTTAGACAATTTTTGTCACTCTTTAATGCTCTGATTTCCTTTCATAGCATAACACAGACAATATTAACAGGTAGTTATATAATGAGATACTATAATAAATGTGCTTAGTGAAGCACCTGGCTTACAGCAAGCACACTACTGCTGAGGAGGTTATTATTATTTCAGCAACTGGATAGCCCATGTCCCAATATTTCACTGACATTGCCCTGTCACTGATTCTAGCTACAATCTTGGTCTCAAATCTCCCTAATAATTTCAAGTTTAAAAAGCCTCTGTTTACCTAGAGGACAGAAAACTAACTTTTATCAAGAACCTATGGCAACCCATATTTCTAGGCTTGGGATAATATCATCAGGTCCTATTTTCATCAACTGACACCTTTACGATAGCTCAGGATCACTGCCTTGATTGCTGCCCCTGAGTCACTTGATTTCTCTCCTGGCTGTTTGTGAAACTCCCAAGGTGCTCGCTTATACTCTTAGAAAAAAAGTCTTGTATTTCCCTGTCTGACCTCCTGCCATCTGCCAGGCAAGACCACAACTGCTGATGTCTCTTGGGAGATCACAGCTCCTCTGGGTGAAACTGTCCCATGCCCGTGGTCCCCATTACTCACAAAATTGTAGCTACAGGGAAAGAATAACATATTGCCTTTTATTTCTTTTTTACTCACAACTTGAACCTGGCCTTTTCATTAAGACCACACTGCACCGACAGACCAAGTGGCAAGTTTTTTTCATAAAGTAAAGAAATAATAGTGGGGAGGCCAGTCACGGTGCCTCACACCTGTAATCCCAGCATTTTAGGAGGCTGAGCTGGGCGGATCCCTTGAGGTCAGGAGTCCGAGACCAGCCTGGCCAACATGGTGAAACCCTGTCTCTACTAAAAATACAAAAATTAGCCGGGCATGGGGGCGGACGCTTGTAATCCCAGCTACTCGGGAGGCTGAGGCAGGAGAATCGCTTGAACCCAGGAGGCAGAGCTTGCAGTGACCTGAAATTGTGCCACTGAACTCTAGCCTGGGAGACAGAGTGAGACTCGGTCTCAAAAACAAAAAACAAAAAAAAACAAAAAAAAAAAAACAAAAAAGAAGAAAGAAAAAGAAAAGAAAAGAAAGAATAGTGGGGGAGGTAGGTTACATAAGACACCATTAAGTAAGCAGTGTGTCACCTCTCTAGCTCACAAGCCTGGTACCTGAATGTCTCATCTCTGTTAACCCCTATTTACCATTGGCTAGGGGCCAGCTTTCTTTTCCTACCAGGACTGCACTAAAATAGATCTTCTAGCACAGAGGACAGGACTCATCTCCAATGAGGTGTCAGAGACAAAGCCCTAGACTCCATCCTGGGTTTTGATCATAGAAGCCTCATTTTCATTTCCAAATTCTAACATTTGTAAGTATTGGCTATGATAATGTCCACTTATTTCAATAAAACATTCTTTTCTCCCTTGCAGTCCCTAAGTTATTCTTAATAGGAAAATTAAAGGAAGATAATCCTACACAAATTCAATTGTATTAGTAAGTCTTAAATAATACCTTGTGTAGGCTACCACTGAGCTAGTATGTTGTACTGAGCCAAACCAAGTTCTTACTATATTCTCTACTGCAGTGAAAGAGTACAGTGGAGTCTGATGACTCAGCAACCCTCGTGGGTTTTTCTTCTATAAAACAACTACATCAACAATTGTGCAAACATGGATCTCCCCAAGAATTTGCCTGATACATCTGGCTGCTTATCCAAATTTGTATACCTACAAAGAAAAAAGTTTCAAAGAAGACAACAGCCAGAATAAAAAATGAACTATAATCTCTGATAATAACACACAAATTAGCTTTTTTTCTGAATTATGCCCATTCAAGGAACAGGTTGACATTCAGCACTAAGTGAAAACCTACCCCAAAGGTAATATATGAATTCACCTGTACTCCTCAATGCCTAGGAAAGTAACCAGCAAAAAGAGACAAAAATACTTACATGTTATGTAAAGCAGAAAAGACCTGGGAGTTTCCCCATCGTCTAACATTCATAGCTTCAAAAAACATGACATCGAAATCTAGTTTTAACAAAGTTATGTCATTACATTTCCTTATGCTCTTGGTTAGAATTCTGAACATGTTTACTCCTAGAAGCATTAAGCCTGAATTTGAGAAGTTATGATATCTTTAGTTCACATTAAACTTTATAGCCATCCAAATTGGTGTTCAAAACATTTAGTATTCAAAAACAAACAAACAAACAAAAACAAACAAAAAGACATATGTAGGGCTCAGATTCATGAGTCAGAGAAGCTAAAATACATTTGTTAAAATTGCAATTTTCTCCAGCATGTATGTTTGTAACCTGAGTGTCTTACTAAACTATGATTTTTTTTTTTCACACTCCATTCCAGTATCACAAATCTCAGTTTTTTTCCGACTTCCTTAACTATGTAGCCATGTCTGCATACCTACTGCATCTCTCTTAAGTACAGGCCTTCACTCTTGCCTATGCAGGCAAGTATAGCAAATTCTTGCCTGGACTCAGCCTCTTCTTCAATATTCTGGCCTCCAGTCTCTTCCCTTTCAAGTGTAGCCTCCCCAGCTGTGTTCTGTTTCAAATACAAATATAACCTTACCACTTACCTACATGAAATCTCAAATGGCTCTCTGTTATCTACAAAGTGAGCCACAGTCTATTCTGGGATAAGAGGCCTACTCTGACATCCCCCAGCTTATCCCACCCCTCCTTACCTCTCACCATTCTTTTCTTTTCAGTCACTGTGAATAATTTGTAGGCACATGCATAAGCCTGTGTGCACAAATGTACACACACACACCCCTAATGGTGCTTGTGGACCTCTGTGACTTTTATCCATGCTGTCCATAGGGCCTTAAATGTGTCTGCTCTTCTCCTTCTTATTCTTCTACATCTGTGTAACTTGTCTGGCTAATTCCTACTCTCTTTGAAACCCAAACGTGACATTACATTCACCAGAAAATGCTCTCTCATTTCCAGCCACCAGCCTCGTTAACTCATTATTTTATTAGTTTGTCATGGCTCCTAATTTTGTCTTTAGAGATTTGTATTACTTGAGAGATTATAAGTTCCTTGCAGGCCCAGACTACATATTAATTATGTGTATATCTTCAAAGACCTGTATTGTGTCAGTCACATATTAATATTTGACTGCCAGGCATGGTGACTCATGCCTGTAATCCTAGCACTTTGGGAGGCTGAGGCAGGCAGATCACTTGAGGCCAGGAGTTTGAGACCACCCTGGCCAATATGGTGAAGCCTTGTCTCTACCAAAAAAACAAAAATTAGCTGGGCATGGTGGCCCTCCTATAATCCTAGCTACTGGGGAGTCTGAGTCAGGAGAATCACTTGAATCCTGGAGGCAGAGGTTGCTGTGAGCCAAGATCAGGCCACTGCGCTCCAGCCTGGGAGACAGACCAAGCCTCTGTCTCAAGCAAACAGACAAACAAAAAACATGAGTATTAATTTTGCCATACATGAACACATATATGAAAGAATCTGTTCTTTAAAGACCATTGGTGTATATAGACAACTTATAAATAAATATTGAGTAATTACTTCTGAAACCTTTTTATCCTTAGTTGCTGAATCACACAGTTTAACCCATTTTCAATATGACACCATTTATCATTCATTAATTTAAGAGCATAGAGTCTCTTGTGTGTCAGAAACTGGGTCGATCCAGTGTATCTGTGAGCTGAAATGATTAACAAAAAAGCTCATATAACTACAAAGTGAGGAAAGCGCTAAGAGTGAAATGAGAAGGAGGCTGTAAGAGAGTATAAAGGAAGGGCTTGGCTTGGTCTAGAGGGACAAGAAACACCTCTTGGGAAAATTGATGGCCAGAGATCTGAGGATGTGCAGTTTACTAGATGAAGAGGGAAGAAAGACTGTTCTAGGCAAAGGGAAGCGTCCATGTAGTAACACTTGGGATGTTGGTTTATTCCTAGGATTGAGAGAAGCTACAGCAGCTAAAATGCAGCGATGGAGGAACACAGTCATACAGAGAAGCCTGTGCCAATTTAGAAGGAAGTTTGGAATGGGACAGGAATAGGAAAGGAAAACTATTACATTACTTCAGAAAGATATCACGATATTCCCACATTGAGGCAATGGAGCGAAATACATAGTGGTGGGAGTTGAGTAACATTTAAAGAGAAAAGTGAACTTCATTTGGCAACAGATTGGCATGCGCCAGTTGTGGGAGTGTGCAGTCAGGGATGAGTCTGAGACCCTGATTTACGGAGCTGATTGATCCTTTCATTGAGAAGATTAATTGAAGACAACAGGCTTCTGAGAGGGATCTGCAGAGACAAGAGCTCTGGCAGGTCTGCTTGGCACTGTTGGCTTTGGATGTCTTTTCGCAACACACTCCTACCAGATGACATTCTAGGAGTCACAGATATGGACAGTATGTGGAAAGAGTAGAGACAAGAGGAGGAACTCACAGCCAAACCATAAGAAATTCTAACATCTGTGGCTTTTTTGTAGACAAGAGAAGGGAGAGGGGTCAACTTCAGTTTGTTTATATGTATTTGTTTTTATGATATGGTAAATTTTTGAAAAAGGAAAGAAAACACTCATTTTAAAATATAGGTCACAGTTCCAAAACAGTGCAGAAGCCAAAGTGGAAGTCTTTGGGAAAAAAAGATGGATAGACGATTGATAGATAGATGATAGATAGATAGATAGATAGATAGATAGATAGATAGACAGACAGACAGATGGAGGCATGAATTAAATTGAAATGAGTTCTCATCATCCAACAGATCACTGTAAAATGTACTTGAAAAATGAAAATTGTGTGTCTATATGTAGTGTCATATTTATTTTTTCTAGAGGAGAAGTGAGGGAGTATTTTTGCTAATGCTTTGCTTTTAATACTCACTACCTCTATTTGAATTAAGTATAAGCCAGTGGTCATCACCCCAGACATGATCATGATGACTCAGTATGAGGATTAATTACAAAAGTAATCATGTCCGTTATCTAATTATTCAAATCTTAATTGCAACTCTGTTGGCCCAATTAGTCCAGAACGCAAGGCTAATGTTAGGGATGGGTGGACACTCAGCATCTGTGCCTAACTGAGAGGCATCTGTTGCCAAGAGGTGAAGTGATGGAAAGTGTCCATTCACCAGCTGTGAAGCAAACACGTCTTAGAAAAGCACACAGGAGTCACAACAAAATGCAGCCCACGGGGCTGGGGGTAGGGGAGGGGAAGATGTGGTAATGCTTCTGAGGCATCTGTTATCCCCTGGATGCACCACAGATCTCAAGCCATTGCATGTGCCACTATTGAGCACTATGATTAAAAATAGAAATTTTTTTTAAAAAGATATTTCTATTTCTTGTCCTTCACTAGTGGATAATGCTATAAAAAGAAACGGGCTAGCTACAAATTTTTAACAAATAAATGTTTTTATAAATTTATTAGAACCATTTATGGCTCCTTTCGTTTCCTTGATCCATGTTATGCCTAATAAAAGAAATAGAATTGTACAGATCGAATATCTACTTATGTTAAGTATAAGTAATAAAATAATAGATCTCCTGATTGTTACTATTGATTTTGACTTTAGTAGCATACAGTATGCAATATCTCAGCATCTGATATATTTATATGCTATTATTGATTTTGACCATATTCTATAGGAAAGATTCTCTTAATAATGTTATTGATTTTTAAAATATTATTAATATTTATCAACCTCTCATGTTGGTATATAATCATTATTGAACTATAATCAATTGTTAGTGAAAGAGAAGCAGCTGTATAAAGCATGACAAAACTGATTAGAAATTTAAGTACATCAGCTTTTGACCTAGCTGTGGATTTGCTTTCACTGTTTATCGGCAGTGTCATGGTTTCAAGTTTTTATTAATCCACATTTTGAAACAAACAAATGGAAGAGTGTTTAAGTTCACTGAAGTTGGAAAATGTTAATTTACAGGAAATGTATATACATCTTGCTTCTGAGTATAATAGAAATGATTTCAGCTTTTCACATTGGTTTCACAGAAGAAAATTACACTTCAAGAAAATTAAAAGAGTTTGGGGAGCATTTTCAGCATTGCATCTCCATGCTCCCTTGTTATTGAATCACAATAAGAAACCCTGTTAGTTCTCCTGAGCAAATTGCTTTCCACAATTATGGTTTATGTTTTAATGGAGATAGCTTCACATTAGGAGAATTATTCCAAACCAGCATCGCTTCTTGATGCAGCACAGAAGAGCACCCTGCCTCCTTTACAGAATCCATGCCTCCCATGTTGCCTCTAAGGAAAATATATAAATAAATGCTTGCCAGTCTTGCTTCTGAGAGAGTTTTAATTGAGGATAATGAAACATCCCTAGCTCCAAAGCGAGAGTATGATGGCCACAAAGCCCTTTAAAATGCTAATAGGCACAGGACACTTGTGGACGTTATGTGAGATTACATGGTGTAGAAATGGTGTACGTAGGTGACAGTTTGTCAGATTTAGCTGCAGCAATCATACTTATTTTCTCCATTTCTATTTGTGATGCCAATGTGAACGAAAAATGTAGGATGATACAAAGTTGGACCCTCAGCACTAAGCATCCTGCCTCTCTCTCTCTGTCTGTTTTGTGTTGCTCTAAAGGAATACCTTTGACTGGGTAATTAGTAAAGAATAGAGATTAGTTTAGCTCATGGTTCTGCAGGCTGAGAAGTTCAAGGCCATAGCCCTGGTTTCTTGCAAGGGCTTTCGTGCTGTGTCACAACATGGTGAAGGCCAAAGGGGAAATGAACTCATGTGAAGAGAGGGAAACCTGAGGGGCACCCTGGCTCTATTACAATCCACTCTCACAAGAACAAATCCATTCCCAAGGGAAGTAATCCAGTCTTGTGAGAGTGGGAACTCACTACTAGGATCACAGCACCAAGCCATCCATCAGGGATCCACCCCCACAACCCAAACACCTCCCAACTAGACCCCACCTCCCAACACCTACATGCTGGGAATCAAATTTCAAAATGCACTTTGGTGGAGAACAACCAACCCTATTCAAATGACAGCACTGCCCTTCCTGCTATAGGGCATCTGCATAACACTCATAAAAAGAGTTCCAGAGGACCAGCAAGACAAAGAACCATTAATTATGCATGGTTTAATGTTTCTAGTTCCCATTTCCTCTATTTCAGTTGTATTCCACCTGCAGAACTCCTCTCTCATTTTAAATCAGTGACAACGTGAACAGCGCGTGTATACTTTAAGCAACTTACCAATTCAAGTGGGTTGCCTCAGCTGTAAGACATGAACTCAGAAGTGATAAAGCTTGGCACTGCTTCAGTAAAATGGAATAAGAAATCACTTTGACAGAGCTTAGATTCTAGTCTGGGTTGCTAAATGTAGTTTTTTCTTTCTTTCTTTTTTTTTTTTTTCCTCTTTCAAGGTTGATGTTCTTTATTTTTATGTGGAGTATATCTTATGTGACAGCACAGGAAGAAATGTAGGCAGCCCAGGTTAATGCATTCGTGGTCACAATGAACTTGAAAGTGAAGGAAATCAGCTCTCTTGAGACATTCTGCTAGCATTCACCAGTTTAAAGGGAATCTTGATTAAATGGCAACAGTTATGGTGATGCCAAGAAATATGAGAGGCATGAAAGAAAAACTTTCAGTTGCTTATTAAACAAAGGGGACCTCTTTATTTCCTCTTGACTGCAATACAACACAAAGGCATGGCTTAGAATGCTTTCGTGTTGCAGCCTTTCCCACCTCAGGGATTTATAATTGGGACATTTTCATTTTTAAGTTGAAAGCGTTGGTCTCTGGGATTTAAGATGATAAGTGTCTTCCCTCAGCTTCATCACCTGCCAGCAATATAAGCACCATCTGCCCAGATGCCAGAGACTGGTCTATTACTCCTAGGGGACCTCACATGTGTTCGTGTGAGTGTTTGCATAAGAGCAATCAGTTGCAAACCACGTGCACTTATTAGTAACACCAGTAACTTTGTATATGTTTCCGTTCTGAATTTCCACGCTGAATATCTATTTTGTTTTATAAATTTATATTGTAAATAAATTTAAATATTATGGAACATTTAAACTTGAAGTTTAGGTTCAATCCCTAAAACTGTACTTTAAGTATTTTCTTCAAGATATTTACAGTTAGATATTTTTCATTAATATTTCTTATTTATTTAGTGCTTTTACGAGCATGTTTTGCTATTTTACTCCACATTGGAAGGATACATTTTCCAGTTTCTATCAACTGTGTCATTACAACTTATTTGTTATTTCAAAGTGTCTTTTGCAGGTATATAAAAATGCTGGCCGGGCTCAGTGACTCACACTTGTAATCCCAGCACTTTGGGAGGCCAAGGCAGGGGCATCACTTGAGGTCAGGAGTTCAAGACCAGCCTGCCTAACGTGGTGAAAAGCTGCCTCTAATAAAAATACAAAAATTAGCTGGGCATGGTGGTGCGCACCTGTAATCCCAACTTCTCAGGAGTCTGAAGCAGGAGCATCACTTGAACCCGGAAGGCAGAGGTTGCAGTGAGCTGAGATCACATCACTGCACTCCAGCCTGGGCAAAAGACGGAGACTCTGTCTCAAAAAACAAACAAACAAACAAAAAACCAAACACAAATCCGTAGATTTTGGCTGCTGTATCTCTCACACTACTGAAAAAATGTGAATAGATTTTCACTGGTTAATCTACAATCATTTGGCACAGCTTGACTATATGGTTAGATATTAATTTCAGAACTTTTTCTGATAAATTCAAATCAAAATGAAGTGGGTGAAGGACTTGGTATTATTACATTTCTTTTGAGGATTTTACTGAATGACAATAGTTATTGACTTTTTAAAAAATTCTTCATATATGTGTGTTTCAAATTGACTTTGAAAGAGGCAGTGTTACTTTTGCCTAAATCTTATGCCGCGCATACAAGAAGTCAGTACAAAATTAAGATTCTTAATAATGTCAGGCACTTAACTGTAGAGAGATCTTACTCAAGGGCACTTAAGGAGAGAAGATTCCCCTGAGAAGATGCCCAGATGCAATTCTGTCAGGTGTACTTAGAACCAAATGAATGACTCAAGTATTTCTCTTCAGAATGTTCTGGGAATCACAAATGTGCTTAATTTGACCAGGTTCTCCTACTGGTTATGATGAAGTCCTTCAATATTGTTTTTTACTGTTCTTAATGCAAATCACAGAGGATTTTCTTCCTTTCATACACCTTAGCATACACAAAGAAAGAGTGGCATATAGATATAAATCTTTTTTGTGGAATAAATGTAAATGGAACTGATTTCCCAAAACCCACTTCATTCCCTATTTTAGTGATAATCAGTAAAACTCCTACCACAATAGAAAATTTAAAAATCTTGCTGCATTGTCAGATTTCTTTTGTCCCATGAAGCATCTTCACTTACCTTATGACAAATAAGCACTAGGACCTTCTCACTTATACACGGAAATGTGTTTGAGACAATGAATAGTAAATAATGTCATCTACATGAAAAGGGACACACTGTGAATGTCAAGGTAAAAGTCTTTGATTCTATGGTACACAATTTCTATTTCTCCCAACCAATTTAGGATTCAGGTTACATGCCAGCAGCTCACGTGTGCCATTTCTGCATAAATAGTTTTGTAACATGCCTTGATATGTGAATCAAAGACCAGCCTGGCCAACATGGTGAAACCTGCCTCTACTATAAATAAAAAAATTAGCCAGGCATGGAGGTGCACACCTGTAATCCCAGCTACTTGGGAGGCTGAGGCAGGAGAATCGCTTGAACCTGGGAGGCAGAGATTGCAGTGAGCCAAGATTGCACCATTGCACGCCAGCCTGAGCGACAAAAGTGAAACTCCTTCTCAAAAAAAAGAAAAAAAAAACAAAAGAGAGAGAGAGAAGGAGGACTCTGTTTCTTTCTGCAGATGAACAAAAAGAATATTTTATTTGCCAGAAGTAGAAGGGAGAAGGAAGATTTATAAGCACACATCTTTAGATAAACTGTGGGAGCTAAATGATGAGAACACATGGATGGATAGAGAGGAACAACACACACTGGGGCCTTTCAGAGAGGGTAGGGTGGGAGAGGGGAGGGGATCAGGAAAATTAACTAATGTGTACTAGGTTTAATACCTGGGCAATGAAATCATCTGTACAACAAACCCCCATGACAGAAGTTTACCTATGTAACAAACCTGCACTTTCACCCTTGAACTTAAAAGCTTTTTAAAAAATGACTTTAGTGCTGTGTACTAGGTATTGTGTGACTTGGCAACATTTTCCACATGGAGAAATGAAGAGTCTGAGACTACTGTTGGGGGGAATGATATTCACAGCAGAGTAAGGGGCATGGCTGGCTTACATCCGGACTTTGAGCTGGTTCTGCATATGTGAAGTAAGGACAGGAGTTCTAAATAAGAAGAAGATGTAGTTCTCAGGAGGATTTATTTTTCTCTGTTCCAATCCATTCTTTCTTTCTCAGGATTTGCTGTGTTCATTGTCGTGCATATACATATATCAAGGCAGTTATTCTTCATTTGCTTTGGACCACTAGTTTCACAATTACTAGTTATGAAAATTTTAGACACAGAGGACAGATCTCGCTATAGTTGTTGAGGAATGGTTGAAGAAGGAGCTCTAGGCAAGAGATATTTAAGGCTCTGAAATTATCTTTTGCCTTAACTTTGCCTCAGGGGAAAAAAATGTTGTTATACGTGTTACTAGTGATATTTACACGATATATATTTTTTGGAAATGGAAAACTATTTTTAGTTTCAAAAACCAAGGGTCAATTTTATGAACCCATCTCACTACTTCTAATCTAGGACTCTATCAAGAATAACTTTATTATCTCTTAGGCGTGTGTTACATGCCAAAAACTTTGGATTTATTGTCTTAGTCCTCTCTACAGTCTTAAGAGTAGCCATTGTTGCCCATTTAATAAAGTAACAAAAAAAAACCGAGTTAAGAAACATTTCATGCCTTATCTAAAATCATACCCTTAACCACACAACTGGAAGGTCACACCCAGGTTTCTCTAATTCCATACTTTGTAATTTTTTTTATCACTAGGGTATTTATTCTTCCTTTGCAAACTAGCCATTCTTCATATATTAGGACAGAAAATAAAAATAGGCCATTAATGACTCTACTCTAGTTATTTTCGTGTAGAAAGGACCCTTTCTAACTGTCAAGTCTCTTGCTTTTGGGGGATATTTCTGACTGTATCACTGCTTTCTTTATCCTTTCAGTTTGATGACTTCGCAGAATGCCTTATGGCTTTCTGGGATTTTTTAACATTGCACTTGACTTTCAGTCAATTCTGTTTAGCTCGTAAGATTTCTTGTGTCCTGTGGGTTTGAGTGAGATTGTCCCTGCTGATCCTTAGCAGTAGTACCTACAGGTGCCCCTTCCTTCTTACGGCAAGGTCAGGGAGAATTCTTAGTGACTTGCATGAAATAGAGTAAATGCTGTATTTTAAGGGTAAAATGTTTGGTTTCATTAAATTTCACGAGAAGAAATCACCCGTTTCCATGTGCTTTCTTATCTGGTTACCACCATATAGTTCTTTCTTCTTTATAAGAAAAAAATATTTTAAAAGTAGTCTGTGCTATAACTTCTGATTCTTTTCTGTCCCATGCACTTTACAACAGGCTTTATAGCTGCCTGTCTAGCTCCAATAACAACACACTTGATAATCCTAAAAACAAATTCTGATCACCAAATATTATAAGCAATATTTTATTTAGTCCTCATCTTGATTCACCACTCTCTCCTTGAATGTCTCTCACTTCGCTTGGTTTTTATTCCCAAATTTCTTGCTGTTTTATTTCTACCCATGTAGCCATTTCTTTTTAATTTTCTTTGGCTCAAATTCTTTCATTCTCCTTCTAAGATTATTCCTGTGGTTGAGCCAAAGCCAGTCTCTATGTGTTCCCAGCCACATTCATAACTTTATCTGCAACTTGTACCAATGACTGTCAAATTTGTTTCATCAGTCCACTTCTCTCTTTGAGCACCATGTAGTACTTATCTCTATTATTCTTCTAAACTTCTCCATGCTAAACAACTAAAGTTCCGCCTTTGGAAAATGTAACTGAGAATTCACCATAAAATGCTTCATCGCTATCTTCTTATTGGCACTATAAGCTCTAATCAGTTGTAGAGAAAGTTCTACAACTCATTAGAACTTATAGTGTTGATCATTTGCTCATGAGGCCTCTCTTACCTTGGGTCCAGCCCAGCCAGTCAGAAACAATCACTACATTAATCTAAGTATCTCTCAGTTGCACTTTCTCATCTATAACCCAACTGCTGTGCCTTCATCAATATCTTCAGTCCAGGCAGGATCTTGGGCTATTAATATAGCCTCCAAAAATATTTCCCTATTTTTAGAACACCCGCACTCCATCTGTTCCTTTTATTTTCCTATTGTGTAAAATTTCTAAAAACAAAAATTAACTGTGCTCCCACCCTGCATAGTTATCTCAATACAGCTCATTCTAACAGGCAAAATATTCTTTTAGCTGAGCATTTATGGAGAAACAAACATCTACCAAACTAGGTACTGAAGAAACAGTGGTAACGCTGATGCAATCCTCTTATGGTAGGTAAAAGGGACTGTAATCAAATCACTTAGCAAACAAAGGTACAATTACAACACCAACATGTGGAATGCATATATTGAGGTGACTTGAGAAACCTGGGAAGTCAGAGAGGGAGACTTTAAGTTGCAAACTGAAAAATGATAAAAGCTAGGTTAGAAAAAAAGGAATCTAAACAAGGGAAACAAAGTGAATACAATTCCTTAAGTAGGAAGAGGCTCGGAAAATTTAAGAAATGAAAGATCAGTATATTTGAACAGAGAGAAGAAATAAGAGAATGTGACTAATTGTTCAGGTCGTAAAAACTATAAACCTAGTCTTTATTCTAAATTCAAAGAAAACTAATTATAGGGTTTAAAGATGGAGCGGGGGAGTGATATACTTAGAAAACAGATTGAAAAAGTCAGAGTGCATGGAGTGCAGCAGAATAGAAGATATTGCCAGAAAGAGATCAAGATAGCTTGGGATATAAAGATTGTAGTGAGTATGGAGAGATGTGGCAAGACTTCCGGGATGATTTGGGAGTAGTTTCTTAATATGTGATTAAAAATTTTAAGTACTCATATATGGATGGCATGGGGCACAGAGGAATCAAAGAGAGAGAGAGAGATCAAGGATGACTCCCAGATGTCTAATTTGCAGAAAGGGAAATTACCATTCCCTGAAATTAGGAGCCAAGAAAAAAGACAGATATTGATGGAAGAAACAGGGCAAGATGATAGTGTCTGCTTTTGTGTACATTATATTAAATGTGCCATAAAACATAACACCAAAGAGTATTTGGAAATTGTTAAGTGCATGCGAATAAAACTAAAAAGAATCTCAAAATAAAAAATATAAATAAGCCCGAGATTGAAATATAAATATTGGGAACATTGGCACAAAATAGCAAATAGAACTCTAGACATAAATGTGCTTATGTGGGGAGAGAATATAGATCTCTAAGAAAAAAAGGCAAAGATGAGTCTTTCAGAATTTCACTATTTTATGTTTCCATAGAAGATGAGATGTCTAAGGAGACTGTAAAGGAGGATGGGGAAGAATGCTGAGGAGAATAGGGGACTTCTATGTGATAAAGGAGAGGGAAGACTTTCTAGGTGAAGGGGGTCATCAAGTATCTCTAGGAATATGAATGCAAAAAAAAAAGCTTATTAATGTTTATTAGATTTGTTCACATGGAACTTTATACGTGACCCTATCAACAACTTTCATAAGTTAATAGGAATTTGAAGGGAAATTACAGCCAATTGCAAATGTTAGTGGGAGAGAAAGAAATGAACAGAGATTCAGACGATATGCAATGCTTCATGATAATTTTGCTTGTGAGGGAGGAGAGGATGATCTGCTGTCCAACAGAGGGTCTGTGTGTCTATTTTTGTAAGTAATCTGAAGGGGTTTACATACACAGGGGAAGGATTTAGTTAAGTAGTCAATGTCAGATACATCAAAGAGATAACGTAATTCAAGGTACCCCAAATTATGTGCCTTTTGATGTCTAACAAATAATCTGACTCAATACAAGCAAGACAACTAGATATAAAGTCATAAACAATTATAGATTCTGTGGGTAACTGCAGTGTATTCTCTATGGGCATTCAAATTCAAAAACTGGCTGGGCACGGTGGCTCATGCCCATAATCCCAGCACTTTGGGAGGCTGAGACAGACAGATCACTTGAGGTCAGGAGTTCGAGACCAGCCTGGCCAACATGGCAAAACCCCGTCTCTAAAGTTAGCCAGGCATCGTGGTGCATGCCTATAATCCCAGCTACTCGGAGGCTAAGTCAGGAAAATCGCTTGAAACCCGGGAGGCAGAGGTTGCAGTGAGTTGATATCGCCCCACTGCACTCCAGCTTGGGCGACAAAGTGAAACTCCGTCTCAAAAAATAAAAAATAAAAAATAAAAAAAATTAAAAAAATTAAAAACTGTGATTTTTGTATTGAGTATTGAAAACTTTGGCAAAAGGATAGTCTTACAGACACAAATAGATGATTGATGTACTGTAAAAGGAAAAAAAATTAAGTCACTGTAGACTTAGGTGAGTTTGTTGTAGGTTGCGGGAAGAAAAGATTAATTGGTTCTCTATCAATAGGTCCAGTTTTCTCTAAGTAGATAACAAAGTCATTTCCTGAAACTGGAGCTGAAATGTAAAAGGACTGAGGAAAGTGAGTGGCTGTAGGGTGAGTTAGGTAGGGAAAAAAGCAAAATTAGCCAGTGGAATGGTTTATGATCTAGATTATTTCCTGTGGCATTCATGATGTGATCCATGTTTGCAGTAGATGTTATTGGAGAGAGAAAATTTCTAAGAATGTCCAAGTTCCTTCATAAATGAGGGAAATTAATGAGATATAATCTCCTTAACATAATTCATCCTTAATTATCTTTCTGACTTGGATTCATGGTCTTCCATGTTAGGCTTCCCACACAACAACCACAAGTACTCTGAAGTCACCGTGAATTTACCCACTCTGTTTGCATGTGTTAGTGGCTTCCTCTACTTGGTAATACCACTCTGTTTGGTGAATTAATGTTTCTTATTTTTTAAGATGCAGATGACACACATTTGCCACTCTTAGTACCTTCCTAAATCTCTAAACTTTAGAACTCTATAGGTGCTAAATTAATAGATGGAAGGCCAATTTGTTTAGTCACTTAAGTGTGAGTTTATTTTGAATTTGTTTCTGAAATCGTTGCTTAATTCTGTGGTACCATTCATTTTTATCCAGTGCAAATGCTAATGTGATCAAATTGAGAAACTTTAAAAACATATTCTGACCCACAGGAGCTATGTACCATCAACTAAAAAGTTGTTATTAAGGTAAACTTCAAGCCGTTATAATCTTTTAATTTATTGCATTTTAGAAGAATAATGATTGAATTTTAGATTTGTATTAAAATAACTTCTGAAACTTTTAATTTATCTTCCAACTTTACGATAATGAGCAAAATATCATAGTTTAAACTGAAATTTAATTACTTTTAAGACAAATTCTGAAAAGCTTTAAGCATTTTCTATTTATAGTACTAAATCTCCTCTTATTGGATGAAAGCAATAACCTGCCTCCAAAGAATACTCTATAGTATGTCATAAACCCATACTTGATAACAACACAAATAATCACAAGCAAATTAATTTTGCTTTCTTACATTCATTATCTATGGAAGAAAACCTCGTAAGAAATACATGTCCATGTACATAGATGAATTCTGTTTTGTTTGGAAGAATGCGTAAGTTTGAAATGCTATGTTTACCAGGAGTCTCCTCACTGCTACTATTTATTAACTGCCTATTATGTGCCAATACTTCTTTCAGTACTCAACATTTATGAGATCATTTTAATCCTAGAAGAGCAAGGATTATCACCCTTGTATTCCAGATGATAAAACTGCATTTTAAGTGCATATGCTTCAATTTGAACTCAGACCCACTTGAGTCCTCACCTCACAGTCTTAACCATTGTGCAAGTCTGTCTTTTCAGAGTTAAAATATTAAAGAGATTTTCAAATGCAAATCATTTTAGTGCATTTGTTATTAAAGTGCAATATATTCCTTAAATCAAATTAGAAAGCAGAAAGGGAAAGTTCCTTTAATTCCAGACTCATAAAGATGCCAACATTTTCATGTCTATTATATCTTTTCTTGGTATAGTAGAACCACAAAACAACAAGTTTATTTGACTCTCAGTTTTACAAAGTTAAAAAGATTGATAATACCTAGAGTTCACAGTATGTGAGGAAAAGGGTACCCTGAGGACTATTGGTAAGAGTATGAATTGGTGTTACTCTTCAGAATGGCAACTTGCCAATATGTGTTAAATGTTAACAGCATTTATCTAGCAGTTTCAGCTTCTAAGAGTTTAATTAATAGAAACAATCAGAAAAAGACACAAAGATTGATGAATAAACTATCTGTTGCATAAAGAGATGTTCATTGTTTATAACAGAAAAGTGATTTTACAAATTAGAAATACATAGATATTCAAAAGTAAATTTTCTGCAAAAAAATTACTATTAATACCATAGGTATTTATAATTTTGAGGATATCTGATATCCCCTATCACAATAATCTATCACAACAACCCAAGGAAGGCTTTAATCAGCATAAGAATAATTAAGTCAATGATATCTCTGGTATCCATGGTATTTGAGCTGAGTCCACATCTGAAGGAGTTTAACTTTGAGATCTAATCTGAAATCTAAATAGAAGTTAGCATGAGAAAGGATAGGTGTTAAAATTCTGCTGGGCAGAGAGGCATGACCAATTAGATCTAAGGGATGAGAGGTAGCCTTGACTATTTAGGAAATAATAAATATCTTGGTATTCCTGAAACACGGTGTGGATACATGCCAGTGAGGGAAGATGCAGCTGGAGAAGTCAACAGCAATCGTGTTACTTTCTCTTTCTTTCACCATCAGTAGTGATATCTTCATTTACTATCGTCTGTTTTTCACAATTTGAACATAGTAAAATGTTATTTTATGATTGGAATTAAGTGTTCACCGTGCTATGTTTAGTAAGCTAGCTACCTTTTAATTTGTCAAACCATCTCTCTATCTACTTAAAAACCAACAGAGTCGTTGAAGCTAAAAGAGAAATGTCCAGAGGATGTTTTTAGAGAAAAGAACACATGAAGCAACCCCTCTCTCAGTTGTGTGTCTATATAAGTGTTTGATGGTGTGATAGGTGGGTGGCTCTCCTCATATTTTTCCAAGTCTCACAGAGAGAGGTTGCTCTAGAATAGCAGCCCCCATGGCCGTGATCCAGCCATGTGTGATTAATTTCTAAATGTGGAAATCAAAGCCAGCTTTAATCAGTTTCAAAGCTATATAGAGATCCAATAGAAGAGTAACTCCAGATTAAAGTCTGTGCTTGAATATGGATTTTCTTTGAATAGTTGGATTTTCAAAGAATTTGTGAAATTTTTTAGGTTGATACTATATCTACTTGTGCTACATAATTTAAACATGAGATTCATTATTCCTTCCCCTGTGAAGCAAGGTTTTCAGGCACTAAGTTCTACAGAGGGATTCCCACACCCAAATTACAGGAAACTTACTCCTGTTTCGGCAATATATTTTCATTTCATTTAGAAGATAAATACAACTAATGAGAAAAAAGCAAAGCTACTTCTGTGTGAAAAAAATAGGTAGGGAAATTTGTGATTTCACCATAAAATAATCATGTGATTTGTGTCAGCATTTCCATTAATCAGGATTTCTGCAGAACCTGCAACGTGCTAAGTACTGAGGGTAGAGTAACCACCTAGGAAGTCAAAATCCCTGTTTCATGCCATTTATAATACCATTTACATTCAGTGAAGCAAGAAACAAATATGTATTATGTCAGGTTATCATAAATACTATTGATTACAATAAAAGGCAGGGTTGGAGGGTAGCAGATATGAGCATATGCCTGTGTGTGAATCAGTAGTGTGGGTAGCTTGTCTGATCATATGGCAGCTTGGTTGAGGCATGAGCAAAGAGGCAAAGCATGAAGATATCGAGGGAAAGGCATTGCAGGCAAATGGGGCTGCAGGATAGTGAGGGAAGTCAGAGGTGATACAGGAGGAAGTGAAAGAGGTAGAAAGTGCCCCAACTCTATGAGGGCTCTGAGTTTGGACATGCTCCTAGCAGAAGAGTGATATGATCTGATTAAATGATCACTCCCACTCCCCTGTGGAAGAGATCTGGTTTGACTGGTAGGAGAGCAGAAGCAGAGAGACAAGATAGGGTGGCAGTTAGGCAGAAAGTGACAGTAGCTTGGAATACGGTATTCATAATGGAGAGATACCAAGTGCAAGGATTGAAAAGACACTTGGGGTAGAACTAACCAGACTCTGCTATTGGAATAGATAAGGAAGGAATAAAAAGATGACACCTAGCATTTGGTATGAGAAACAAAGCTGCTGGCTTATTTAGGTGAGGAAGGCAGGAAGAAAGCAAAATAGAAGATAATTGAGCAGAGAATGTTATATAACAAACGTGATCATCTGAACACAGCTATTTAAAGTATCAGAAAGACTGTTTCCTAAAACACATGGATTAAGATACTATATATTGATCAGTTAAACTTAATCTGGAGACAGACTTTCAAAAAAAGAAACAAAACAACAAAACAATGAAGGGATTTACATGTTTACATGGTTTTGAATCTTTCATTCAAATATGAAAAGTGAAAATCTTGCCACTGCATTCAGATATACAAAGTTTGTCCTGGATTATAAGGATGATATGGGCATTCACACCCTAATACCCCGAAGTGTATATATGTGATAGAGTTTGTTTGAAGATAATGTATACACTGAGAACTAGGACGACTCAAATGAGCCCCAGTTGCTCAATAATCCATAGAGACGTGTTAAAGCAGATTGAGCTGGACTGGATTCAGCACAGAAAGGGTTCCGGGAAGGAGATACCAGCCCTATAATGATCTACACATTTTTAGGAGTGGAGAAAGGAAGAAAATAAACATCTAGTAACCCTGTGATGATTGGTGCTTCTTGGTTTAGGAAGTGGCCGAGTTAAAAGGAGAAAGCTCCTGAGCTCAGCCTCTGGTCCTATTTATTGCGCTAGTTCAGGTGAGCTGATCCAGTTTCTTGCTAAGTCACTGAAAGGGTGGAGGAGATGAGCCATCAGGGATATCTAGAATTTTCTCTCCTTACCCTGATTAGACTTCATTCTGCCATCAGCATTCACGCTCTCTGTTGTAGGTTGACCTACATAGATACCACCTATACAGATTCCTTTTACAGGCATGTCCCATTCAACCTATAAATCTTTAGCTGCATTATTTTATTTTCTATTCTTTTTAATTAACGCCATATATTTCTTAATTTTGGTTATAAAAAATTTACATTTCCTTCTGATACTTAGGAAAACTCAAGCCTGGGAAATCCGCAAAGAAATGCATTTATATATATATATACATATTTTTTTTTCATTCTCAAGTTTTCCAAATAGATTTATATTAGCTTTCTGTTTGATCCTGAACTTCTGAGTCCTTCTGGCATTTAACAGAATAACCTGATAGACACAGAAGAAGCTACCATATTTTGCTTTAAACAATTTTTTCTACATCTGACATGGATAGATGGTTTACTATTTGTGAAGAAGAAAAATGTGTCTGTACATTAAATTTTCTAAATTAATGCTATTACACACAATGTGTAACAAATACTGATAATCTGTTAAACCAGGCATGTTTAGAAACCCTATTAAACCTAAAAGAGAGAACTAAATTTATTTACGAGACAATTCACAAAGTAAAAGCATTTCTTTAAATCTGAAATGTGATTGAGAATGAGGGTTTTTGTATGTGCTAAATAATTAGGCGTTTAATTCATTAGTATTTATTTTAAAATATTAATTTAACTCTAGGTAAGTAGGTATAGGACATTTATAATAATAACAATGTGGAAGACTAATAAATGATATAAATAGAGTCATTAGAGCCTTGAGATGGTTGCTAGTGTCTTATATTCCTGGCACAGCAAAATTTCTTTCAAAATTAATACAATTTAAAGACAGTTCATTAAAATGTATAGCTTTGCAAATTGAGTTGACATTAGTTATCTGTATGGTTGTGCATATATAAAGCATATTTGCAACTTTTTATCATTGATGACCAGAGTGTGGTGGATTCGGTTAATTAGAAATCCACATTAATATACCCTCTTTTTAGTGTATTTTGACTCAGTCTTTACTTATCCTCAAGATAAATGGTATTGACTGATTCCCATGGTTCACTTAATAGAACAGGTAGAACTCCATTTGTATTCATTATGGTCGGTCTATATTAATCATTCCATTTCTTACCTAAAGCTATGTCAGGACATATTTTCCAATTCATGATTTCTGCCTGATTTTTCACTAAATTCTAGGCTTGTAGTTTAGTTAAAAAACAAAACTTAATTACAGTTTTGAAAAGCTTTTAGAAATGCCATTGGATCTTGAACTGATTAAACAAACCATTTTGTTATATCAATGTGTTGACAAACTATTAGGGACATAGTCATACTTCTTGTTTTTGCTTTAATTTTAACTTACTATTAAATTAGACGAAATTTGAAGCAAGTTTTATTTTTGAAGTATTTACAAAGTTCAAGGTACTGCGCAAGGTACTGAAAGAAATACAAGAGAAGTAGAGCTTTAAGCATGTGTTTAGTGTAATGAAGACAACACAGGATTTAGTCAAAGTTGAGGACATTTTATTTTGAATTTCCAATGAATCTTGTGCCACATTTTTTACATCAACCTTGTCATCTATAGAATGAGAATACTAACAATTATTGATCTACTTACTTCAAATGTTTTGTGAAAATGAAATGATATTTATTCCTAAAGCATTGCATGCATTACAAATCACAATACTTATATTCACCTAATGTGTTTCACAGAATACTAGTAATTCTATGAGTATAACCACAAGTGATTCCTGGCCAAACATGTTTGGGAAATGCAGCATACTATCTCCATTCCACTTGGAGTGGCATGTGGCATATCAGCTTTTACAGGCTCAACTATTTTTTCTAGACTAGGATTCTCCACATTTCTTTAAGCGTACTTTATCATAAAATACTAATTAGCATTGCAAAAAATTATGGTAACATCGAAAATACTAAGGAAATTACACATTATGTAAGTGTTAGCTGTGCTTTTACTATCACAGTGTATGTGGTAGGAGTAACAATTTTAGTATATGAATAGCTACAGCACACAGCAGGCAAACAGTATAATAAAAGTAGTAAAAATTACATCATACCATCTCATAGGAAGGAAGAGTTAACCAAGGTTGTAAAAATCGAAGTAATTCTTCAAAATATTTGAATATCTAATCTGTATATAGGATTCTATTTGGATGTCTGGGATATCCAAGCCTAATCCTATATAAGGGTTAGATATCTAAGTCTAATTCTATATACAGGTTATTTCAAATATTTTAAAGCATTTGAAATAGTTATTAGTATTTATTTAATATTTATTAATAACTATTAATAAATATTAATAGTTATTAATATTTATATTATATAAAAGTGTATGTATTATAATTATATAAATTTCATAAATTATATTATATTATATAAATTATATAAATTATATTAGATTTATAAAATGTAAATTATATTATATAATTACATAAATTATATAATTATAAAATTTAAATTATATAAATTATATAATTATATAACATAAATCACATATATGTAATTAAATGTGTACATTTAGCACATGTATGTACATACATGTACACACAGGCCACCACCACTGCCAAAAGTATTATGCTAAATAAAAATCAATAAAGCAAAATGTAAATGATGTATTACAGAGGACAGAACATAGAAATGGGCAGCCTAGTTTGATAAAGTTTGTTTTGTGGATATGTTAATCCTTACATGTCAATTTGACATCTAGAAGAAAACACAAACCAGACAAAAATGTCATTGGTTCTGATTAATGAGTCTTGGGTAATGTCTGTATTTGAGTTTGAGAAAAGATGGGTTGTGGGTCATCCTCAGAATTACAAAATTAGGAGAAAATTCAGTACAATACAATGACACAGCATCTAATGAACTAAAAATTTCTTTCATTTTGCTATGTAAAATTTGCATTAATATATATTTAAAATTAAAATCAATTGAATGCATTCACTCTCACCATGCAAATATTAAAAAATAGAGAAAAAAGGAAATGCATTCAATAAAATATAAGAGTAACAGTAGACAGTATACAGTCATCTACCCAATAGACATCCCTCTTCCCTGTTTAGAGACTATGACTTATGTTCCGAAAACCACATTCATTCACAAAGCAACGGAATTTAAGGAAAGAGACCTCCCAGTTCCTGATGAAAGAAGTGAATCTTGACTAATTTAGCTAACTGTGAACCTTTTAGCCCTCTTGCTATTTGTTTTAGGAACAAACATGCTGCAAAGTTTCAGCCAATGAGATACAAGGGAAATGATTTCTTGTGGGGCTTTAAGAGAGAAACAAGGAAGATTGAGTTCTTGTTCTTGCAGATCCTGATGTGTGTCAATTGGTAGATGGAGCTGCTTCAGTCATCTTCAAGGAGCAGATAAGAGGCTCAGGTAACATGCTGAGGAGTCTAGTGAATAAAGAGGGAAAAAGTGTGGATCCTTGATGATGCTGTTGAGGTGCTGAATTTAAAATTAAGTTAGTTTGCCTTGGATGTCTTGTTTGGAGAGATGATAATTTCTTTTATCATTGAAAATATATTGTACTAGCACTTTATTTACAGCCCAAATCATTTCACTTGATGAAACATTAGAGAAGAAAATACTTGTTCTTTTTCCCAGATGCTATAACTTCACATAGCATTTCTATAATTTGTTTTCTGCATTTTCAAAAAATTGGAGGCATCTAAATTCAAAATCACAATGAACTTAAAATGTCTTCCCCAATTAATAGGAAGTGATGACACCTGTACATAGACAAGGAACTCAGGTTACCTTTCTCACTCCTACACCTGCTTTCTTTATCTCTCAATTCGCCTTAACTGATTTTCCCTAGGGGATCTTCCTGGATTAACCTTGCACAATTTGTCTTTAAAAAGATAGATCAGCAAGTTTTCCAGGTGATATATAACCAAACACTTCCACTTTCTTGAGCAAAGGGATAAACACAATACAAATGTAAATATAGGAGCTATGCAGTCTAAGGGAGTGGTTAAGCATGAGTGGTTTGAAGCCAATTTTAAAAGGATTAAGTTCTGACCCTACCACTTACTAGCTGTGTGGCCTCAGGCAAGGCATTTATGTTTCTGTGTCCTTCCTATAAAAAGTGAGGATATATCATTGGCATTCAGTATTATCGTAAGGATGAAGTGCTTATAAAAGTGCCACACAGATAGTATGCACTCTTAAATAAGCAACTAACAAACCATATAGAAGGCCGCCCTTTGCTTAGCTCATTTGGAAAGTCTAAATGTATGCCAAAGAATGTATATTTTAAGTCAATATGTGTTACACTCATATTATCAGAGGAAGTAATTTTCCTCATAACTATGGAGCAGTCAGTCACTGGTATTACATCTAAGCAACATCTTATAATAACAATGCTTAATAGCCATCTAGTACATTTATTCTAAGTAGCTGGGAGCACTTAACGAACATTATCCAATTAATCATTAGAGATTCCTGTGTGGTAAGTCGGAATTGCTATCTCAGCGTTAGTGATAATGATAGGGATATGCAAAGCCAGTCATCTGCATGATAAATCTGAATGACTTTCGCAGCATGTGGCCAGGAATAGAAGCAAAGGCCTGATTCCTTGTCAATGATGCTGTTCAGTGGACCACGCAAGTTCTTGGACTAGATATTCTTGGATTGTTTCTTTCCAAATAACATGGAAGCATATCTAATTTTAACTGTTAAAACTGGCAAAAAGACCCAAGTATTTGTGGACCTCTGACAGCACCTATTTTTAAGCATGTGTCTACTAACATTTGGGTTTTAGATGATCACGAATTCTAACAACTTAAAACTAACTGCTACCAACTGCTGCTTAATTAAAATTCTACTTAACAGTAGCTATGGACAAAATAAGTAAAATAAGATAAATGTTAATTTTAAAGTTCAATCTAATTGGAAGTTAGAAAAAAGTCATACTATTAAGATCATAATTATCACAAAAAATGTGGCACCAGCTCCCAAATTCAGTGAATTCGTGGTTCTGCTGCCAGAGGTTAGATTGTACAATGTTAACTGAGACATATTACTTTGACATAGAAAAGTGAGTTCAGAAGTAGACTGGGAAGAACGATAATTAGAGGAAAGCACTGAGTTTGAAAATTTAAAAAAGAAGCTTATATATAAGTTATATATAAGAAGCTTATATATAAGTTAACTCATCATTTGAATTGCCATTTCTCTAAGTGAACGTAAAACAAACCCTCCCAGCTTCAGGTAATCATTTATTTAACTACAGTAAATTATATCTACAATTTAGGATTGTTGTTAGCCTTAAAAATGTCAAAGAAGTACAATTGCCTTAAAAGTATTCAGGAAATGTTAGTATGTGAAATGTGAAAAGTCAATTGAATTATTCAATACATTCAATTCCCTCAAACTAACACACCTAGAAAATACATCGAGAAAATCAGAACAACTTAAAGTTTTTGATCATTATTATTATCTTTTGCCTTTGAATATTGATATCTTCAATAAAATGTATTCAAGAGAAGCAGGTCTGGCTATTATCATTCCCCCTCCACAGCCCCAGTAATTGTTTCTACTATTCTGAGGGACATTCAGCTTTCTGCCTTTGTAGGTGTGTTATTCAACTACACATTTCACCCTTTCACAATTTGCTAGGTGTCAGCTTTTTGGAAAATTAATCCAAAGATTGTAATGGCAAATAAAATTGTAGTGGTTTATTTCAATTAGGCATATTTTAAATAAGCAGTAAAGTTATATAACTTTAAGAAATAGGACCCTCATAGGAATATATGGAAGACATATATTAACAAGTATAGAACCTATATTTTCAGTACACATGGCTCAGGATGGAATCTCAAAAATACCACTTCCTAAATCTGTGACCTTAAACAAGTTAATGTACTATTTTAGAACTCTGGTTTTCTCGTGTATAAAACAGAGGTAACTCAGAAGGATAAGCATGTGACATAGAGAATACAATGAGATATTATATATCAATTAGCATTGTGCTTAGTCAGTGATATGCACTCAACAAACAATCATTTCTATCTCTCTCTTTCCCCTTGCATTATAAAATGTAGCCATAGATTCAGCCCTGAAAAGTAATGTCTATCATGGGTGTAATTATACTCTAGAATGCTAGGTGTAAATTATTTTATCTTTCAAGTGTGATTTTCTCAGAATGAGACTTTACTGTGAGGCTCGTCAAGGTCATTGTGTTAAACAATTCTGTCTGCATCCTCAAAGTCAGAGGTCTAACTAGGCTGCATAACAGTTTGACTGAAAAGGCACTATGCAAATCAAATGCATGCTGTCACTGTTATGGATACGACTGTTCATTTTTAGACGCATAGAAGGTTTCTCAACTGTAAGGAAGAACTTCGGCTCAGTAAGCAGGTTAGTGTGATTGATATTTTACTATGCAAGAGAGCAGAACAGAAATGAGTTCAACTTATAAAGTGTAAATTCTGTATCTCTTTATATGCATATATAAATATGAGTAGAAGAGGATAAAGTGAAAAAAAAGACAGAAAGACAAACCAAAAGAAAACAAAAGTAGAGAGAAATTGAGAGGCAAAAATAGGACAGAAAGGCAGAGAGAGAGGGAGACAGGAAGACAGACATGGACAGGAGGAGAGGGAAATGAGCAGGTCTGAATTAGACTAGAGAAACAGAGATTGGATGGACAAAGAAGCAGAAAGACAGTTGCAAAGACAAAAGATAAATGCATCTAGTGTAGTTGTACTGTTTTCTCATCTGAGAGAAAAAGAAATGATCCTTATTCATCCTTAGTGGAGCGTAGTTATTGTCAAGGGGAGGTCACTAGGGAAGATGTGTGCCTCACAGCAAAGACTGCTGTCTCTTTGTAGTATTTATTTGAACAGTGTGTGCCCCATGCGCACATTACTTACCTTGATTATTCTTTGAAGGAATATATTAGACCCTTTATTTTTATATATGACATATATCAGACATTGTACAACATAACTCAAAACAGTATTTGAATCATGTTCAACACAAATAATATGTGTCCATATGTGAAAGCTGCAAGGAGAGTCAGGATGGAAAGAACTTGAAAAGTAAAAATCACACAAACAGAAGCCGAATTGTGCTTATTTGCTCTTAGTTTTAATACAATGAGAAGGAAATGAGAGAAATAAGCATTATTACCATAAATGTGTATCCATCTGTCTTTGTTAGACTCTAATGCATAGTAAACAAATTATTTTAAAATTAAATGACTTCTTCCTTCAGCACTTTTATGCAGCATAAGTCCGTCAAAGATTTCTGACAAGAGCAAAATATATGAGCAATCACTATGTAAACAGAAAATACTATATTAGGCAGAGAATTGAGCTCTAACTCTGGAATCAAATTCAGAACAATGGACAGTGTCAGTGGGTTTAGAGAGGACTAGTAGTGTAATAACGGAAGAGGGGACATGAGAGAAAAAAGTCACATAATTTTAATTTCGATTCATTCAAATTAATGCATACTATAAATATACATATTATCTTTATGCACATGAACATATAGCACATTATTCCACAAAGTCAGGAGGCATGCTCAGCTAGGACAAAGATGATATTGGTACAGAACTACAGTGAATCAAAAGAGAAAAGAAAGAAAAATAAACACTCCACCTTTCTCTGACAATCCTCAGCTTCTCACCTTGGGTGCCATGAAAATTCTCTTATCATCCTTCGGTTGCTATATGTGGCAGTTACATGTATTGAGAGGAAAAAGAACCTTATAAAAATGATGGAAAATGTGCCCATCTAATGGTGGTGTTTTGACCAGAGTTTGAGGAAAATCAAGATGATTGAGAAAGTAAAGGATGATGTCACCCTTTAGATCAGGTGTACTCATGTGCCAGAGGAAAGCTATTAGAAATGGAATATGGATTTTCAAAGCTTAACTTTAATGTCATGAACAAAGCAGACCTAAGGGAGTCACAGACATAATACATCGTAAAAGAAAATAGCCAAATCTATGTAAAATAAGAGTATTTAATACTCATCATGATGTTATTAACTATTTATAGCACTATAAATTTATAGTATCTGTAAGTATCAAAGTAGAATTATAGTTTTAAATTATGTCTTTGAAAAATATATATGGCTATGCTTTCTTTTCTCATAGTTGATTCCAGGCCTACAGAAGAGAAATGGGGCATGGCAGAGCCATTGAGTCCAAAGAGCTATATATTTGAAGAACTTGTCATGATAAACAAAAATCAAAGCTTTTAAAGTTATAACTCCCCAGAGTAGGAACGAGCCAAGGACACCAATACCATTACCACTGTCAAAATCTGTCCATGGCATTAAACTTTTCAATCTGCTTTGGTTTGGCAGCGTAAGGTCATTCCAATTCCCTGGGGTATCTTTCTTTCAGCGATGCTTTGGCTCTTCGTGAGTGATTTACTTGATTGGCATTTATATATTCTGCTGCTTAAAATCATTCACATGACTAGCATCCTTCAGAATATAAACAGAGAGATTCTAACACAGTGTTTCACAAACCACATCCATTCTTACATGTGTTTTCTCCTGCTGATTGAAATGGGTCTAATCTAAACAAATTGAGGTCTCTCTTTTCTCATCCATATGTATGTTTCATGCCTGTCAAAGGTATATTACTGCAAAGTGTGAATAATCATGTTTAGCCTCCTTTATTATGCTCAGTTGGAAAACACTTATTTTCTTTTCAAAATATTTTCATATAAAACATAGGAATTGAAGATCAACAACTGAAGTTTCTTCTGAAACTGAAGAAACAGATATTTACAGAGTATTACTTATCAGTTAAATGATTACTTCAACTGGGTTCAAATTGACTTTTGCCATCATTTTTTGCTTTTTTTAAAAAAATGTAAGATATATTCTTTCTCGCTAGGGAGCGATCATTTCTAAAAGTAAGAATTTTTTCAATTATGAGCATTGAATTAACAGTGTATCTCAAATTTGATATATTAGAGAAACAGCATTTTTATGAAATGAAGCTTTTCTTGGTAATCATTTTACAGTTGTTTTACTATGTAGTTTTTAATCTGTCAAAATATTTTAAAAGCATGTGTACATATTTTTGCATAATTTGGCAAACTTGTGCCATATAAGAAATTGGCAGTGCATGATAGTAAAAATGCTATTCTTTGGATTTATTCTAATTGACCTACTTTTAAAATCTTTTTAGCAAAATACTTGAAGCATCTTAATTTGGTTGCTGGTAATTTAGAAGGAGAAAATATTTTTAAGAGAAATATATTCTAGGGAAAATCATCTTAATCAACTACCAGACAATATGGTATGGGCATAAGCAAAAAAACCCATTGACTTCTATTCAAGGGATGACCAGATGTCCAATATAAATGAACAGCTATATAATTCCCAGTGCAGTCAGATATTCATTAAAAAATACTTAGAAGCTACTATCTAACTAGGTCCTCTTCCAGGGATTTGGGATACATCAACGAACAAGAGAGATAAATATCCTTGCATATCTGAAACTTGCATTCTAACAGTGTAAGATAGGAACTAGCCATTATGTATTTTTTTTAAAAAAGTGATAATTGATAAGTGTTACTGAAAAGGGGCCCTGATCCAGACCCCAACAGAGGGTTCTTGGATTTCACACAAGAAAGAATTCGTGGTGAGTCCACAGAGTAAAGTGAAAGCAAGTTTACTAAGAAAGTAAAGGAATAAAAGAATGGCTACTCCATAAGTAGAGCAGCCCTGAGGGCTGATGGTTGCTTGTTTTTATATTATTTTCTTGATTATATACTAAACAAGGGGTAGATTATTCAGATTATTCATGCCTCCCCTTTACAGACCATATAGGGTAACTTCCTGATCTTGCCATGGCATTTGTAAACTGTCCTGGTGCTGGTGGAAGTGTAGCAGTGAGGACAACCAGAGGTCACTCTCCTCGCCATCTTGGTTTTGGTGGGTTTTGGCTGACTTCTTTACTGCAGTCTGTTTTATCAGCAAGGTCTTTATGACCTGTATCTTGTGCTGACCTCCTATCTCATCCTGTGACTTAGAATGCCTAACTATCTGGGGATGCAGCCCAGTAGGTCTCGGCCTTATTTTACCCAGCCCCTACTCAAGATGGAGTTGCTGTGGTTCAAAGGCCTCTGACATAAGGAAAAAACAAGTGAAACACAGAGTGTTGACCACAAATGCTTGGAATGTGTGTGTGTGTGTGCGTGTGTGTGTGTGTGCGTGTGTGTGTATGTGTATGTGTATGTGTATGTGTATGTGTGTTGGGAGGCTGGATATTTGCAATTTTAAATAGGGTCATCAAACATTCACCCATTGAAAAAGTAAGAGTTCAGAAAAGATTTAGAAGAGGTAAAGGAATTGTCACTGTGTGTATCTATGAAAAGCACAGCAGGAACACACCTAACAAATCCACAGAACATCTACGAGGCTAGTGTGCCTGTCATGGAGAAAGTGAAGGGAGATTAACAGAGGATGAACTCAGAGAAGTAACAAGAACTGATCACGTGGGGCTTTCGGGGCCATTGTCAGGAGTTTGACTCTTAGCCTGAATGAAATGTGGATTAGTTGCACGGTGATGAGCAAAGGAATGACATGATCAGACCAACATTTTAACCAGCCCCTTTGGCTGCTGTGTTCAGAATAGAATGTCGGGGCCAAAGTGAAAGCAGAGACATTGTTATGCGGTGAGATGAAAATGTTTACACAGCAGGTCTGCGATGAAATGATGAATTAATTCCCTTTCGCAAGGCAGTGCTCCTGGGAAACAAACACATTCAGTGAGAAGTCTAATCTCCTATTAAACATTGTCATGTTTAATGACAGACCTCCTGGCAATTAAACTACATGGTTTGTGCTAGTGAGAGACAAGACTAGCTGGATTTCCTAGGCTGACTAAGAATCCCTAAGCCTAGCTGGGAAGGTGACCACATCCACCTTTAAACACGGGGCTTGCAACTGAGCTCACAGCTGTCCAATCAGAGAGCTCACTAAATGCTAATTTGGCAAAAACAGGAGGTAAAGAAATAGCCAATCATCTATTGCCTGAGAGCACAGTGGGAGGGACAAGGATCGGGATATAAACCCAGGCATTTGAGCAGGCAAAGGCAACCCCCTTGGGGTCCCCTCCTTGTATAGGAGCTCTGTTTTCACTCTATTTCACTCTATTAAATCTTGCAACTGCACTCTTCTGGTCCGTGTTTGTTACGGCTTGAGCTGAGCTTTCACTCGCTGTCCACCACTGCTGTTTTGCCGCCGTTAGGGACCCTCCGCTGACTTCCATCCCTCAGGATCCAGCAGGGTGCCTGCTGTGCTCCTGATTCAGCGAGGCGCCCACTGTCGCTCCCCATCGGGTTAAAGTCTTGCCATTGTTCCTGCACAGCTAAGTGCTTGGGTTCGTCCTAATTGAGCTGAACACTAGTCACTGGGTTCCACAGTTCTCTTCTGTGACCCACGACTTCTAATAGAGCTATAACACTCACTGCATGGCCCAAGATTCCATTCCTTGGAATCTTGAGGCCAAGAACCCCAAGTCAGAGAACATGAGGCTTGCCACCATCTTGGAAGTGGCCTGCCGCCATTTTGGAAGTGGCCCACCACCATCTTGGGAGCTCTGGGAGCAAGGACCCCTGGTAACACTAGGAGGAGATTACTATGAAAAGTTTTGGGCAGGATGTACTTGCTTCTTCTGTAATTGCTTCTGGTAAATAAACCTGGAATCTACAGATTCATGGGACATACTTCCTGATTAACATAATGTGAATTATGTAACTATATGAGTATGAAATTGTGATGTTCTATAATCTAAATGGCTTTTTCTTTGTAAGTGAGGTGACCATGTACTTTATTAGAAGTCTCATCTATTACTTGAAAGACATAACGGTGAGATGAAAAAATGACCTAGGGAGTCATACTGGTTGTCATGGAATTCTTCCTGCTTCACCTGTATTATGCATTTATATGTACCCTTGAAATTATTAATAAGCTCAGTACTGGATCAAATTTCTAATTCTTGGGAATCTCATTGACAGTGTGATCCTGGGTGTTGTTACAAATGGCAATACTTCAGGCAAGAGACAATGGTGTCTCATGTCAGGATAATTCTAACAAAGATGGTGGAAATGTTCAAATTATGAATATTTGGGGCAGTATTCTACCCATGGCATGGGTGTACCATGTAAAATAAAAAGAAAATTCAAGAACAACTTAAAAAATTTTGGTCTGAATGGTTGTGAATGTCAACTGAAGTGGGTAAGACTACAAATAGATGGGTGTGTGTGAGTTCATGGATTGAAGGTGCAGTTTTGTGCATGCCAAGTTTGAGATGCATTTTAGACATCCAAGTGGTAAATATTGATACATGATTCTTTGTGTTATGTCCATGCAATATACAGGAATGGAGGGAGTCTGGGCTGGAAATATGTATTTGGAAGTTGTCATCATATTGAGGATATCGAAAGTCCTGACATTGGACGAGAAGTCCAACCAAATGTATATAAACAGGATAAACGAGGGCCGAAGACTGAACCTTGAGATGCAACATTAAAACGTCAGGGGGGGCCGGGCGCGGTGGCTCACGCCTGTAATCCCAGCACTTCGAGAGGCCGAGGTGGGCGGATCACGAGGTCAGGAGATGGAGATGGTGAAACCCCGTCTCTACTAAAAATACAAAAAATTAGCCGGGAGCGGTGGGGGGCGCCTGTAGTCCCAGCTACTCAGGAGGCTGAGGCAGGAGAATGGCATGAACCCGGGAGGCGGAGCTTGCAGTGAGCAGAGATCGCGCCACTGCAGTCCTGCCTGGGCGAAAGAGCGAGACTCTGTCTCAAAAAAAAAAAAAAGTCAGAGGGAAGAGGAAGAACCAACAAAAGAGACTGCGGAGGAATAGCCTGCATTATAGGGTGTATTGAGAGCTAGGTAAGGGAAAATAAAATATTCCATGATGTCGGAGCCCCAGCTAAATTATGGGTCCAGTACTAGAGCAGCTGACAAACCTGCACTAAGGGCAAATGATGAGGAGTTGGATGTGGGTGTATACAAACTTTATTTGTAAGTTTATTACAAATAAACTTAATATATGCATGATGTTATTTTTAAAAATAAACACATCATACCTGCGACCAGGGAAAACTTACACTGGCAAGCCACCTGTGATTCTTGTCTGACCTGTGTCTGGTTTATGCCTGCCTGGTCAACACTTTGGCATTGGGAGCTTGACCTTTTATTCTCCCCAGTGTTCCAGGGAAAACCCAACCTGAGGCAGCTCCTGATTCTTCAGATGGAAAGTGCAAATTTAATGTAACACCAAAATAAGGAACAAGTTCAAGGACTTTTCCTTGCAGACTCCAGGATCCAAGTAAGGGTGTGTGGGAGGGTATAATGAGTCTGGAGGGCAGTTCTTTATCCTGGAGTCATGGCAGGCAGAAATGAAGAGTCAGACAAAGAGAGAGAAACGGGTGGCAACTAGCACACTGTATAAAGATTAGGGTGTGGGCCTTCAAAGTTCAGAGCAAATGACTGAATGGTCCCTTTAAAGAAAGGGGCAAGAAAGCAGTGTTCAGTCTGCTAGGCAGAAGAGATGCCTCTAAATTTTTATATATGACCACCAGTTTCAGCCCTTTGGGTATGCTGTAGGATGAAAAACTGTGTAAAGGGTGACTGAGCCCTGCTTCTAGTATGAGAAAGCAATACTAGTATTCAAAATGGATGCTGAAGCAACATAAACTGATAAGAAGTCATTATACAGACATTGCTGGGAACTGAATGTTGTAGTGACTTCGACAAGACCAGTTTAATGAAAGATTAATCCCCCATTCTATAATAAACATATGAGTCTTTACAAATAAATGTAATAAAGTTATTATGCATGTTATTTTTTAAATATATATTTCTCTAGTATCTCAGATTTCAGAAAGCTCAAATATAAAGTGAATTCCCAACTGCAGTTAACCACACTTGAGGTGTTTGGATTTTTTTCTTTTCCCCCCTCCCTCTCTCTCTTCTTCCTTCCCCATCTTTTTTCCTTCTTTCCTTCCTTCCTTTTGAGAGGTTCTCGTTCTGTCATCCAGGCTGGAATTCAATGGCACAATTATAGCTCGCTGCAATCTTGAACTCCTGAGCTCATCCAGTCTTCCCACCTCCGCCTCTTACATGCACGTGCAACCATGTCTGGCAATTTATTATTATTATTATTATTATTATTATTATGATACAGACAGGGTCTTGCTATGTTGTCCAAGCAGGTCTCGAACTCCTGAGCTTGAGTGATCCTCCCATTACAGCCTCCAAAGTGCTGGGATTACAGGTGTGAGCTAACATGCCCAGCCAGATATTTTTCTTTAGGTTGTTTCTGATTATTCTTGCAATATGATATTCTCTTTTAAGTGTTTTAGTATTTTAAATTTCCAGAGTTAGCTCATTTTTTCATAAGGATTCTTAAATCATCTAAAATTTTTATCTTTAATTTTCAGAACACAGGACCGAAGAGGAGAGGTGAAACAAAAAGGTTTAGGGGAACTCCATAACATAGTGTTGACAAAGAGCTCACTGGGGTTAGCAATCATAGTTAAGATATAAGAAATGAGAAGAGAGAGGATGAGAATAGTGAAGCTTCTATGACAGCTGAATTCTATACACTTTTATATCTTCCCCTTAAATTATGGAATGAAAGCTTCAGGATTTGGGCAAGGTCACAGAGCGTGTGCATTCCAAGGGTCATGAGTGTTAAATGAGGGCCAGGCAGAGACTCCGTGCAGAGCCATGCATGACTTTCCCAAACACAGTTGTCGAGGACCCTCTAGCATGAATCATCTTCTGCTTCTGATATTGAATATTGCCATGATCTAAATGTTTGCTTTTCCCCCAAACTTGTATGTTGAAAACTAACCCCTGTGGTGATGGTATTTGGAGGTAGGGTCTTTTAGGAGCTGATTAGTCATGAGGGTGGAGCATTCATAAATAGGATTAGTGCCCTTATAATATAGGCCCAAGGGAGTTGAGCTCCTTGGTCCCTTTCACCATGTGAGAACACAGGACACAGCCAAAAGGTGTGACCTACGAAGCAGGAAAGGGGCCCTCACCGGACACTAAATCAGCCAGCACCCTGATCTTAAACTACCCAGCCTCTAGAACTGTTAAATATAAATTTATGTTGTTTATAAGCTATCCAGTATATGCTATTTTAGTTATAGCAGCCTGAATGCACTAAGATTAATATTACAATTCATTTTGGTTTGTTTCTGTGAGGTAAGGCCAATTCCCATGGACTTCTTTATCTCAGAGAATGATTTACTTGGTTCACCTCCTTTTGCTAAACAACGTTCATGTGACTACTCAATGTTCAAAAGTCTAGGAGAACCAAGGGCAGTAAATAAGAAAATACACTGAGATGTTCTGAAAATATCCAGCCACGAAGATACCACAGTGTCCCTTGGGAAACACATCTAACATATCCAAAGCAGCATGTTAATAATTTATTTTGTTTTGCTTTATCTTGTTTTTCTCTAAAAAGAAAAAAAAAAGAGAAAAGCCTTCTGTGGACATTTTTCTGCCAGACTGAATCTATTTTCAGTCTCAACTGTATGGGTCCGATGATGGATACCCTATTGAACTGAAGAGTCTTTGAGGAGTTTTGCAACTTTCTGGAACACATACCTGTTTGAGCCAGAACAGAAGAGCAACGTATATTGCAATAGATAGGTGAAGTTTTTCTAACTTTCATTGGCCTGGTACATATTTTATTTTTACTCCGTCTATTACCGTTTGTTGTCTCTAACATTACCTTAAAGAATCATACACACGCAGGCACACACATGTACATGCACGCGCGCACACACACAGACCCTTTTTGCTACTGTCTTGACTATGTCCTTGTATATAGAGCTGCCTTTTTCAGTAAGGAGTAATAATTTTGATCTTGTTAATATCTTGTTAATGAACTATTAAACTATCTAAATTATGTCATGGTAAACCTGATTCCAGTATATTTAAACTCATCCAGTTGATAACGCTGTAACAAAGTTTATGAATTTAAGCTAAATAGATAAGCCATTTGTCTACAAGGTAAACACCGAAGTGAGTTTTTGCTGTGGTAGTTGTTGAGTATTTAAATATGTGCAATGCAGACAAAATGCGTCAAGATGAAAAATTTTATTTGGTGGGTAAAAAATGAGTGATAGTGTTTACCAGCAGCGATTAAGTCAGAGAGCTGCCAGAGAGGAAATTCATCTGAACCATGTAAGCTATAATTATAGATCAGAAAAGACGCAATATAATATGGTTTTATTAATATACCTGGCAGAAAAACATGCTACCACACTACAAAACATTAAAGAAAATTTTACCCATGCACCATTTTCTAATGAAAATGTGTAGGCATATCCTCATGATCTTAAGAAATTTGGAGAAAACTATTCATTTTCAACATTAAGGCAGTTGGATAAGAAGTCACCATATTAAACCAGAGTTGAAAATCAGTATTTTCTTTCTATTTCCTTCTTTGTGTACCATTGTCAACAGATCCTCTCTTGTCCTGTCTCTCTTTTGTCCTTGCTGTTGAGTGGTGTGCATTGATAGTTTCTTTCTCTTCTGCTGATTTTTTACTAGGTCTTTGTTTTGCACATTGACAGTCCTCATCTGTTTTCTCCCTCAAAATTCACCACTGCTGTAAAGTCTGCTCTGCTAAAACTATGGACCTTTTCAGGAACCTGTATATTCAAAAACATAGAGGAACCGATGCCAACAATTTAACTGTGCTCAAATTTTTAAATAATGAAGTTTTATTTTATATGCTAATTTTAAAATAATGCAAAGCTATTATGAAGAGTCACAGAATTTCAAAGCTGAAGGGACACCATTATAATTCTTGTTTTTATTATTTGTATGTAGCACTAGTACATTAGATAATATAAATGATGACCTGAGCTAATTTGTCAACATATTGTAAATCAAGCAGGTGTTCAAGTGGATCAGAACACCTGTGAGTGCTTTTGCTGATGCATAGACTTTTATTTAAACATGTATTGTCATCATGCAAAGAAAAAGTGTATTCTGTCATAATGATATAAAAGTAAGGTGTACACGGCTAATATTGGGAAGCAAGCCACCAAATACAGTGCAGCAGAGATAGGTTTAGAAATTCATTCTAAATCAAGCTGAATTACCACCGTGATATTTCTAAAGAACACCCCCATTCAGCTTTTTATTTGCTCCTGCGGGAAATTAATCTTTCATTTTGTGAGTACAAGGTCTTCATGAATGGATCCTTCGATAAAATGGAGCTGTGTTGTACCAACCTCCCAGTGGTTTTCTGGGGACTAATAGAAAATGCTTCTGCATCACTTAACAAGACAACTGACTTGTGATAAGTGCTCAGTAAATATTATCTATTTTATCATATGCAAAAATAATGAGGGGAGTGTGCATGTAAAAACACAGATACAGCCATTTTTCCTTTCCAAATGGTGTTTATCACCAATACTATTTCAGAATACTTTGCAAGATATGGTGGGCTACTGAGGCCAGGGTGATTAGTATTCAAGTTAAGTAGTACTAAGTAGCCTTTTCTAGGTTAATGTTGGTGCGTTAATAACATAACCATTTGTCTAAGGAGATTCATCCCAAATTGCAAAGAGAAAAAATATGAAATGGATATATAAAACACTTTAAAGTTGTACTCTCCCTCTATTTTATATATGAGGACCTCACGACTAGGTATGAGTACACATAGTGAATTGTAATAATACGTTCATTTACACCTAGACAATTATTTTCATGAATACAGGATGAAAATTATTACATTTGAATCTCATTATAATCTTTATCCCGGAAAAAAAAACATTGGAATAAAGTGGATTTAGACTTCGTGCCAAATATTTATTTAGATGAATTTGCAAATAGACCCATGCTTAAAAGTATGTGAGATTTAAATAAGCATATTAAAGACTTAATTATAATTAAATGCTATTGCATTCTATTTTTGATTCAAAAAGTTTTCAGCATTGCCTCCTTGGTTTTTATTTGTTTTTAACTGAGCTTACAGAACTAACTAGGAAAATATATGCCAGGCATTATTAGCATATCATAATATAAACATTTATTTGACATTCAGATCTTGTGTATTTTGAAGGGCAAAATAAAATAGAAGGGGAATTTTTTTTTCAGATTTTATGAGAGGTAAGCTAAATGTCTATCTTCTTGTATATTTTTGTTAGCAAAGAATCTGGATATCCATCTTGAGGTCATATTTGCAAATGACTTTGATGGAACACTTAAATTTCATTTGGTGAATGACAGCTCAGAAGCTTCAAATGTGCCTGGGTGTATGTTACTTTCATTTCCTGGTGTGTGCATAGGTCTGAAGAGCTATGAGAAAATATTATCATTATATGATACTCTTGCAATCCAAGAACACCTACAAAATTACTCTTCTCAGCTGAGACGTAATGAGATTCTCTTTATGACCAGGTTCAATCTTCTTTCCTCATGGAACAGGTAGAAGGAAAGAGAGAAATTGCTCAAGATGCAAATTATGTGTACTCCTGTGACCCAGGTGAACCAGACCTTACAAACTGCCTGTCAGGGAGATGTAAATTTCTTGTAAGCAGCTAGATCACTAGACTCAAAGGAAGTTATTGATTTTCCTATAGTGTCTCCAATGCAGAAATGAAAGACTTACAAGTTTGTGATGTAGATGCTTTCTAGTCTTTCTTTTGTTAAACATGTCACTTTTCACCTGTTAATACTAGAGTTCAGATAGCATAGAGACTTGTTGGAAAATACATGCTTTTCTTCCCCCTCTGGTTATAAAGAAAACAAAAAGAGCAGAGAGAAACATTCAATAGGGTCACAGTGGGTAAAATTCCAACATCCTCGCATCACTGTCTACTTTAATCAATATGCATTAACACAGGCTACATTATGCATATGTAAAAAATGCTTGCCATCTCAGTGAAAAATGGCACAGCAATTAAAATGTCAAAAGGCTAAGGAGACAATGTGAGATTAAGTGCAGTTATAATTTTATTTTAAAACATCTCAGTTCTCTGGTGCTCATTGGAGTGTTCTTTTTAAAATGATTTCAAATTTGGGAACATTAGCAAAACCCAGCCAGCTACTTAGTATCTTATGTAAAAACTGTATTTTTCAGTCACCTTCCTTCTTTAGCTAAATTAAATGACACATGTAGTCTTTTATTTTTTTCTCAATGATTTAAAGACAGCAAATATGCCATTATTTTTCTTTCTTAAGTATATGTATATACAATTTTATAAAGTATTAAAATGAGGACTCCTTAACATGTATCTTAGCATTTTTTCATCAAGTTGAGTAAGACTTTATAGGCAAACATTGTTCAATAATAAAAATTATGCTCATTAGATTTTATTTGAGAAATCTCTATTAATTCTCCTTTTCATATTTTTTCTCATTAAGATGCAATTTAAGTGTACCTCTCTTTCATTAGTAGGGCCATTTAAGCTAGGTGGTATACCTTTAATCTCTGAGAAAGCTTAGGTGATATGCTTGTCTACAGACAGAAGAAGGTTAGAAACTGACTTCTGATGAGACATGTAAAATAGAGTGTGCTCATGCACAATTCCTAGGCCATGCCACACAGTTCCCACTTTCATCATTCTTAGTGAACGCATAAGTGAAACAGGAATAGAATATTTAATGTTATCTTTTTTATATATATCAGTAAGCAAAGAAGCAAACCTGCACGGCTCCACCTCAGGGAACCCCAAGGGGTACATATGTGCAGGGACTTAACCTCCCATATCAGACTCTAAGGAAGCAGAGTAATAAGACCCTGACATGCTACTGGCTGACATATAGGTTTTATTAGATTAAAAGCTCTGAAATGGCCATAAGGCAGAATGAGTCGTTGCATATTTTCTGCTTCTAGAAGGCATAGAATTCTAGTCCATAAACCAAGTGCATGCAGCTCATGTCTGTAAATCTTTTTTACATCAGTGTTGCCTGTGTTTCTTCCTATTGTTTAGGAATATATTTCCTTAAACATATGACTTATGCTAATACAGTATTTCTGATTCAATATCAACTATTTCTGTTCTGTATAAAAATAACTTTATTTATAAAATATTTTTAAGTACTTTAAAACATATATGGTCAATGATCTATTCCAATAACCCAAAGTCTGCACATAATAAATCATTCCAGAAAAAATTACTATATTTCTCTAACATATAGACTAGGCTTAATTGTTCTTCTTTATCTAATATTGTAATTAGGTGGTAGCATGATTAAAAGATCTTTATATCTGCTTAAAACCCTAAATTTCTAACTATGTTTCCTAACATTTTAAATACAATTACAATTTTTATTTTTTTAGATGTTGAGATATTGACGGTTCTTAGCTCTCCAATTATATGCCAGCTCTCCTTGAACATGGAATAATCAATAGTCTAAGTTGGCCCCAAAGATTACCCCTCCAGCAATAGTTTCGCTTCTACATAATTCCAGGGCATGTCACTATAATAGATTTTACTCTCATTATTTGGTCATGTTACATAGCACACTTGACCTTAAAATAGAGCACAATTTAATCACATGAGCCTTTCTATAAGCAGAGAGTTTGTCTAGTTGAAAGCAGAAGGGAAATCAGATAAATCTGAGGTGTGATATGGATTCAATATGAGGGCAGTTCTTTATTACAGAAACGGAAGGGGCCTGTGGCATAACCTGATAGCAGCCTGGAGGAGGTGAGGTCACTCCCAGCTGACAGATAGTGAGGCAAGAGGGACCTCAATCTTACAACCACAAGGAAACAAATGCTGCCAACACTCTGAGGGGCCTTTGAGCCGATCTTTTTGTAGTCAGGCCTCCAGATGACGATGCAGTTGGCCAGCACCCTGACAGCCTTATGAGACCCTGAGAAGAGGACTTGGCCAAAATGTGGCAGGCTCCCGACCAACAGAAATTGTGCAATAATAAATCTGTGTTAAGTGGCTAAATTTGTGGCAATGCAATAGACAGAAAAATACAGTGCTATGTGGATTAAGGAAGTTCAGTGGAAGGTATTGTATTTTGAAATTTCTAAGCAATTTTTATTTTATTTTTGATATTATTATTATTATTTTTGAGATGGAGTCTTGCTCTGTCGCCCAGGCTGGAGCGCAGTGGCATGATCTCGGCACACTGCAACCTCTGCCTCCCGGGTTCAAGTGATTCTCCTGCCTCAGCCTCCTGAGTAGCTGGGATTGCAGGCAGGCACCACCACACCCATCTAATTTTACACATATACATATATAGTGTATATATACACATATATATGTACACATATATATATACACATATGTATATATGTATATGTGTATATATACACTATATATGTATATGTATGTGTGTGTGTGTGTGTAAACTGGGGTTGGGGAAATGGAGAGATGTTGGTCAAGGGATAGAAATTTTCAATTATGCAGAAAAAGTAATTTCTGGGGACCTAACGTAGAGCATGGTGACTATAGTTAGTAATACTATATTGTATAATTGAAATCAGCTTAGAGAGTAGGTCTTAAATGTTCTCACTACACAAAGAGATAATTACGAGAGGTGATGTATATGTTAACTAGCTTGATTGTGGTAATCATTTCATAATATATACATATATCAAAACATCACAGTGTACAGCATACATAAATATATTCAATTTTTTTGTCATTACACCTCATTAAAGCTGAACAGAAAAGCATCACTGATAAATTTCTAAAATAATAATGATAATTGGCCAGACGAGATGGCTCACGCCTGTAATACATATATACATATATACATATATATCTGTGCATGTATGTGTGTATATATACACATATACACAGATATATACATATATATGTTTGTGTGTGGGTGTGTGTGTGTGTATATATATATATATACACACACACACATATATGTATATATATATAATCTTTTCTTTATCCAGTCATCTGTTGGCAGACATTTAGGTTGATTTCATATCTTGGCCCCTGTGAATAATGTTGCAATGAACATGTTTTACTTAAAAATACTCATGAATGTATATATTGAACTTTCACTATGTACCAGGCATTAGGTTCCTATTTACATCAAGTTTCTCATTTGGTCTTTAAAAATACAGTGAGAGATAATACTACTGTAACTCCCACTTTACAGATAAAGAAACTGAGGCTTACAGAGCTTAAGGAATTTCCTCTGGGTGAAAATGGTTACTAAGTTTCAAATCCAAAATACAAAACCAAGCAGTTGGATTGCAGAGCTTATATGTTTACCTCTCCCTTCAGGGTTTCATAGAGCCTCAGAGCATGGGTGACCCAGTTCCAAACTCTAATAGAAAAACAAGCAATGTGGTTAAGACCCTAGATAATACATGGGAAATCAGTGAGTGGAGTAGGAACATCACACGGGATGGGAGGGGGGTCTTAAAAATGCATCAAAATCAGCACACCTTCTAAACCAGCATTTGCAATTTATAAAGAATTTTAGGTAATTCATCTGCACATTGAAGTTTAATTTGGGAATATAGATTGGTGCAGCCACTGTGGAAAACAGTATGGAGGTTTCTGAAAAAAAAAAAAAGAAAAGAAAAGAAAAAAACGAAAAGAAAAGAACTATCGTATGACCCAGCACTTTCTCTTCTGGGTATATATATCCAGAGAAAAATAAATCACCACCCTGTAAAAATATCGGTGCTCCAATGTTCACTGGAGCATCGTCCTCAATAGCTCAAGTACAGAAACAATTGAAGCATCCATCAAGAAGTGGATGGGTAAATAAATTGTGGCATATGTACACAACAGAAAACTATTAAACCTTAAAAAAGGACATGAACCTAGGGGGTTGCACATGGATGAACCTAGAGGACGTTATGTTAAGTGAAATAAGCTAGGAACAGAGAGACAAATGCCACAAGATCTCACTCTTGAAAGCTGATATCCTAGAAGTAGAGAGAGGAGAACAGTGGTTTCCAAGGGTAGGGATATTTGAGGAGTGAGTAGGGTGAGGAGACGTTGGTCCAAGGATACAAAATTTCAATTATATAGGAGGAATACTTGAAGAGATCCGTTTTACAACATGGTGACTATAGTTAGTAATATATTGTATTCTTGGAAAATGTTGAGAGTGGATATTAACTGTTCTCACCACAAAAGTAAATATGTGAGACAATACCTATGTTAATTAGCTGGATTTAGTCATTCCAGAATGTATACATGTTTCAAAATTTCATGTTGTACGTGGTAAATACATAAAATTTTATCTGCCAATTTTTAACAATTGAACACATGTAATCATTATCCTAAGAATTCCAGAAAGGTGAATATGAATTTCTTGTTTGATGATACGGCCTCAGGCAAATCATTTCATCTGTCTTCCTGACAGTTTCACACTTCTATAAAACAGAGATAAATTATCAATTTTTAAAAAGAATTTAATTATGCCTAATGTTCAGCATATTGTCTGCCACAACATAATTAATAAACAATAAGTCGTTTTAGTTTTGTTTTTTGTTGTCGTTGTCATTGTTGTTTTTTAATGATGGAGGTAAACCAAGGAGGGTGGGGGTTTTAAAACCGCTTAGTTTTTCCTTCTCTCTGGAGCCCAGCAGTGGCTTCATGAGACCAAGTGTCTACTTTGCGGATCCAGTCTCCTGGTAGTACGGATGGGCTATAGAGGAATTCCAGAACGAGGTGGGAAAGGCTTAGCAGGCCCACAGCTCCGTGAGCTGTTATCATGAAATAGCAGCTTGGAGCTGGAGTTAGCTATGGGCTTACCTTTCCCCCTGAGAACCGAACTGCACTGATAACGTGAAATCGTACCATTTCTCAACATGTGAAGGGCGTCTCTTTACATTCTCAAAGCCTTGAGTCATAACTATCTGTTTTCAAAAGTTGACATTATCAGATCAGTTACTGTGAAAACCAGAAACGTTTTATTTTAGTCTTTTTATGTGAGTAAAAGATACAATAAAATCTTGGTAATTAAATATATTTACTTAACTGTTTTCACTTATACTCCTTTAAAAAGCGATTTTTTTAAAAGCCTGAATCATTGCTTCTCTGTATATTTAATCTTCAGTCTTGGAATTGCTTCTGAGGGGAAAATTACTTTTAAAATAATTTTCTTTGCAGTTAGGAAAATGAGGACCTATAGTCCTAACATGCTCTTAATTTGGGAATTACTTGTTTCACTGCTCAGAGAACAAAATTATTGGCAGTGGAAAAATTGCACACAAAACAAAGAGTTAACCCCTTTGGTGATTTAATCTCTTGAGGAAGGATTTCAGCCGGGTACAAAAACTGATAAGATATTTATCAACAAGTCACAGAATGGCTTATCAACTTGATCCTTTGATTGTTTATAAATACTATCATAAGCCTATTAAGTTCTAAGCTGGTATTTCCCAAAGTGAGTTCCTTTACTTAATAATGCCTCCTTCTTACAGCTTATTACACTTTTTTAATAGTTAGTCCCAGGAATTTCCATTTATTCTAATTTCATCAGTTTAAAGGCAGTAAAGTGTTCACGAACAAAGTTTCAGTATCAGGCTGCATGTATTTGAATCCGGAATCTACCACTCAAAGGCTGTGTGACCTTGGACAAGCCATTTAACCTCCCTGTGCCTTGGTTTCCACATGAGTAAAATGGGTGTGGTAGACTCATGGCAGGTAGAATTAAATGGATTAATTAATGTAAGGCACTGATGTACAAAAAGTGCGTAAAACACCTTAAGGATTTATGTAAGCTGCTAAATCTCACTTCTTAACTAAACAGTTCTTTTCATCCCCTCAGCTAAGGCCAAGACTACTCCGTGAGGTTGTGCAATGTGTGTGCTGCACAATAGTGCCTTGTGGAGGGAGCCGGAGAGTCTAAAATTCCTTCTCTGCCACCATCACCAAGCCATGTGCTCTTAAGCTTGACCTGTTAACAGCTGGTCTGTTTTTCTGATTTGTCCACCTAGAGGGGATATCTTTTTTTCTAACCAAGGTACTAGTAAAGGTATACCATATTAGAATATCTAAGCACAGGTCTGTCTGGCCCAGTGCTTATGACTGATAAGATTTGGGGCATTACCTATTAACAAAAACATCTGATTCCATTTCTTTTGGCCACCCCAGATCTAGGAGCAATCTCAGTTTTTCTGTTCTTAAGTATTTGTAAAGCTACAGTTTTATCTGATAGCCAAATGTTCAGCTTAGCTATACATAAATTCTTATGTTTCATATATATATATATATATGTGTGTGTGTGTGTGTTCTATATATATACATATATATGTTCTATATATACATAAATGTTCTCTCTATATATATACATATATATAATTACATTTGCTGTTCATTGCTAGTTATTGAGTACCGAACGAATAGTAGGCTGCAAAACCATAAGGATATTATATTATGCACTTGATTCTGAGGGCTTTGCATTCTTTTCAGAAGCCAGGTACAGTACGTTTAAAATAGTGAAACAAATTAGACATTAAATATGTAGCAAATATTAACTCACTTTGTGAATAATTAATGATAATTGTCATATTAAAAAGTGTTAGCAGACAAGGAAGACAAACATTTCACAAAAGAATGGAAAGGGAAAAACCAAAACTTTTCTACAGAATATTCATACCTGAGTGGATGTCGATGTAAATGTAATATAGAATTAAAGCTATTTCCAAGGTTTTAAATCAAGGATCATTGAAACCATGTACTAATGTGTACGTACTTGAATGAAACATTTATTGAATCAATTAATTTATGAGTGAAATATTTTATTTTATTATTTATTATTATTTTTTGAAACTTGCTCTGTCACCCAGGCTGGAGTGCAGTCATATGATCTTGGCTCATTGCAACCTCTGCCTTCCAGGTTCAAGTAATTCTCTGCCTCAGCCTCCCGAGAATCTGGGATTACAGGCACCTGCCACCATGCCTGGCTAATTTTTGTATTTTTAGTGGAGACAGGGTTTCACCATCTTGGCCAGGCTGGTCTTGAACTCCTGACCTTGTGATCCACCCGGACGTGGTGGCTCACGCCTGTAATCCCAACACTTTGGGAGGCCAAGGCAAGTGAAATATTTTAAACATGAGTCAAAGTTTTTCTGTTTACTTATTACTGACTTGAAGTCTGTTGAGGTTGGAGATTAGATCATTCATGTAGGATGTATAGAGACTCTACTGAAACTCAGGTGAGATCTTTCTAGAGGTTCAGAAGCAGAAGAAACAGAATAGAACTAATCAGGGAAAGCATTGCTTATTCTGCATTGACTGAGTACTTATACAATTTGGGAGATTTTCTTAAGATTCTTGCTAAGGATGGCTTGAGATTGGGTCTAGAAAAACATATAGGACAACTCAAGCAAAATAAATTGAAGAATTACGGTAAAGACCATGGCAGGCCTTTAAAAGAGAGTCACCCAGTAAAGCAGTAGGATGTAGTTTAGTGCTGTATACTGTAAAATTGAGCATGCAATTTGGAATTACACATTTTAGTGGGTAGACTTGTGTCCCTCAAGAATATATGTTCACATTCTAATCCTTGGTACTTATGAATGTGACCCTTTTTAGAAATAGGGTCTTTTGAGATGTAATCAAGTTAAAATGAAGTCCTACTTAGTTAAGGTGGGAGCTAAATTCAATGATTAGTATCTTTTGTTTATTTATTTTTTGAGACGGAGTCTTGCTTGTCACCCAGGCTGGAGTGCAGTGACAAGATCTTGGCTCACTGCAACCTCTGCCTCCTGGGTTCAAGCCATTCTCCTGCCTCAGCCTCCCCAGTAGCTGGGATTGTAGGTGTGCACCACCACGCTCAGCTAATTTTTGTATTTTTAGTGAGACGGGGTTTCACCATGTTGGCCAGTTTGGTCTTAAACTCCTGACCTCATGTTCCGCATGCCTCGGCCTCCCAAAGTGCTGGGATTACAGGCGTGAGCCACCATGCCCAGCCAGTGGTTAGTATCTTTAAAAGAGAAAGGAGAGGAATATTTGAATACAAAGATGCAGGGGAGTTATACAAGAAAGAAGGCCATTCAATGACAGAGTTGGAGATTGGATTGATACAACTAATCAAGAAATCAAGGAATGCCAAGGAGTGACAAGAACCACCAGAAGCTAGGAAAGAGGAATAAGACAGGTTTTTCCTGAGAGGCTCCAGAAGGAACCAACTCTGCTGCTTTCTGACTTCTGGCCCAAACTGTGAGAAAACAGATTTCTGGCCTTCTGAACTGTAAAAAAAATCAATTTCTGTTATTTTAAGATGCCAAGTTTGTGCAAATTTGCTATGGCAGCCTTAGAAAATTAATATAGATCTCTTCAAATGCATTCCCACCTCTGCTATGTGATACTAGTTACTTCTCAAAATCTTCATTGGCCATTTAATTAAAATAAACTAAAATCCATAACTTTAGTGAAGGAATGTGGACAGTAGCAACATATAATGCACAACTCAGAAAACTGTGAAGATTACATGAGACAATGTAGACAAAGTACTTAGAGTGATTTTGGAAATGCAACAAATACTTAATAAATAGTAGCTTTTAGTTTTAGAGGGAGCAGTTGGGACATATGGATGAGACTCAGAGGTGTATGAAATTGGCATAGAAAGAACAAACAAGCATCAAAATCCCCATCACAGGAAAAAAGTCTTTAAGTACTTAATAGATTTGTAGGTGGTCGTGAAGAAAAGGGGCACTGTACAGGAACACAGTCCTAAAGTAGCTGGTATACTGCTTAGGAAATCAAAGAGCAGAAAAATAACATGGTTTGTGTACTTTAGGATGGAAACCACTGGTGTGAGATAGCAAGGATGGAAAAGCAAAAATCAGCCAACTCTGAGATTGTGCACAGATTTACTGACCACTACCAGATGAATACAATATCTGATAATGATACAGCTTGGCTGTGTCCCCACCCAAATCTTATCTCGAATTGTAGCTCCCATAATTCCACATCTTGTGGGAGGGAACTGGTGGGAGATAATTGAATTATGGGGGACAGTTTTCCCCATACTGTTCTTGTGGTAGTGAATAAGTCTCAGGAGATCTGATGATTTTATAAGAGATTTCCCCTTTCTCTTGACTCTCATTGCCTTTGCCTGCCACCATGTAAGATGTGCCTTTTGCCTTCTGCCATGATTGTGAGGCCTCCCCAACCACATGGAACTATGAGTCCATTAAACCTCTTTTTTTTTTTTTTTTTTTAAGATAAATTACCCAGTCTCAGGTATGACTTAATCAGCAGCATGAAAATGGACTGATACAGATACTTTTCAAAAAGATTAGGGATTAATTAATTACCAATACCTACTCTTGGAGATATGATTTTCTTTTTTCTTGATAGGGCAAATCCAGTGGATTCCAATTGTTCTTTATAGAGAAAATGTGACTTCTGTCAACTCCACTTAATTAAGAGTTTACCTTGGATTTTAATGTTGGGAGCGGGCAGAGAAAAAAAGAACAAACATCCTCCAAAGGGAACAAGAATGCATTATAAACTGAGTGAAAAGTCAGAGACAAATGCCCAATGTGATCCTCGAGATAAAAACGAAAATGGCCATTGGTGATCAAATGGCATTAGTTCACTAAGAAAATGGTCCTGGAAATTAATTTTGCTAAAATGTCTTTGATGAAAGCAAAGTAAGTACAGAATGAGAAAAACAAAGAGTTGGAGAATAAGATATTAATTGTCACAGTAGATACATTTCTGGAAATCTGACTGGATGAACAAAGTTAAATTTCCATAAGAACATACTTCAGGAAGTAATATCACAAAGATGTGTCTGTATATACATTTATAATATATGTCCATTTGCAATAAACAATATGTCTGAAGCTTCCTGAAGGTAATGGCTAAGCTGATCCTATTTCATGTGGTCTTATCTTGTTTAGCAGGTGGAAATAGACAATACATAGTCATTCAGCAGGCTGTTGTTTTCATATGATACAAAGTAAAGTTGATATAACTGTTTAGATGGAACAATCACAGCATGGCTTACTTTAAGAGAAAACCCAAGCTTCCCGAGTTTAGTATATGATTTATTTTTTCTTCATCTATATTAAGCAATAGTAAAACTAAGCCTTGATAGGGGGACACTTCCAATGTTTTACATTTTAGTTGAATTAAAAGATATCTCCTTTTCCAAAAATAAGACCTATAAATGATTTGTTTTCTAGGTAACTAGTGTACAATGCCCCTTCCCTCTGTTTGGTAGCTAAAGGTCTACAGTTATGAGAAAATGGAATAACATAATGGGGTAGAGGCCATAAAATATTTTAAACACATTACCAAGTTATTTTTTCTATCTTCTATTTTTAACGTATACAAAACATTTATTCATTTTGTGTTAACAACTTTGTTATTTATTCAGTCTGTTGTTAAATGGTATGAATATTTGAAAATTTAATCCTGATTGATACAAGGAGGAACATAAAAATATCTATAACAAAAATGTTTTCATGACCCCATTGTTAAAAGATTAACCTTTTTTAAGGCCATGTTATGGGGACTTTTACTTGAGTGCTTACTATAAAGTGTTTTAGATGTATTTCATTTATATTATTGCAAGGATTAAAATTAAATATGCTGTAAGTGGGAAAATTTGTATTATGATGGCCACTAAGAGTATTTAAAAGCATTATAAGTTGTCACACACCTCATTAACTAATATTGATTAGAATTTCGGAGTTAAAAATGTTGCTCATTTTACAGGTCATTACAATCAAGTGCTTACAGCCACCAAAATCATATTTTGGTAAAGTGTGTATTGCATAACCCAGGCACATTTTCATGCTAGAAAAATGTTTAAATGATATGCGTTGCTTTGTATGCTGGAAAGATAGGCGATCATTATGGATCTATTGCAAGGCACTGAATTGGAATATATTCAGATTGAATTTCTGAGCTGTGTTGTGCATCAGAAATTTCTATATTCTCATCTCAATATTTAGACCTTCTCTTTCTCTACTCATCTGTGAAGATGATAATTCACTCCTTCATCAGTGCTCTATTTTGTACCTTCGATGTCCCTACTGTATGTCTGTCTCGAAACTATTGATTCAACAAAGTACTTTCTGCCACAGTTTATACCATTTTGGAGATGAAATACTTAACTGAATGTTCTCTTGTTCATTTAGCCACTGCTCACCGTTAACCTTGCTTTCTTCCTTTCTATATACCCATATTTCTACCTAAATGGGTTAAAAAATTGATATATTGTGTGTTTATTCTTTGGAAGAGTTAACAATTAAGATTGTAGACAAAAGCATCACAATGGGAAAAACTGCCTTATAGTTTTATTTGTGGAGAGTCAATATGAATTTGTCAAGGACCTATCAGGATCAATGTGGCAACCTAGCTCACCATCACTTTTGTGATATTTCAGTAAATAATTAAGAATCTCTTTCATGAACGAGCTGACAAATGTACTGGAAAGAACAAAGGCCTCATAAAAAGGTATCATGTGATAGAATCCTAGATCCCCCTCATTGCTAGCAGCTATACGGACTTTGATAAATATTGATAGTTTATATATTGTACACGCACACATACACAGATACATATACACAATTAGTTTCACATAATTGCATATATGTGATTTTACCACAAATGGCCGTAGCTATTTTCTCACACAATGCAACTGTCTTGACGTGGAGTTGAAGAAAACTGGATTCAAGTTTCTATGTTCCCAGAATCTCCCACCTTTTCCAAAAAGCAATTTAATTTCTGAAAACCTTAGTGTCTTCTTCTGCAAAATAATGAGAAATGCTTGTGCTTGAGTCCAACTCTAGGATTGTAGTCCCCTTTATATAATATAATCAAGTTCCTCCATCTGGGCATTCAGTTAAATTCTACAACATTGCCAAAATCTGATTTGACTCTACAGAATATGTATAGTTTATTTAACCAGATAGTAATTTAAAATTTTACAACATGCGTATTTCATGTAATATTAATAACAGTAATTTAAATTAATATTCAATACATACCGTTTGAATTTTTATAAGGTAATATTTGTTTTTAATTTTTTATTTTAATTTGTAATAAGCTCAAAATTATTACGTCAAAATGTGGAAAGATTGCCATTTTTGGTTTATAACAGATAGTAAGAAATGCTTATAAAATTCTTACCAGTTAATCTAAGCAGGTAGAGGACCAGTATTAGTTAAACTTGGATATAGGAAAGATGCCTCCACATAATGAATAAAACACACTGCACATTTTTATCCCAATTTTCTTTTTACTTTTAGTGCAAAATCTTAATTAAAATTTTGACTATGAGGCATTGACCAAGAGGCCAAAAATAATCAAAAGAGTTCAAATCTATGTGTCTTTATTGTACTTGAAGACAAAATTGTAACTAACACTGTTATGATTAGTAGTACATTAATTAAAATGGTTTAAGCTGGCAGTAATATAAATCAATGATCCTTTTCAAGTATTAGTTGGATAAAATTAACATTAACTCAATTCTGCTTATTTCCTGGAAGTATTTTAAACTTTAACCAATAGATATGACTTTTAAAATTTACCGTTTTTCAAATCTTAGAAGCTAATTATATTTCTAAACAGTTAGTGGATAAATTAAGAAAAGAACAACTTATATTTCTAGGGAAAATTATTTTCTAAAATTTGCACTTACTTGAGTAGATAAAAGGACTGACTTTCAGAGATCACAATCACAGATTTATGTTTTGGTAGAAGTGGTCTGAGAATACTGGTAAAAATATACAGATGTTAGAGTATAACAGAATGAATAATCAGTACGTCAATAAACATTCTGAGAATCTGCAGTTTACTGGTTGACTGCACTCTCCTTGACAAAGGTCTTTTTTTTTTTTTTAAGTGACAGTATGACTTGTCATTTATTTCAATGAAAATTTAAATGTTTCTTACAAATCCTCTGAAAATAAAACCGATATTTTTACAAACAGAAGTATATGCAAACAGTCACAATATGCATTAGGACACTGACGCTATTTCTTACATGCCAAGTCGTTCTTCCATTCTGGAGAACACCTCTTATCTGAAAGATTTTTTTTCTTCTACTATAAATTTGAATCTAAGTTATTTTTAAAGAGTCAAAAACAGTGCAGAGCATTTTTGAACTGATAAACAAGAATATAGGCTGGACTCAGTGGTGCACGCCTGTAATCCCAGCACTTTGGGAAGCCAAGGCAGGTGGATCACAGGGTCAGGAGTTCCAGACCAACTTGACCAAGATGGTGAAACCTTGCCTCTACTAAAAATACAAAAACCAGCCAGGCATGGTGGTGGGCACCTGTAATCCCAGCTATTCATGAGGCTGAGGCAGGGAATTGCTTGAACCCGGGAGGCAGAGGTTTCAGTGAGCCGAGATCGTGCCATTGCACTCCAGCCTGGGCAACAGAGTGAGACTCCATCTCAAAAAAAAAAAAAAAAGAATATTATACATTTGTATTATAGTTCCACTCCAAATACGATAGCTAAAAGACAAATCAACCTTCTCTTTACAGAACACAGGCTCCAAACATAAATTTTTGTCTTATATGTTTTAGGTTTATGTATATATAAAACCATTCACCAAAGACATGCTTAATTTTTGAGATTAAGGTGTAAATTATGATGCCTTATTTTGGTCTAGAGTGTATGTAAGGTTAGTATGTTAAGCATTGTTCAAAAATACTAGTAAGTCAAAATTATACAGCATTTTCACAAAGTTCAATGCACAGAAAAAGCCTATGATTTTGGTTACTGATCTATCTTAACGCTACTTTCTTTTAAAACAGACAGTTAACATAATACCCAAGTTACAGTAACATTATGGGCTTCTCCTCCCATTGGCAATTAAATGCTTTTCTTCTGAAAAGATGATATGGACCAACAGGTCCATATCAAAAAAAGAATCAGACTTGCCAGCAACGTTGGTAGACTCTTCCCAGCATACATCTGAGTGCTGAAGGAAGAAGAAAGTTTAAATTGTTTAAAGGACTATAATTATCACACAAAATTTATTAAGAAAAAAGAATAATGGATCTAGTATAACTAATTCTGAGTAAACCAAAATGATAAGAACTAATTAAACACTTCTTAATCCCACATTTTTGGCAGGTGTAATTGAGCCATGGTCCTATTTGATTTTGTTATGATTGCATCCAAATTTGCTTAAACTCAGAGTTATGTTTAATGGTAGGATGTAAGAACTGAATTTTGAAAAACTACTCACTGTCAAAATCTCTCCTTCCTATAGGAAATTTAGCTGAGTTTTCTTCATCCCCAGTTTCTCTCTTTTCTAGTGTTGATTCGGTATCCTGAACCCCATTCTCAGCTGGAAAAGCTACAGATCCTTCTAGTGCAAGATAAGGTTTTATAACCAGATTCAGTGACAGACCATGATTTAAGAAATTATGTTTTTTCTTTGTTTTTTGTGACAGCATAATCCCATTGTTCTACTACCCTAGCAGTTCCTCCCTAGACAATGAGGCCAATACCCCTTCCTCTACTTCATATAGGCTTTCTTTTTTTACTCTATACTGTAATCCTGAATGCTTTCATGCATCTCATGGCTTTCATTATCATTTCTACTTTGATAAGTCCCAAAATGATATCTTCTGTTTATATTCAACTTTAGAATGCCAGACCTGTCATCTCTAGCTGCCTATCTCAGAGGCACCTTAAATTCAACCTGTTCAAAGATCATCTTGTGCCTTAACCCAGATTCACTGCTTCTCCAATGTTCCCTGTTCCAGTTTATAGCAACACCATCCTCAGTTTCTCATTCCAAAAGCCCAGGAGTAATGTGTAAGTAATAGATTCTGGAACCAAACCACCCTATGGCCGTACAACTTTGGGCAAGTTATTTATTAACCCTTTGATTTACTTTCCTCATCGATGATGTTTGAGTAATAATAGCACCTACTTCTTATGGTTATTGTGCAAATTAAATCTACTAATACATGTGAGAAACTTAATGATTAGTACCTAGCAAGTGCATTATGAGTGTTAACTATTGCTTTTCCTCTTATATTTTTTAACTTTTATCTTCTTTGCCTCAGACCCACAATCAGTGAATCGATAAATTCTCCTATTTTTAACTCCAAAATATTTTTCAATTCTATTCTGTTTGTTTTCACCATCTTGGCCAAGTCCACCATCATGTTCTAATTGCAGATCTACTCATATTGCTGCCTTGCTTATGGCTTCACAGTATTCTCATGGAAAAAAACCCAAAAGATTCGGTAATATAAAATCCTTGCTGGCCAGCCTGGCTTTAGAATACTTCTTCTTTCAGAATGTGTGTCCACCACCTCCTCCTCTCTAAGGCTTCTACTCCACACACCTTCCAGTCTCACTAAAGAACTAAGGATGCTCTTCTCTCCTAATGAAGTTGTGTTTACTTCTCAGGTCTCAACTTACATACAAATTTTTCCAGAGAATTTCCTGAAACACTCACCTCTCTCACTAGACTAACTTGCTCCAACTACTCACATAGATAGTATAACACTTATCATTCTAATTAAGTAATAATGTGTGGCTTTTTTATTCACATCTGTCTCAAAGGTAGGGACAGTGAGAGAGAATCATGCCATTCAAATAGAAGTTTTATTCTCAGCATCCAGCACATCAATTCACCATAGTAGAAGCTCAGTGAGTATCTGTCCAATTAATGAATAAATGTTGAGCACTGTAAGCTACGCTTATGGATACCATAGTTTAGTAAGGAAGCAGAGAGTTGGCAAAAATAAATTTGAGAAGTATGATAATGGATACATTAAAAAGTGCCTTGTTGTCCACTGGGAGGAAAGGTTTTAATTTAATCTGAGTTGATAAAGAAGGCCTACATAAGGAAGCTTTGTGATTTCAGGCTGAGGATAACAGTGAACAGGAGTTGGCTCTGTGAAGGACCTGAAATGTGAGGAGGACAGACTGAGAGAAGATCACCTGCAAACTCTCTGAAGCAGATGGTGTAGTCTGTGTAGCACTAGAATGCAGATGTCCACTTCACATGATGGTGTGAGTTTGCACAGGGCCATTTCCTTGGTGACCTGTGTGTCCTAAATCCAAGGGGACTCTCCCAGAACATTCTGTTGTGATAAAGATTCTTGGGATTTTCTGATTCCTGAGATGGGAAGAACTTAGTTCATGTAATGGCAAGTTGGGGGCTCAGGATATGATTCAATTTTAATAAAAACAATAACAGCAATAAATAAATGTGTCAATATTTGCTGTAAGTTTATAGACTAAAATTCTTAGTTTATACATATGCAGCCACAAATACACATACACACATGCACAGAGGCAGTTGTGAAAAAACACATACAAATATACAGGATTGGATGAATGCGAAAGGAAACTTACTTCTCTTTTTACTTTATACACTTTTAAATGTATACATTTCTCTGTTGTTTGAAATTATTGTGTGGCATTCTTTTGGCATTACTTATGTAATCAAAACTCTCAAAAGCTAAGTAAAAATTAAGTAGAAATACATTTCAAATTTAGCCAGTAGCTTGTCTAGTATGTCTGACTTAAGTTGACTTTATGGTATGAAAAATGTGCCTTTTTTTAGCTGAGAAATCATCACACTTAGGTATACCTTGGAGAAAGGTAATATGGGACAATAGCACTCGGCAAATTTATGATGAGCTATTGTTTGTATAATTTTTAATCACTCATATTTAAGACTTGATTTTCTATGCTGATACTAACATGGGATTTCTCTGCTTCAAGCCATCTAAATTAGCTATGCAAAGGGGTGAAAGTTCCCGGGATTTGTTTGGCAACACGTTTCTGAAAGGCCGTTTGGTGCAGCTGCCTTCCATTTGTTTCATCAAGAGACTAAGCTAAACTAAAGTAGTTCTTCATGATGAACTGGCAGGAAAGTGCCAAGATAGTTTTATTGCTTAGCAACTTGGCAGGAGGAAATGTTAAAATATTACAATCTCTCGTATCTATGAACTGAGACAGGCTTTCAACTGATGGCTCTCCAGCTCGAACGTGATTAAGATGCAGCCACATGGCCCGGGCTTATATTTTGAGCTGATAGGAGGAAGATAGGGAAGTTGGATACTTTTAAATGTATAAATAGTAATTTCTCAGAAAACATTTGCTGATCTGAGCCAAATGCTAATCTGAGGAATTAAGCTGTCTCCGTTGTGATGTTGATACGTACTGCAACCCCTATTGATCAATGGGATTTCCTTTGCATTTCAGAAGGAAGGATACGTCTATTGAGAAATTGCACGCCAAGTAAAATCCTGAGATAAACAACTTCATACAAGAGAAACTGACAGTTTACCATACATTTTTGGAATTTAAAGAGTTGTTGTGGTGTGCTTTCTTTTTGTGCAAATTATGGAATAGATGAAAGTGACAGAGTGATGACACCACCTAAATGGAAGCATAATGTAGATGGTTATTGCAGATGCCTTACCACACAGCTCTGCCAGCGCACATGCTTCCTGCAAACCTCCTGCAATTTAAACCCTTGGGCTCCTTCAACTAATGACGCTAATTTGCCAATGGAGCAATGGCTTTCTTCGCTAAACACTCACCTACAAAGGAGTATGTATTAGCCGACAATGTATGTGCTCAGTAAAAACTGGCAATATAACATGCACATTTTAAATATAAAGACCACTTTCATCACTACATTAAATCATAGGGATTGATTTAATAAATCACAGTGTAAATAACTCTCCAGAATTATTACTATTATTTTTAATAAAGGTAATATTTGGGGGAAAATTATATGGTACTAAATTTTTCCAAAAAATCAAATTATTGGGAGAAAAGTTATAAGAGTACCTGGTTCCCTGTTTTGTCTTAAAGGATTTCGGTTCATAATTGAATTTATATTAAGCATGAACAGCAGTTTGCAATTGACATTGTTTCATTCAAAGCTAGTATCTTCATGTACATTCATGAGTCCAACATATATATATATATCTACGTATATATGTACACATATATATTCAATTATATATATAATTATACATATATAATTGAAACTCAATAAGATAAAATGTGTCATGTCCAAAATTAGAGGGAAATTTGACAGCAAAACAAAAGATTAACTAAAATCTTTGTCTCTATGATGTTAAAATTAAGATCCTGCAGATATGACTCAAGACCTATTTGATCTTATTTGTATTCAAACATGCATCTGATGTGTTAAAATTAACATAATTTAAAAAATGCTTCCATCAAATTCAAGAAGAATTCATTTAAATAACCTTCTGATAAATATAAAAGGAAGACATTCATTTTGTTTTTTTCCCCAACTTTATAAAATATCAATTATTATGGCCACTTTGGGAGCAAATTTTAAGAAAGAAAAGCAACTAAAAATGTCACCGACATTGAAAAAGACATTTAAGTGATACCTACTTGTGTGTTCTGAATTGGTTTTAAATATAGTTTTAATCTTTCTATATTTTGTATTATAAAATAAATATAATTCTTTCATATTTCTAACACTTTCACATTGCAAATGAGGTACATAGGCCACTTTATTGATGAACAACTTTCAGAACCTAAATCTTTAAAATTGCTGAGCCAAGCTGCAACACTAAAATACATTATCTAAATTGTGCATGAAAACAATAAAAGACCATGAGTACTATTTTTTAGTACTACAAGTCAGGGAAGATTAACTTGAATTTAAATAACAAATAAAAGTTACCACAAAGGGAGCAAGCTTTTAAACTGTGAAATAGCTCTAGCTCTACAGTAGAAATCTTATGGTTTTCATATGATAATTTTTTTCAACATATCTTTTTCTATTTTTTAATTCAAAATGTAAAAGTAAATTATACCTCCAAGACCATGTTTTTCTCATTCTTTGTTTCAACAAATTGCTGATATCTTTCAAAACTGTCATTTTCTGAAATGAGCAGTAGTGTACACAGAGAAATAAAAGAGGTTATCCAGAGAAATTGCAGGTGCTTCTCCAGCCTAACCTTAATGACAGTTTATTGCTGGTCCATGGGGCCCAGTTTTGTTTAAGCAATTATCAGACTGCTTTATTTATGGCGCCCTTGTGCCTGTTTTTGGCAATGGGGTCGCAATAAATTATCAAAATAACGTTAATGTTACAAGAATAGGCTACTTTAAAAATAGGTGGCACCAATTACAATTGAAGGAGAATAGTTAGATGAAGATTTAAATTATGCCAATTGCTCCTGGGAAATTGATGGGATGGATCGAGAGGATCTTCCCTGACTTCTAATACATGCATGCGCAGGGTTATTTCTCACAATTAAAATCAGAAATGTTAAAGGGGAACTTACAATGAAAGAGAAAGCCAATTAATCTAGTCATCATTAATCACTGAGAAAGACACAGTAGTATACTTAGTAAGTGTCCTAAAGCAGCATCCAGAGAGAGGGAGAGAGACCATCAATCCCAAAAGACTCAAAAAATCTTTAGGGAGATGTAGAATTATGCCAATAGTTTGCATATTATAACGATAAGACAAAGCTGGGAAGGCCTGTTCTGATATAACTTGCATGCACAGTCACACACCTGGGACCACGTAGAATTTACTACTAAAACGTGAATGGCAATTAATGTACAAAATATGAAAAACAAAGTTCAAACAATATGTGTTTGCTGTCAAGATTACTTCTAAGAAAATTTGTAAGGCAAGTTTTGAGTTGTAAGAGGCTCTTAGAAATAGAAACTGTGCTTTGTAAATCATACTGTAAGGCCAGATTAAAGAATTTCATAGAGAGATATTCACACTTAAGACTAACAAATGCTTCGATTTTAGAATAATTCATGAATTTGCTATTTTCTTCATGATGTCAGCTCATGTTTGGTTATTTGCTACTGATCATTTCATCTTCCCTTGCTTACAATTCCAGAATCATTTTATTAATTTATTTAATTATTTATTCATTCATTTATTCTGCTTGGTCAAAGTTTCAGGTGTTAAATGATATAGGCTTCATCACAATAGCAGATTTCTTCCCACTTTTGTTTATGTCTATCTGATTATGGTATCAGCATTATTTTTTCTTTCCAACTTTAGAGCTACAATACTCAGGTAAAGTCGGTCCCTGGGATTTAAAACTCAAAATAATTGAATAATATGACACCACAGTGGTAGAAACATGCTTCTATTAATATGAATAAAACAGAATCACAGGGTAAATGCACATATTAGACTTTTGTATGTGGTTGATTATAATGTATATATAATTGAGGATTGACCAAAGCATGGGTGCAATTAGGCATACAAGTTCTTCTTCATAATGGTATTTTTAGTGCCAAATATAGGTCTCCAAAAGGTTCTTGGTGGGTATACTTATTGTGAGATGGCATGATTTGTCTTTGATGCACACTACCCCATGTTAGAATGAGCTGTTTCATTTGGGGACACAACACAAGTAACAGCTCATCTGCTCTCATTTACAAGAGCTTCTATGTAGTAAAATTGAGAGTTGTGTTTTTTTCCAGCAAGTTCAATTATTTAGGGTAACCTCACTCCACATGGAACTCTTCCCCCAGATGTCCATGTTGTCCATATTGACAACTCCTACCTTCCAAAATGTTTGTTGACTTCTTACCTTCTGGTTGAGCCTGCATTTGCCTCCTCTCCTTCCACCACACCTACCATCTTAATTTCTTTTTTCCTGCTCTACTTCTCTTATTTTTCATCACATATTTCTTTCAAATCTGCAATATAACTTACCTATCCATTATACTTATGACTTATTTGTTACTTTCTTCTTCAGGGTCAGATTTTCTTCTGTTTAGTTTATTCTTGAATTCCAAAGTGTTTGAGAAAAGAACTGGACCATAATAGGTACTGTGAAAGCTGATTATTTGAATTGGGGCATTCTCGTCATACCCAGTGAAAACAGAGTCAAGAGGGCAGGGGCAAAAAGCACTCAGGACACAAAACATTGCTCTCCCAAAATGTAATTCACTGCAAGTCTGGCTGCTGAAAGTGCCTGCTGTAACCTCACAACTGTTTTATCTAATAGTTGCCAAACAAACCTGCTACAAATCTAAGATTTACTTTACCCACCATCAGTCACCAGTCAGACGTTCCAGCTTCCCAGAACCTTACCAATGCTAATGAACTTTCTCAAAGAGCAATAATTAATATTTCTTTTTTTAGTAAAACCTCCAGCCTTCTCTTCGTTCTTCAGACATGCTGAAGACCACTCGGTCTGAATATATGCCCTGATTTGCAAATTATTTATTTCTTAATTAAATGTTAAATTTAGAGATTCCTCTTTACATTTCTATTTTGACTTCAACAGTCCTCATTAATATTTCCTGAATAAATGAATAAAAATATCAGAATTAATGTGCATTTTGAAAAATCTCTTATGAAATATGAGAGAAAAATCTGTTATACGCTTAGATCCTTAACTTGATCGGTATTCACCTTGAAATATGCTTTTATCTTATGTAGTCTGGTTTTAAAATGTTAAGGAAAAAAATACACTTAAAAATGGACCTAGTCATTTTTACTCAGCAGTACCATATCATTTGAAAAACGAAAACACTCTAAGGCGGTTTTGTTCCTTTGTTTTTGTTTGGTCTGATTTTCTTTCTTTTTTTTTTTTCCTTATGTGTTCAGCCTCTTTAATGTGAATAACTGCTCTTAGTTAAACAGTCTCACAGCATCCACTTACAGTCTCCAAGTTGCTTTCACATTCTTTGTAAAAATAAAAGCTCAGTTAAAGACACTACTTTCTTTTATGGTGCAATTTGTTTGCTCTTACACTGGTTCACTCTCTTTGCCATTTGATTTCCTCAGTTGAGCAATTTATGACAGATTTTTAAGGTCTACTGTCCATTACAAAGAGCAGGTTTTAAAAACTCCATCATCATCATAAGCTTAATGAGTAAATGGCTGGAAGCTCAGCAGCTTGGTGGGGGGAGTGTGTGGAGGTTTGACTCTGACAGCCAACTTGCTGTTGCTGTAATTAATAATGAAATGTTAAGTCTCTTGCTTTTTATGTGGAGACAGGGAAAGTGACAGGGATTATGGAGAGAAATAAATTTACATTGTAGCTTTATAAAGCATCCATAGCTTTAGGAGCTCAATATATACAAAATTACTGTTAACATGACAGTTCCCCAAGAAAGTAGTTACAAAAATATTTAAAGCTCTGGGCTGAAGAATCAGGACATTGTAAGAATGGAGAGGAAGAAAAGACACTTTCTTGTATCCTGTCCCTCCTTTCCTGCTGCTCAATTTCTTTCTACTCAGCTGCTTATAAAAAGATGAAAGATATGCTAACTTGTCTCCCTGAGTGAATCTATTCAATGTCACCACCCACGCACTTTCCAACAGTGACAAAAGTTCCTATCACATTCCTCTTCTCAACTCACCTGATGGATCCCCCAACTACACCCCACCCCCTATCCTAGAAAATATTATATTAAGAAGTAGAAGAACTGTGGGATTATCTGAATGAGACCTGCCAGTGAAGTCCATATCACTGACTATTAAGTCATGTTTACCACAAGCTAATAGCCCATAGCTCAAGCGGAACGCTCACCATCTCTAGCCTTGTCCTTCTTCCAAATCAGTGCATGTAGGCATGTGCTATCTTTGCCTATTAGAAGTGATGGGTAGAACTCTTCATCTACCATTCGTGGAATCTGAAGATGGTACAAGGTCATGATGGTCACGCTAGCTTGGTAAACTGGTGGAAAATTAAGTGCAGGCTCTCATAATGAAACAAAATATTATCTGAACTGAAGCATCTTGGATACTGTTCTCTGTAATTCTTCTCCCATTTGCTTATTTATTCCTTCTTGTTTTCCCTGTGCAAACTGCATCATTGCTAATATGGCTACTTGATCAGTGGTAGTTCCTCATCTTCCACCATTATCCCATTTCAGATCTATCTAAAAGCCTTACTTGTGGATAAGAATAACCAAAAAAATCAAATTAACTAGTTAGATAATGACTGTATCTATCTTTTATGCTGAATTAAAATAACATGATTAAGTGAAGACTAGCATACTTTATTTTAACCGTTCACTTCATCATCGACAAGGGTATAAGTTTAATTATGTATATGTACATGTAATTATGTATAGATGTATAGAATACAAACAAATTTAACCATTTTACTTATCCACATGAAATTGCTTCTTTTACATGCAGGATGACTTGTAAATACATTCATAATAGAGAAATTGCAGTGGTTCTGACAATCAGATTTTTGAATTATTTTATGTAGAACTTACTGGTAAAAATTTTATGAGGTAGTTAAAAACCAGATTAAAATCTGTAACTGAAAAATTTGTCATTTGGGTTGAATTACAAATATAAGTCTAAGTTTTATCTTCAGTGCCTCAGAAAGGCTGAATTCAATCCCTTTTAACTAGTTTCTAAAATTTCAGAAGTGCTAAGTTTTCCCACAGATTTCTGAACTGGATTTATGGCAAAGTACAACTTGAAATAGATGGATGGATATGAGAATTCACTAATGATCATTCTCGACTATCTGACTACAACATATTCTGAAAGACAAACTTGCCAAGTTAAATGATCAGAGGTATGCTATGAAATTCTTTTGAAGACCCAGATACCTTCTAGTTATAAGGTACTAGTTAAAATAAGCACCTCTAGAGATATTAAATAACAAAATCAATTTTACTCATTTCTTTTAGAAGAAAAATTAAGAATGTTTCAATGAATCTGAAAAACAATTTTATTTATTATCAATCTTTAACTCTTTATGTTAAATTTCTGCTTATGTGTCTGAGATGATCATCAAAGTATTCAAACAGATAAAATCATTTCAGAGTTGTATCAATTTCTAAAATGACAAATTATTTTCGGGAAATAATATTTAGTTTTGGAGTGGAATGTGTGATAATCAAAAACAAAACATGTTTGATCAAAACTGAAGCCTCTGTGCAAAACACGGAGCATGGCAATGTGAAGCAGTGGCTCCTTGGAATTTGGTTCAGTTAGTGATGGCTGGAAGGAATCCTGGACCTGAGTTGCATAGACAAGGTGGATGAAAATCATATGTAGCCTAAAACCCTGAGACTCCCTCACTCCTTCAATGGTCTCTCTTTTTGAAAGTATTTGGGGAAAAATAAATGTGCCTGGATTAGGCCCTACCTTTTGGTTTTACTTGTATTTGACTACAGGTATGAACCCCACCTAGGGATTTTCCTTTCCTGACCTGGCAAGGCCTGGAAATTAACTATTAGTTGTCTAAACAACTACTCCCCGTTTCCCCCTCCTGTTGTTCTTAAGGAGTTTGTTATTTCTTCCTCTCCTAGTCATGCACAATGCCTCTTGCACAAGGCTGCTGTGTTCTCGGGGGAAATAAAACAATGCATCCCAAAACTGCAACATCTTGAAATTGTGGATGCGTAATATAACCGTGGCAAGTATCTAATGGAAAAAGACAAATAATGTAAACACAACAGCAAAGTCACTTCATGGATGTGCCCTAGTTCCTAGCAAGGGCCCCCTGTTTGCAGGTCTATTCCAAACTCTCTGTGCTCTCAATCACTTCAGAACATTTTATTTTTTTCCTCCATCAGACTCCCCTCCTCATTTCCTCCTCCTAACTAAACTGGTACATCCCTCAAGCAGGTGCTTCCACTCAACAGTGGAAGGAGGTTGTAGCACTTTCAATCAAGGCCTTCCATCTATATATCTATGTTTATCTATACCTGTATCTATGATCTATCTAATTAGAAATAGAGACAGAGAGGGAGGTGAGGAGATTGAAATAGTAGTATAAAAAAAGAAGTTCCCAAAGGCAAAATATCCTATAAAGACTTTGCAGGCCCTCCATGGAGATACATGTTTTAAATTTTTATAAGGAAGAACTTAAGTTTTCCTTTCCATAAGTTTTTGCCTCCTAATCGTGCCCACTGCTGTGTAAGAAAAAGGGGGCACATTACAGTGCCTTTCAAAACAACCCAGCTCCCCTTGGCTAGTAGATCTGAGGTTGCAGTATTTCTTTACCTTGGGCCAGATTAAATACTTAGGCAAGACTCTCTACCAACCAAACATTTCTGTAAATTGAGAGGGAGCTATAGATGAATGTATCCTTCCTTAGGTCTGGATAATCTGAGAATACTTCCTTCAGGTTCATGTAGCAGAAAGAATAATACTTCCATTCTACCTAAAGAGTTTCTTGCAACTGAGATTTGCCTATTGACAGTGGGTGCAAAGCTGAGAGAAAAGAGCCACATTCAGGATGTGGCTATCTCTCAACAAGGAACAAGGTGACCTAGAATAGTAGGAGTGGAGCCATTTAATCACTCAGGAAATAAATTTTGCCATTCCAGTTCTAAAACTCTAAGAGCATTTTTCGACAGGCATGTGGGAAGTAGAATACTGATACCAATAGCTAAAATCAATCTATCTTATCCCAGCAACTATGGAGCCAAGTTGGGTTAGGACTATGGTCAGAGATAAACAATTAAGTCTGCAGAGCCTAACTAGGTAACTAATTGGTGAAGATGCATTTTGTAAGCTGTGACAGTTGTGTCTAAATCATTGAAAAAGTATGTTTCATCTACAATTGGTAGCCAATGCCGAATTCCAGATGTTTGATTTCCTAGTTTTCTTAGAGATAGTGATTTTTAAAATGTTTATGTAGAAGCTGACAGTTAGACATATCTATACATAGAGTCGTACCTGAATGTTCATAGCAGCTTTAATATTAGCCCCAACCTGGAAAAACCCCAAATTTCCCTCAAAATTATAATGGATAAAATGGATAAATTCAATGAACATTATTCCTAAAATGAAATACACTAAGCAATAATAAGGAGCTGACCACTGATGTACTCAATAAGAACAAATTTCAAAAAACAAGATGCTGAGATAAAGAAGACAGAAACAAAATAATGCACATGTATGATGTCACTTATACAAAATTTAGAAAAGATATATCCTGTACATAATGACAGAACCTCCATCAGTGGTTGCCTGTGATCAGGGATTGAGATGGTGAGGGCATGTGAGAAGTTTTCATATATGATGGAAATGTGCAGGGGATATACAATTGTCAATATGCATCAAACTGTCTAATTTAATATATGTTTTATTGTATATGATAAATTGATTTTCTAAAAATCATATACACTAACTCAAACTTCTTATAGCTGAACACATTTTATATTAGGTGTTTATCTTATATTTACAGATGATGTCTAGTAAGCCTCAGAGATGTCCAGTGGGATCTGGGATTTGAACCCATGTCTATTTCAATTTGTCCTCTCATTCCCTTTTTACACTCAGCTTTTCTTTTAACATGCTCACATTTTCCCTACGACTACAAAATGAAAATAAACAGAACCTTTATTTTTAAGCTCTTATCCTACTTTGCTTCTTCTGTGCAAATGTTTTAAAATAATAGTTGACATTTATTCCTTCTACTTCCATACCTCATCCATCTCTTGCATTCTAATGTCCATCGCCCGCTTACTGAAATAGAGAAAAAAGTCACGATCATCCAGCACTGCCAGTGATTCTCAACTTTTTAAGTAATTGACTTTGTGTGTTTCTTCAGAACACTTTCTCCTCTTAAGATTTCTGGTTCCCTTTTATGTCTCCCACTGCCTTTCCATCATCTTTTTGTTTGACTCTTTAAACTCCTCCCTTTTTCCTTTTTTCCCATGGTCTCTTCAAATATATCTAAACTAATGCGTTCTGCATACTTATTTTGAGTCTTTTTGTGAGGTCTAGTCCAACTGGCAAAATATGGTATCTCAATTTCCTACCATAAACTCATCATATCTCAAATTTAAATTTCTCATCTTTCTTCATGCAAAACACCTTGAACCTCAATTTAAACTTCATCATATTCTTCAATTTCTTCTCCCTTTGTTTTATTACACAGCTTATTTTGGCAAAATCCTAGGGTATTTTAATGTGTTTTTCATGTGCATCACCTCTCCATATATTTACAATTGTTCTGGCAAAAGTTTATATTGATAATTAGTCTTAGTGATTATAATTATGCCCTACTTTTGCTTTCTGTAATTCATCCTACACACTGTTGCTAAGTAATAATACCACTAAATCACAGCTCAGAATATATATTTTATTGCCTGCTGGTTTTCTATATCTATGAGAACACTTATTTCGAATGAAACAAAAACGATTAAACACGTAAAGCTGGAGCACTGAAAAGCACCAGGCATGCTAAGGGCCAGGGATAGACAGATGAAAGAGCATGCCCGCTATCTTTGTCTTAACATTCAAAGACCCGTTAATTTCCATTTCAACATGCACTTTTTGTCAATTTTGTTTTCCACAGATTACTTTCAAGCATCCTTTGAAATAAACCCACTAAGATCATTTTGCCCAGAGCTTGCCCGTTTTGTACCTCTGCTGAGATTTTTCTCATTTCCTGGAATTATGACAATATTAAGCATAACTGTAAAAATTCTAAGTATCATTTGTATAGCGTAATAGTAGATCCAGTCCAACACTGCCTAGAAACTTGCACACACCATTGCATTTCACCCTCGCAACAATTCCATGTGGTTGGTTCAGCTATGTCTACTTCACAGATGAAGATATGGAAACTCAGAGGTGTTACATAACTTGCTTCCATCACACAAGTCACAAAATCAAGCCAGTCTGTCACCTAAGAAACCCTAACCCTTCTCACTTTAATACACTACCTTTATTATCCTACATTTAATTTATTTTTTATACAACTTTGCTCATGACAATCTTTGTTCCTTTAGTTGGAAGTTTTTATTCCTCAATTTCCCAAGGGGAAGATTTTACAGGTTAAACATTTTTGTCACTTGTCACTTAGCAACTTAACATTCTAGTCATTTATGCACAAGTTACTATCTCTACAAAACGTGAACAATTTGAAGATGAAAAATTATGTATTATATATCTTAAATCCATCCCACTGTAGTTCTTTACAGAGAGACAGTACTCAGTAAATATTTATAAGAATCATGACATGCAAATGTGCATATTCTCTCTTATTAGAATATAATTTAGAAAATGTACTTGACAAATGAAAAGTAGCATCAGATTATTCTTGTTCAAAATATTCCTCCTTGGTAAACACTAATACCTGGACTAATTTTTGAAGACTGTACTTCTCAGTGGGGGAGAAGAATTGGGAAAAATTCTTTAGTGTGAGAATATCTTAGGGGAACAGCTATAGTTTTAAAAAATACTGCTTTGTTTTATTCCAGTTATTTCTCTTTTATCAAAATTTTAAATTTGTATTTATAGTTGATATAAAAGGATATGTATCTTGAGAGATCGTGTGTCAAAATAATTGAAGGACATTTTTTGTCATTTGTGTGAAATAGAAGAAGTGTTTTATTTCTTCTTCTATGTGTTTTATTTCACACATTTGTGTGAAATAGAAGAAAATGATACCTGTGTGTGATAGAAATAAGTTTATATCCTATGAGCAGGTAACAAAAAAGAAAAAAAAAACTAGCTGGACTTTTTCTCTTAGGATTATATTTTCTTTGGATGACAATGATAAAAGTTCTCTTTACTATGTAAATTTGCCAGTCTAAGAATAGAGTGTATTATCTTACTGAGTTTCATCTTGTACCCTCAGCATCTATTATTCCTATTAACTCCAAGTTCAACCTCCACCTTGCCCTTTTCTTCTTCTAATTGGCAATGGGCAAATCATTTCTGGTCAAGATCAGGAGCTCATCTGTGGCTCTAACCTTGAACATCAATCCAACTCAAGAGTGAATCCCATTAACATCAGACTAATAAATGCAAAGATCCAGTGAAGAACAATAATGAACTTTGGCTCACACATCAGTCTTTGGCACCTCAGAAACTAAGTGTAATGAACAGTAGGTCACAACCTATAGCTTTCATAAAATGTCCCAGTTGAGATAGCATATTACACATTTAAAACAGTAATGGTGCCAGGTCATTCTGTCAGACATTTGTCAAGTAAGGATGTGCTCCTACACATCTAGCTCTTCTAGTAAACCAATATTCAGACACATAATGGCTGCTTGTATCTTCAATTATCTCCATCCTATCACATTCAGAGCTGCTTCCAGAGAGTCCAATACTACAGCCTTAGGCTATGGGATGATGATAGCATACCCTACAAACACATGAGAGCAACCTCAAACCTTCTAAATTGTGCCAGTTCTGGGCTTCTTTTGCATAATCATTTATCTGAAAGGACAAGAAATAATTTGCAATTTCAGAGTGTGATGCAAAAGACACAGATATTGCTCAACTTCAAACTACTGAGGGGAAGAAAAATAAGATTTTGGTTAATGTTCTATGGTTCAAATATAGTAAAGTCATCCTGGATTCCTGTCCTGACCTATTCTTTCCTTACCATTTAATTACTTCTTTTCACCTACTTTTCTCTTTTATTTTTATTTTTTTTTTTTTTCGAGACAGAGTTCCACTCCTGTTGTCCAGGCTGGAGTGCAACGATGCGGTCTTGGCACACTGCAACCTCCGCCTCCCAGGTTCAAGGGATTCTCCTGCCTCAGCCTCCCGAGTAGCTGGGATTACAGGCATGAGCCAACATGCCCAGCTAATTTTTGTATTTTTGTAGAGACCAGGTTTCACCATGTTGGCCAGGCTGGTCTTGAACTCCTGACCTCTCGGCCCCCAAAAGTGCTGGGATTACAGGCTTGAGCCACCGTGCCCAGCCATTTTTCTCTTTTACTTATTTATTTTAGCATCCTTCTCTCTTCTTATAGCTCATCTTTTATATGTGCTTATTTGAAAATGCACAATATAGTTGTTTTTGATAGACTTAAAATGATTTCTGCGGCATGCTATGAATATGTAATACCCCCGCAATCCACCCCACACATATTTTGAGAATTTTTATCCTTCTTTGTAAAATTAGCCAGAAGTCCCTCTGTTAACACATGTTCGCTTCCTCATTCTTTGGTGAATTTTGTTTTTCCCATAAGACGTATTTTAACACGGGAATGAATAAATGTATAGGGAACATGAGACAACCTGTTTAACATCCTTTTTATACGCCATTGGGGATGATAAAGAGCAATGGTCATTTACTTAACATCTTGGTAATTAGCCGCTTGGAGGGTGCAAGGCCTGTAACCAGTCTTTTTGATGCATCCGCCATTTCTGCAAGTGGCTGGAGTGGAGGTACAAATGAAGCTGAATAGAGGAGAGACTCTGCAACTGTATTCACTGATAGAGTAATTGCCTGCTTTGTGAATAGGATGCATTCTGGAAGTATATCAAATATATAGAGCAAATACTCAAATAGAATAGAACAAGAAATGGTTACAGTAAAACAAACTTTTCCTGATATTTACCACTTTTTATATTTTACTCAAAGTGTATATATGTTTTTTTTATATGCAAGATAAACTGATAATTTCAACACAATCTGCACTACTTTGAAAAATGTACACCAGGGCCTTTCATGACTTGTATACAGTTCTGGCCATTCTCTTTATCTCAAACCGAAGAAAGATATGATGCAGGCAGTAGTTTTTTCTTAGTGCCTCATAGTATCTAATAGCAGAAAGTGAGCCGCATAGCGGAGCACATTAGTTTTTATGTATCTACAGGACAGAAGGGCCACTTAGCTGATGGCTCCAGGTTTCCTTTGATATAATCTAATGTTCCTATGACCTCAAAGACTGAACACATTTCCCTAAGTGCTTCACTTAGCACCCAGGAGCAACTTGGAGTCTTCGCAGAATAAAATCCATTATTTTAATGTAGATTAATACATGGGTACTTATATCTATGCAGGTCTATAATAGTTTATTCCTATGTAAGCTTTATTAAAAGCATTGGTATGTTTTACATAAAAAGTTAATGTGAATATTAGAAAAAAAGGACAATATTAAAGCAGTTTGTAGAATTTGTTCCCCCCCCAAAATGAATGAAATACACAATAGATTTAAAAAAAAAAAAACAATGAAAGTGAAATGAGGAAAAGGTCTAATTTTCCCCTTAAATTTCACAATGTGTCAGCCAGACAGAGCATAATTTTGGAATAAACAAAAAGCCAGGGAGTCAATACAGGGTTTCTCCTTCTATCAGATATCTTGCTTTGGCAGAAAGTAAGAAGAACATCTCAAAAACCTCATTGGTGTTCTTAAACTGAGGGTGGAGACAGGGCGTGCAGGCTACTTGAGGAAAGACTGGGATGTGTACATGGAACTCACTTGCTCAATATGAATCCATGGCAACCTCAGGTCTAGGCCAGAAGTCCTATGGAGTATTTCCTTGCAGAGGTTGGTGGTAGAAATGCAGTCTAAGATGAGCCATTGACTCAGCTGGAACTAACTAAAACCAGCAGAGATGGCTAAGCCACTAAAGAAACAAAACTCAACAAAAAATATGGTTGTCCAAATGCCCATCAATTGATAGACTGGATAAAGAAAATGTGACACATATATACCATGGAATACTATGCAGCCATAAAAAAGAAAGAATTCATGTCTTTTGCAGGGACATGAATGAAGCTGGAAACCATCATTCTCAACAAACTAACACAGGAACAGAAAACCAAACAGCACATGTTCTCACTCATAAGTGGGAGCTGAACAATGAGAACAAATGGACACAGGGAGGGGAACATCACACACCAAGGCCTGTCGGGGGGTGGGGGGCAAGGGGAGGGAGAGCATTAGGACAAATACCTAATGCATGTGGGGCTTAAAACCTAGATGACAGGTTGATAGGTACAGCAAACCACCATGGTACATGTATACCTATGTGACACAATTGCACGTTTAGCACATGTATCCCAGAATTTAAAGTTAAAAAAAAAATGGTTGTATCAAACCCCAAATCTTGAAAATATAAAAACTTAAAAAAAAGTAACCCACTCCCCTTGAAGCAAGGACAGGCGCACCTTACACGGGAACAGACATCCTCTGAAATGCAATTATTTTGCCTTTTGTTTGTTTGTTTGCTTTGTTTTTTCTACTATTTCTTTTTAATTGAAAGAGTAGTAATGCAGTAATAGAATTATAACTGGTGGCATCACAGGGCTGCATATTAGTAACCTTACCTGAAGAGCTGTATAAATATCTCATGCACATGTTCTGAAAGAAGTGGAGCTTTATGGCCCAGAGTGATAAGGAGGAAAAAATAAAAAATGCCTCCATACATTCAAATTTTATTAAAAGTTGAATTAAAACATAAACATGTGACAGATTTTAAAATTTAATTATTTGCAAAAGCGTTTTTTGAAATTTACCTCCTAATGTTTTGCCTATAAATTCATGTTTTTATAAATGAACCTTTTTTATTGCTAGAAGGTGGCAGGTTCCACATCATTCTTATTCCTATATCATTATTTTTATAAGATCTAAGAACTGAGAAATCTTGTTCTCAGAAATAAGTGGATAGGATTGGAAGGGCTTTGTTATAACAATGACATTTGATTCTTTGAACTCCTTTGAAGAATGACAACAAAAATTGCAGATGTCCATTGACAATTCAACTAGGTATTTCTTCAAATTTTTAAAAGTAATTAAAAATCTAAAACAAAACAAAACAAAACAAAAAACACAAATGATTAGCAAGATTTTGTTACCCAGTCATCAAGGTGACTTACTTTTGAGAAGTGGAGATGAATGTTTTGAATTGCCCCTTCGTTTTGCATCCTGGAAATTTCAACACCTGGGGACAAAGCACCAAGGTAAAGTTAAAAAAAGTGGAGATATATTTTTCTCTTTTAAAAAAAGAAACATTGTGGGAGAAGAATTCTTTTGAAAAAGAAGAAATGAAAGAGGGACAGCAAGAATGATGAAAGAAGTATTCGAATGTGACACCTGGAAACCTGTTCTTTAAAAGTCTTTGCCTGGCCGCAGTACGCCTCACAAAGTCTTTGTGTAATCTCCAGGGTTAGCAGGCCTCAGATCAAAATTAGAAGCCTAAATGGCAAACTAACCAAATTGGTTTTTTTTTTATAAAGTAAAATCTCTCAATTCACTTTTAAAATAAACTTAATCTGGTTTGAAGTGTCCCTATGACAACCATCTCAATACTGAATTTTAATTATATGATAGGTATGTAGCTAATTACATCAAATAATAGTTAACAGTTAAATCGATCTCTGGCTGTATTTTTATTTTTATTTTTTTGAGAGCTTCTCTCTCTGTCATCCAGGCTGGAGTGCAGTGACATGATCTCGGCTCACTGCAACCTCTGACTTCTGGGTTCAGGCAATTCTCATGCCCCAGCCACCCAAGTAGCTGGGACTACAGGCAGGCACTACCATGCCTGGCTAATTTTTTGTAATTTTTTTGTATTTTTAGTAGAGACAGGATTTTACCATGTTGTCTAGGTTGGTCTTGAACTCCTGGCCTCAAGTGATCCATCTGCCTCAGCCTCCCAAAATGCTGTGATTATAGGCGTGAGCCACTGCGCCTGGCCTCTGGCTGGTATTTTATAAACTTAATAATGAAGAACTGATTCTCTACCGAAAAAAAAATGTATATATACAAAAAAAGAAAATGGTGAGGTATGGTGGTGCATGCCTGTAGTTCCAGCTACTCAGAAGGCTGAGGTTGGAGGATTGCTTGAGCCCAGGAGTTCAAGGCTGCAATGAGCCGTGATCATGCCACTGTACATCAGCCTGGGCAACAGAGCAGGACCCTGTCTCATAAAGAAAAATAACAACAACTACCACAAAATGAAGAATTGGCGAATGTAGTAACTAGATCCAAGTTCATGGTTCTTACAGTTACCACTTCACAAGAAAAAGCCTGTAAGATTTAAAGCTGAGGATCACATGGCTAGTAACACTGAAAGAAGCACTATAGAACAAGGGAGATGAAGTCATTCTGAACATTCAGATTACTTATTTTTAACAAACAACTTAATATCTCTATCTTTTATATACTTTTCAGATTATAAGTGTAATTATGCTTTAGAGATAAAGACAACCATGCAAAATCGTCAAAAACACTTCCTTGTAAAATGAGCCCTTCCTTCAGCTGACAGGGTTGACAGGAGATCCCAGGTGGGGAAAACACACCAAAAAGATTCTTATACTTAGGCTTTGCTCCACTAGGGACATTCACAAACAATCTCCAGGACATATTGGTTTCCTTGGGACTAAGGTATTTGTACAATGTCCATTTATAGGGGGTTAAAGTGCCTGTGATAGTGGTTGAAAGTTTTGACCCACTTTTACAGATTAATCAGCATTGTGGTGGTTACAGAATTTCCAGATAAGGCATGCTTGCTCTTCTCTAGACAAACTCATCCACGATATCTTAGTAACACTGATTCTGAGTTACCTTTAGTATTTTAGGTAGATCCACACAGTGTGATTGCTAATGTTATTTGTACGGATTTAGGAGCCACCGAGTGGCTATCATTGAACTGTCAAATAAATCTCAATACCTAGTTAAAATTCTTTTACAAGTAACTTTTCATAAAGAGGAATAAATGTTTACAGTAAGGGAGTATTTTGTTTACTTGGGCAGCTTTCTATGAAGAGGAGCATTTCTTGCAAAGCAATATGCCTGAGAATTAACTTTAGATTTCATTTCTATTTCACTGGAGTAGATATGTTTAAATTAACTTATAATTTCTTAAGGAGTCAGATAAAACATTAATTTTCTTTTTAATTTCTATACTTGCAGCTAAGAGTCGAAAATGAACCTAAGAGCCCTTCATTCCAAAATCATGCACAATTTCTAGTGCTTGTCTACTATCTACATAAATGTTCTCTCTCTCATATACTCTTCACTTTTTGCCTCAGGCTGGATTGTGAGTTCCAGTTACAAAAATTGATTCAGCAACCCAGGCAGATGGAGTCTTCAGAGATAAGAGAATATCCAAAACAAGGTTAATTTTCTCTATTCTAGGTGAAAACTGTCAACAGATAATGTAAGATCAGAGTTAATTAAAGTTATGCCATTTAAGTCAGTTTTGGACAAGATGAGAGTTTGAATCACTGTCAGCTAAATATGTGGTTGTCCTTCATCCTGGAGGGGAAAAAGAAGGCAGTTTAAGATTTGTGCATTTTTGCTAATGTTATGAGATGTGAATAGCAAAGTAATCTCATCAATAGTAATAGTGTGGGTTGAAATATACTGTGTTACCTTATAGAAATGTTTTCTATCATACACGGGACCAGTTGGATACTGTAAAACTGACAGGGAAAAGAAAGTAAGAGGATTCTACTAATTAAACAGTATCTACAAGATTTCACAACAAAGGGGACACTGTTTGGTAACATTGTCTGGAAGAGTATTTGTTTAAGTAGTAAGTAAAGGTTTGGCATAATTAAGTTCATTTAGTGTAAGGGTTGCTACAACGTTTCCTCAATAGTTATAAAAATAAGCTAAGACTGCTCAAATGAAAAGAAATACAGGTTATTCAGTCAGAGCTTGCTGTAGCCAGGGAGTTGGCCACCATCACTTGCAATATGGCAACGAATCAAAGGCAGGCAGGCAGTGAGAAAGCTTTATCGTGGGAAAACCAGAAGGCTGCAGGAATGCCCTGGTTGGAAATTATTGTCATGGGGAATCTAAAGGTTGGATAACTAGAAGCAAAACATCCTATTTGATGGGTGAAGCTGCATAATTAGCATTCTCTGGTTGGTTCTAAATTGGAAGCTGGAGGGAAACACTTAGGGAAGCTGGAAGTTACCCACCAATTCCTAAGCATTTGGACCAATCGCTGCAGACTGGTTGCTGCAGAGGTCAGAGTTGATTTTCTGTGTGTGGAACCACCATTGTCTGTTAGTGTATTCAGTCTCTCATAGTATAAAGGCCGAAACTGCTTCAGGATCCAGATAAGAAGCTCTAGAAATTAGAATTTATTAGGGTCATGTAGTCCTTAGTCTGCCTCATGGACATAGTGATTGGTCTAAAGAAGCATTCTTCATTTCTGCTGCCCTAATCATATTATTCCAGCTTCCACAGACTGATTCAATAGGTCCCGAAGCTAAATTAAGAACCAGGATTCTTCAATAATACATTTGAACTGGAAACAAAGAAAGAGTAAGACTCCGTTGGAAAATGGGAGACTGTGAAACTAGGAATTGACAGTGACTATCTCTACAGCTGTGACAGACGTTAACCTGAGAGATAAAGCTGAGACCCAGAAGGCAAAGAATGTTACATACACAGAAAGAACATGTAAAATTGGAGCATCTATGTTTCTGCAACACATGAAGTATAACAATACCCCACCTTTCTTGAGATATTGCCTATGAGCCAGTTAATTGCCCTCGTTTGTGAAACTGTTTGTCTCCTGCAGCCATTGAATCCTGATTAATACTCATTAAATCTCTATGATGTCATAGTATATATCAGGCACTATGGCTCATATTATTGTTTTCCCCTGATATTTGGTTATTTTCTTTTCAAGGCACATGGAGACGGACCTCTACCTGCAATGCCCCCCTTGCACTTGGACAGAACCATGTGACTATTTATAAGCTATGACACATGAGCAGACATGACATGACGGGATTGATGGAGCAATGACCTCATCTTTTCTCCTGCCAAATATTATGAAAGAGGACTCAAGTCACTCACCTGAGGGACACTGGGTGAAAGTCAGTAATGAAGCTGAAAGGTCGCTAAATGCTGGCAAGTGAGATGGATTATAGTGTCTAGACTTTTTCCTGAGGTCATTCTATATCCAGCAGATATCTTTCAGTATATAGTCTATTCAGAACAATGTGCTAGTGACTATTGAGTGTGGTTACATTCTTTTTTTTTTTTTTTTTGAGATGGAGTCTCACTCTGTCCCCTAGGCTGGAGTGCAGTGGCACAATCTTGGCTCACTGCAACCTCTGCCTCCTGGGTTCAAGCAATTCTCCTGAGTCAGCCTCCTGAGTAGCTGAGACTACAGGCACCCACCATCACGGCCAACTAATTTTTGTATTTTTAGTAGAGATGGGGTTTCACCATATTGGCCAGGCTGGTCTTAAACTCCTGACCTTGTAATCTGCCCACCTTGGCTTCCCAAAGTGCTGGGATTACAGGAGTGAGCCACCAAGCCCAGCCAGTTACATTCTTTAAACAAGGAGTGGACGTACCCTGAAACAAGAGATTAGTCAAAGAGATTTTGCTATTCATGGGACCTAAAAGGTGGCTGTACTTCCCTTTACTGCTTTTCCATACACAGCAATGCACGCTGTATGGGTTCTTATAGGTCAGAGAGTGAAAGAGAACCAGGACCTATAAAAGAATACAAGTCTCTAAAATCAGAAAGTTTATTATTTAAAAAAATAGTTACGTGCCAGTCTGCTTATAATTTATTTTTATGACTGAGAGTGCCTTTCATAAGCACATTCTGGCAAACTATAAAACAAATAAATTGAAATTGAATAAAACCTTTAGACATTAGAAGTGTAGCACCAGATTTAGTACATAACTGCAAAACTTAAACATGCAATTTTACATCTGCAAGCACATTAAATTGAAAGAAACTTTAACTTAATTTAGATACATTAATTGATACAAACTTTTCTGGTATATAGCACTTCTTGGCGCATTGAGTATTCTTAATCTTTAAGGCACATGAATATAATACCTTAGGAAAGATCTGTTCTCCACACATTTCCTCTATAAAGTGCCAAAAAAAAAAATAACGAAGAGCCAGTTTGTCTTCCGCATCAGTGTGATTTAGCATACATAAATAAGTATCTTTTCACACAAAATAAAAGGTTCAGAACCCAAAGTGTCTGATTTTTATAGTGCTTTTTCTTTCCTTTTAAAAAGATAGCAAGATGAGGGTAAGAGGTAATTTAAGAGAAGTAATCATCTTCTAACAGCCAGCTTGCAGAAACTAAAACAAATATCAATGATGTAAAAATGTTGTTTTGACACTTTGGTAAATGAAAGTGTGAGATGAGTAAGAATATATTATAGGTGCTTGTATATCAAAGGCCTGTGAAAATGGCTGATTATAAAGGAGAAAGTTAATGATCTCTAATTGTGTTGTAATGTAAATGCAGTATCACCGTAATGAAGAGAACAGATTTGCATGTTAACAAAAGAAATATTAGAGGAGTGAGTGTAGGATGTTTGGGATAATTAATTCCATCCTCCACTCCTACATACATATGCATATACAAACTCAATTCAATTTTAAAGAGAACCCGAAGAACCAAAAATAGACTGAACACACTTGATGTTGTATGGGAGCTTAAATTACTATTTTTGTTGTTCTCTGTGACTATCTCATTTAGTTTCTATTGTGTTTGCAGTTTCTTCCAAGGTGATTTTTAATGGATTGAGTAATGCATAAAAATTTGCAGAAGTATGCAGAAAGTTTGTATGCAGGGCCATGTAGAGCTTTTATCCTACAGTAAATCCTAGTAGTTTGCTGGTGCTGTGTGATTTTTTTTGTTTGTTTAGGGTTTTTGTGTGTGTGTGTGTGTGTGTGTGTGTGTGTGTGTGTGTGAAGCTTATTTATTCCATTTCAAGAAAAAGAAAAATAGACAAATTAGAATACCAAAAATAATTTGCAGCCAGTATCAACCAATTTATATTCAAGCTGAAAAATTAAAATAGCTTTCAGAGAATGGTAGAAGCATATTATTTAAAAAACAAACTATGAAGAAATGGACAGAAGCATGTAGACATAGATAACAGAAATTTAAAGTAAAAAGTAGAAAATGAAATTATTCCCTTTTATACCTGAAAGCAAATGATTTCCATGATTCTAAGCCTCTGTAAAAAGCAGCAACAATTTCATCATTTTCCTATTCACTCTTCATATTATCTAAATCAGGATTCTGCAAAATTATTTTCCTTGAATTACTTTTAAAACATACCAGAAATGAATTCACTACTCTAATTATCACAGCAATTCAGGGAATTATTAAAAATCAAATCAAATCAAATGAAACTTCGTAAGTTGTTTACAAAAAAACTTCAGGTTCATTTGCTTTTAATGCAAGACATGGCAATGTATCTCGGCCTGTGGATGTCCTCTCCATGTTAATAGTAAGTGCAAGTTTATGAAAAGACTAGACACCGACACCACCTGGGGAAATCAAAGCTTACTTACCTAAAATGCACAGGAGCCAAGAAGCATGTTTAAGTTCATGGGAGGGTAATGAATGCTGTTCTCTAGAACATGTTTCAAGGAGCTGGACACGTTTCCTTACCAGGGGAGACTCACACTGCAGATCATAATTTCTGAGCAAGTGAGAAGTGAGAGTTCCATTGCACCTGTGGGAAGCTCTATCCTCCAAAGTGTAGCTTTACACACCCAGCTTGAGTCATTCTTCTTTCAGGTGTATCTGGACATACTCCAGGGACTAGCTTATCTGTGCCTGGTGCACTTCATTTATCACGATTAAACAATATACAATTTGACTGAAGGGCACAGTATAGGTCAGTGCATTTATGCATAACAGCAGGACTTATTAATCATCCTCAGCTCCTGCAGGCTAAGAAATCCTGCTTAAAATTTATTTGCATGCTTAGAACTAGAACAGAGCTTCGAAACTAGAAAAAGGGTCACTTACTCTGATGTCTCTGGAAGCTCATGAGGTCAGCCCTGAACGCTAAGTTGCACTTCTTGAAACAGTTTTAATGCCCACGGCTATCTCCCAATTCATTCTGAGTTTGAGAAGGGAAAAAAATGAAATGATATTTAGTAGACTCCTATAACAGTTTGGGTAACACCAGCTGTTTTAACAAACAATCCTCAAAGTTAAAGTGGCTGAAAGTTTAAAATGTGTTTCTCATTAATAACATTCAAATAAAGGCATTTCTTGTCTGGGTGGCTTTTACCAGGGAGTAATTCAGGAAACTGGCCTCCAGTATTGTAGCTCCAACTTCCTAGAGGGCTTCAGAGTTCTCCTTTTTCAAATGACACATGTTGAAAGAACTGGAAGAAACATTTATATGTACCACCCTCTAAAAGTGGTACACATTAACCGGGACACAGTTGCATGGAAATATAGCCAAGCTATGTATCCAGAAAGAAGAAAAAACAAGTGTGGTAAAGAGCTATCAGTCTATGCCTCAGCTTTTCAAAATCCAGTCTTACGGCGCACAGATCTAGAGAGAATATGTAGACCTTATATTATGTAAAGGCATTCACAGAACTATTTTTGTTGTTGTTAACATACTTGAGCTTCCCTACGGCAATGTTCTTGTAGGTTTCCCAGACTAATAGCCTTCAAAATGGAGGTGAATATATACATACAAGAAAAAAATAAGTAACTTAAGTCTTCTAATAAGATATGTTTTATAAAAATATGAAGAAGATATAGTAACAGCTCCTTACAGCAGTGTAAGACCTTTCTTTCATCCATCTCCTCACCTATGGTTACTATCCTCACAATCCCATTTCCCTCTATGTACATTTTACTTTATAACATTATGTTCTCATACACAAAAAATACAATAAAAAATTTTCCATTATCCAACAGAATTTATAAAGCCTACAAAATTTCTAAATATATCATTTTATATGTAATGAATATGCTTGTTATTTCCCATTAAAAAAAAATGCAGCGGCCGGGTGTGGTGGCTTATGCCTGTAATCTCAACACTTTGGGAGGCCGAAGTGGGTGGATTGCTTGAGCTCAGGAGTTTGGGACCCACCCGGCCAATGTGGCAAAAATCTGTCTCTACTAAAAACCCAAAAATTAGCCAGGAGTGGTGGTGGGCACCTGTGGTCCCAGCTACTCATGAGGCTGAGGTGGGAGGATTGCCTGAGCTCAGAAAGCGGAGTTTGCAGTGAGCCATGGTTTTATCACTGCAGTCCAGCTTGGCGACCACTTGTTCTTTTTTGCTTGTTTCTTTGTCTTTTGCTTTACTTTGCATCATAGAGATACGGGTGAAAATTTCTTTAACCCTTTAAGTGTTTCTACTTTGTCTCATATGCTATACCTCATTTGTTACTTGGAGTATACTCTTGGCCATGCTATTAGAAATGGATGATGTAAAAATGGCGCCCCCTGAAGTCAAGCAATGTGAAACATTTGTAAATCTCTACAACAAATGCCCTAAATTGTAGTCGCTTAATTAAAATAATTATTTTCTATTTACTGTAATAGTCAACAGGTAAGAAATGCAGTCTTGCATGGATGTCCCACTAAAAAATATATGCCATCTTTTAGTCCGTTGATACTTAGCATATTGCCCTCATCTTCATGGACAAAAATTGGCAATTTTTCTGTAAAATCTCTCTTTCATATTACTGATGACAAAATTCTGCACTTTATCTGAGGAAGAAAATGACAAGACTGACATGTGGGACTCACTTCTCACTGTATAATACCATCCTTGGCTCCTGCCCCAGGATAATTTTGATATTTTTAATTATCAAACCAAAACCAATAAGTTATATAAAATATAGGCAAAGTTACATTCACTGGGAGAATTTTAGCACTCTCAAAATAACATATCAGTTCCTATTATCCAGTAAATTCCTACCACGTCCCACGCTCCCGGAAGTGTGTCCGGATTCATGTTTTTCTGATAGGTGAATGCAAAGTCACTAGCCATTGCCATTTGCCAGGGATTCAGAGAGACAGAAGTGTGGAAATTAACATTTAGATGTATGAGAAATATATGCAAGAAACTGAGACTGAGCAGGCAATTTGTAGATTGCATACAGTGTAGCCTAAACATGTTTGCTTCAGTGAATTTGTCATTTCTTGCATGGGGTAAGTCTAAAATTATTTATTGTTTAATTTTTTTCATTAGAAATAAACCCTCTTGGAAGTAATTAAAATGCATATTTCACAAAAAATTAGTGCGATGATGATGACAATCATGTAACTTGCAAAACTTGAGTGTTGTTTTATCACAAACCTTATGAAAACAGATGCATCCTTGCCTTAAAAAGGAGAAGGAAAAAGGAAATGCTCTGGGCACAGCATGAAGCCCAGAAAAAGAATATTTCCAACAGCCCCATGGACATATGGAGAGGATAGAACTTAACAGGGCTCATCATCTCTGGTCATCAGAGAAATGCAAATCAAAACTACAATGAGATAGCATCTCACACCAGTTAGAATGGCGATCATTAAAAAGTCAGGAAACAACAGGTGCTGGAGAGGATGTGGAGAAATAGGAACACTTTTACACTGTTGGTGGGAGTGTAAACTAGTTCAAACATTGTGGAAGACAGTGTGACGATTCCTCAAGGATCTAGAACTAGAAATACCATTTGACCCAGCCATCCCATTACTGGGTATATACCCAAAGGATTATAAATCATGCTACTATAAAGACACATGCACATATATGTTTATTGAGGCACTATTCACAATAGCAAAGACTTGGAACCAACCCAAATGTCCGTCAAGGATAGCCTGGATTAAGAAAATCTGGCACATATATACCACGGAATACTATGCAGCCATAAAAAAGGATGAGCTCATGTCCTTTGTAGTGACTTGGATGAAGCTGGAAACCAGCATTCTCAGCAAAATATCACAAGGACAGAAAACCAAACACCGCATGTTCTCACTCACAGGTGGGAATTGAACAATGAGAACACTTGGACACAGGGCGGGGAACATCACACACAGGGGCCTGTCGTAGGGTGGAGGGATGGGGGAGGGATAGCATTAGAGGAAATACCTAATGTAAATGATGAGTTAATGGGTGCAGCAAACCAACACGGCACATATATACATATGTAACAAACCTGCACGTTATGCACATGTACTCTAGAACTTAAAGTGTAAAAACAATAATAATAAAAAACTTCCAGCCCAAACAAAAATAGTATTAGCTACATTCAGAAGACCCCACAGAAAGGGTATAGTTTCCCACAGACACCCTACTAGAAAGCAGCTTCGTGGACAACATTCACCTCACCGTTTCCCAAAGATCATCATCATCACATCCTCTGCCTTAGAACCTATAACAGTGTCATTCATGGGGATGCCTCTCGCTCCTTAAAAAGTACTGAGAAAATTATGAGACAGAGAAGAAAGGGGGAGGGGATACAATTAAACTTTGTTTACAGAAGCCTGGGCTCTCCTGACTTTGATTTTGCTACTAAAGTAGCCGTGGGGAAATATTTCTTGAAACAATAAAAATGATTGACTTAGGTTTCAAAGTTTTTAACTCACAATAAAGAATTTTTTCTCCTTTCTCTTGCACTGTTTTTCATAATGATGGTATAAAACATATTAAGGTGTTATCACAAACAATTACTTCATGAGATTATATTTGAGTTTGGGGATTTCAAAGTCATTTTATTAAAATTAGCTGTATTGTTACACATTTTGTCTGGAAAGTCTAAGTAATGTCATTAAAAGCCCAGTTTAATTGCTTTGAAAAAGCTTATGCTTGACATGATATTCAGTCTCTTAGATTTCACAATTCATTCTCCATGTATTACTACTATGACTGACTTGTTTGTCTCTTTTTGAGTTCCTTCTAGAATTCAAAAGCATTAAGATTTAAGTGTGGCTGACTGCCACGGTTACTACTTGAGACCGTCATTACTAGACTGAATGAAGAGACGAACATAGAAATGGTAACAAAAAACAAAAGAAACTGTTTTAAGGAAAGGCTAGCATGGGGAAGAAGAGAGCTCCCTGCTTCTAGTGGTCCTCATTCCATCTTTGCATTCAGATTCAACTGGTTCATGGTTCATACTGGGGGAACAAGGTCCATGGTTGGGATCCATGGGTCCCTCCAGTCTCCTGTTCAACGGTCGTACACACCTTGGGAGCACCCACTCGGTTTGTTCATCTTCTGCAAAGATGTAAGTATACCCTCGTCCCCACGTTAGTAAATCTACCAAACAGAATCAAAAGTGTTTTCTTTTTTATTTATTTTTTATTTTTTTTGCTGTAGCCGGGAGGCACGCCATTGCTGAAACATTTGTAACTCAGCTTCTGCCTCTTTGGTTAATTGCCGTGGGGTAAAACTTTCCACTGAGAACAAGAAGCAGGCTCTTTCTGATTAACACACGGCACAGAGAAAGCAAATCGAGGCTTATCCTTCTCGTAAAACAGTATAGCAAAAAGCAATCCTTAAACCTTCAATTTGCACTGTACAGGTGGGTCCACTAGATGCTATGGGTGGTGATAGATAAATCTCTCTCCTAGTTGCACTTCCAAATCCCTGACCACCTCGCTTCTTCTTATGTGGAGAAGGGTACAATTTACAGGGAAGAAGCGAAAATTGAGCAACGTATTGTCCCAGTTCAAAAACCCAAAGATCTTGTGACATTACCACTACCTGAATTTCTCCTTCACAATCAAAATCAACAACTCCTGGGCCTGTAAGTTAAGACAGCTTTTACCAAAATCAATCCCTTGTATCTTGTTGGCAAAGATCCCCAAATACCAATGTGAATCTTAGTGAGTTTGTTTCTTTCATTTAATGTAATTGGTTCTCTGGGAGATCTAATCCTGCGTTTCCAGGTGTTCCTGGGGAGAGGGAATCCATGTGCCTCTGGAAACCCACCCCTGAAACGGAGTTGTGGCCTGGACAGGGAACGCCCTCATAGTTTGAGGTGCCCGGGTCCAGGCCCCCTTCTTGCTTCCCAACAGGGGGGTGCCGTTTTGATGAAATTTTGAGTGGTGTTGATTAGCCCAATGATTTCCTTTATTGCATCGAGGGCAAAGTCCGGCATTTTTTTTCTGTTAAGAGGGGGACTATGTTACAAGATCTCTTGTTCACAGAGGTCTGACGGCATTCTCTTTTGAAACGTCCAAGTTTTCTACACTTATGACACTTTCCCACTTTAGGGCTTGACCCTTGGCTTCTTTTAGATCTGTCAGCCACCAAATTTGCTATTGCCTGAGTCAATACTGCAGAGCAATGAAGCTCAGTTCCCACATCTTGACAAGCTCTGAGAAAGCCTCCCAAGTCCTCTGCACATCTCACAGGTGCCAGTGCACGTTTACAATCCATGAAAGCCAAAGCTAAAGTTAGCCTTTCTGTAGCCACCAAAGAAGACGATACAAGGCAATTTTCATTCTCCCTCTTCTGTTCACCATTTTCGATAGGCACTGTAGGTGGGGCAAAAAATTCTAAATAACAAAAAGATGGTACATACCAAAACTCCAAACAAACAAAAAAGAGAAAAGAAATAGCCAAATTCTTCCTCGTTTCCCTGTTTTAAAAACTTCCCATTCTTTGTACCTCTAGGGCACTGACCAGTACCTTTTTAGAGCACTAACCTTATGTCGCTGCCAACAGAGTTGTAATGGGCTTTCTCGTTCATCTAGTTGGTTTTAGTTTTTTTCTGTTCCAGCAGACCTTCCTCGCTCTAGTCCTATAGGACCCTATCTGTCCCTATCTGTCCCTGTCTGTTCCTCCAAATCTCTCCTAGTCTTTGCTAGTCTCTACTTTTGTACCTCTTTAGGACACAGACCAGTACCTCTTCAGGGCACTGACCTTATATTGCTAGTCTTTATCTATTCCTATCTGTCTCTGTCTGTCCCTATGGTACCTGTTAGTTCCTGCAAGTTCCTGCAAGTCCCCGTCTTTCCCTACCTATCTCTACTTTTCTCTACTTACTTATCTCTACTTACTTTTCTCTACTTACCTCTACTTATCTCTGTTTATCCCTGCAGACCTCTTCAGGTCCCTCCAGGTCCTTTCAGGTCTCTGTATGTCCCTGATAGTCTCTGAAATGTCCCTGTTCAGGCACCATTTGTAGTTGACTGTCACTGCTACTACATGAGACCATCACAAGTATGTTGAATTGAGCCTGGAACTCCTAGATGATAAACATTTTTTTATACCAACCTTCAACTTTTTCATTAAAATTAGATTGGGTAGATACTATAAATAGTGTCCCAAGCACTAGTGGAAAGATTCTACCATGTCTTACACTGGTTACTATGAGTTTGGAGTCAGAGGTATAAGGCTTGAAGAAAAAAGCACAATGAAATACAATTTTATCCACCAATCCGACATTTTTAAGTTTTAGGAAAATTGTGTCTTAATTCAAGCTGCTATAACAACAACAAAAACAACATACACTGACTGGTTTAAACAATAGAAATTTACTTCTCGGAGTTCTGGAGGCTGAGAGTCCAAGATAAAGGTGCCAGTCAATGGTTACAGGTAAAACCTCCATTCCTTGTCATGTCCTCATAAAGAGACAGAGAGAGAGACCAGACAGAGAGAGAGAGAGAGAGAGAGAGAAAGAGAGAGAGAGACTCATGACCTAATTATTTCCCAAAGGCCCTGTTTCCAAATATCATCTCAGTGGAATTAGGGTTTTAACATACAAATTTTGGGGGCGACGCAAGTATTTTTAGTCCATACCAAGTTAGATGCAACTTTACCAAAATTATTGTGGGTAATTTGACAAGGTAAGAGAGGTCAGTGAAACGCAAATTATATGATAACTTCTTGGTGCTCAGGCAGTATACCTGCCAGGTTGTCTCCTGGCTAGAGGAATGAAACAAGTAGTATTCAACAAGACTTTGGTAGTGAGTAAAACATGGCATATAAGTTGTTTTTTGTGGGAATGACATAGTCTAAATATTATTTTGATGACATACCTGTGTATTGACCTCTCTTGCATCAAAATGACATAAACATGGAGAAATAATTCTGAAAGTCAGCAGGAACTTGCAACTCACTTCTGGGAGGGGACCAGTTAGGGGAACTATGATATTAGACTGTGGCAATGTCGACCTCCACACAGGAGGAAAGAGTAGTCACATACCCTAAATCTTGCGTAACGTGGTGTCTTAAAATTTCAATAAATCTACTGAGTTAAATTAACAGCAAAGCAGAAAAATTTGCCAAAGCTATTTATAGCTCCACTAAAATGGAAGACAAGTTAAGAAAATGTGTGTTCTAAATAATCATGTCAGAAGTTAGTGTTTCCTTCAAATATAATCATAGGCCTAAGAATTTTTATCCAAGATTGATGAAATTTTATTTTACGCAACAATAAATGGAACACAAAGGCTGCACATCATTTTTTTGTCTTCTGTACATATCACTAAAAAAAAAAAGCATCAAACTAAAACAATGAATATAATATTAAATAGGGATTTTTTAATTGCTAATATTTTTAATATAGAGAAAGAATAATGTTTAATGATTAATTACAAAATTGATGAACTAGAATAGTGAGAAATCAAGGAGAGCTGAAATTTATGGAACTTTATGATAAACTAATAAAGGACAATTTTATTCCTAGCATTTTAATTATTTGCTTTATCATTGCATTTTAAATGCAATTATCAAAAATAAAGGTTATAACTAAGAATTTCAAAAATTCTCATTGTAGCAGAATTGGTAACAAAGAATTGAATACAGAGGGTGAATCTTATATTGCTTTATTATTATTAAAACTAAGGAAATATTTAGAATTTTGTGTACTAATTTAGCTACGAAGGAAAAGGAGGGCGTCATCATTTTAAAAATGTTTCCACATTGTCTACAGAAGCCTAGATTATTAAAAAAAAGAGTGGCCTCAGATAGATATCTGATTGGAATACACTACAAAATCTAGTAGTCAACTTGTTAAGATATCTGAAGATTCCATTTAAGACAGATTGTGAAAAAATATACTGGAAGAAATAGATTTTATTTAATATCCTTAAACATAAAACTTTGTTACCTTCTAAAACGCTATATTTAGTTTTATTTCTATTTTATAATATTGTATATGATGTGCTTTCTTTTCCAGGTAAAACTAACAAAAGACAATAAAATGTTATTAACTTGAGTTATGGTTAAAGTAGAAGAGCTGTGGATATTACACTACATGAAAAAAAATTCTTCCACAGATATTATTTGTGTATGCATACATCGATAGAGATACACATAGATAGATACAGATACAGATAGATATCGATATAGATATAGACTTGGCTATAGAGACTGTGGGTTTTTTAATACAGCAAGAAAAGAGAAATATTTATTTACACTGGATCAACAAAGGAACTAGGCTATTAACTCAGATTGTAATAGTCTAAAATTTTTCCAAAAATTAGGAAAAATAAAATATTTATATGAATTTTGCCTGGAAGTGTTTCAAAATAGTTTGCAAAGAGTGAGAATGAATTTCAACTTGTGAGTAAAGGGTAAAACTGAAATGAAAGTTAAAACAAATAGTTTCCCCCTTTCATTATTAGATCATGATTTATTGAAAACAATCTTGATTGTTAAATATTGATTAAAATTAATGAAGGTGCAGAGTTCCTAAGACCTTGTCATTTGAACGTTATGAATATCTTCACAATGAAAACATTATTCGTGTTATTTATGTGAGCTTATATGTACTTTTCCGCATAAATAATTTGTACTCTTAGTTAGAAACAAATGAACTATGGCTTTTGGTTTGGTTTTGTTTATTTATGAATAAACATTAAGAACTGTGCTTATGAAATTTTCAGGAAATATACTGAATGCTTTAATGTACTCTGTAACATTGCAACATATAATTTCCCCTCTTCCCTCACTTTTTGATGTAGCTATCATTGCTTTGAGTTTTTATTTACTGGTTATTTTAAAGAGCTTAATGGTCTCATTTACTTAAAAGTGGAATAATATTGGACTACTATTTTCTTTTTTTAACCTCTCTAGGTCATTCTACAGTCATTACCTTCCAGCCTATTTGTTTCTGCAGAATCTACGTATGTAATACCTATAAATTTTCTTTTCATATTTGTTCACTCATCCACATCATTAATAAAGTTATTAAGTGAAGACAAACCCAGCAGTAGCACTCCCTTACCACCTTGAAATATTGTGCTGATGTAGAGGTTGTATCTGATTTAATTCTTCAAGGATTATTAATGTATGTGGAACTAGCTTTTCAGCCATGGAAATCTTTAGTACGTATTTAAGAAAAAGTGATTTAATGCTCAGTAGGGAAATGTTGTCCAAAACAGTGCCTGAAAAAAGCAGGTATGTGTCCACATTGGGCACACTGCAGGTGGGGTATATTGTTGAGATAGGAAGGAAAAATAAAATGTGAGAAAAGGCAAGAGACAGAAAACAAAGTGCAGGTCGGGAAGAGACAACTTTAACTTCCACCATTTGTTAATCAATTCTGAAATATTTTCATTTTTACAGCCTAAAATTATGCATGTGTTGGCATTTTTTTAAATGGATGATATTACAGTTTTCATTCAAGCATTGGTATAGAGCCTAACCTTTTGTTATGGATGAGATGTTTAGATTCTTCATCTGGAAAATCTATTTTCCTGTTATTGAAGTCACATATATACATATATGTATATATACTTTTATATATGTGTCTATATATAGTAAAAATGTGTATATTTATTTTAAAAAGTATTTTGGTTCATGTTTTTGTTCTTAATGTTGTCCTACTAAAATTACTTAATCATAAATCTTTCTACTAACAGTAAGGCAGAAACAGAGTAACAAGGGATTTTTTTTTTTCTATTAAACTGAAGACAGAGAAGTTTGGTATTTATTTTTACCTAATATAGCAAACTTCAAAAAACAATCTATTTCAATAAAAATATTTTCCCCAGCTACAGCAATAAACAAGGGATAATATATAATCTAAAAATGTAATGGAAGAAAAGGCACAGCATTAAGAGATTGCCTTATTTTCCTTTCTAGCACATCTTGCTCTTAAAATATCCATTAGTCTATAAAGGGTGCTATTTACAAGGATCAGTTTCCCTGTATTTCTGGGTTGAATGATCCTCTACTTTTACTATCCTTTGCTAAACATGACAAAATAAGAAAATAAAAGATAAATATGAGATGAAGACCTCAAATGACATCAATTTCATTGCCTCTAAAAAGTTGTGATGATGAATGTTACCACTACTCAACTGAGTTTATGAAAAGGCAAATATACTTTTAAAAATGTAGGGGTGCTTATACAAAGACTTATGTGTTTACGTTTACTTTTTTTATAAAGCTGATTTAATCAAAAGATTTAGTTAAGGCCGGGCGCGGTGGCTCACGCCTGTAATCCCAGCACTTTGGGAGGCCGAGGCGGGCGGATCACGAGGTCAGGAGATCGAGACCATCCCGGCTAAAACAGTGAAACCCCGTCTCTACTAAAAATACAAAAAATTAGCCGGGCGTAGTGGCGGGCGCCTGTAGTCCCAGCTACTTGGGAGGCTGAGGCAGGAGAATGGCGTGAACCCGGGAGGCGGAGCTTGCAGTGAGCCGAGATCCCGCCACTGCAGTCCAGCCTGGGCGACAGAGCGAGACTCCGTCTCAAAAAAAAAAAAAAAAAAAAAAAGATTTAGTTAGTAATTTATTGACTCAAATACTTTATGCCTTCTATTTCACATTTTTTACAGGTTTATAAGTCTAGATACCTATGTCAATTAGTGAATTTTCTACCAAGAGTTCATGTTTTGTTGCTTAAAGGCAGATAATTTTTTTATTTAAATAATATTAAAAAGAGGAAAATATTTCAAAATACCAAGATTGGGAGGTGTCTGGGAGATTTATATGTATTGCTTTTATTAACTGTCTAGCACTGGATTTATAAACCAGCTTATTTTTTTAATTTAAAAGCTCTCTGCCTTGCAATTTAATTCACATGATCTGCATTAACCATGCCATATTCAAAATTTCATTGATAAATTCTATCCAGTAGTCAATATCGAATTGTAAACTGATGTAATGTGCTTTAAAATATGAAGATTTAATCTTTAAAATATGAATATTTGATTGAATAATTACTACCACTAAAATCATGTTTACTTATTAGAATTATCATATAGGAATTGTTTTATAATGTATATGTTAATTGAATGTGATTTCTTGATACTTAGGATATACGTTAAGTATACATAAACAAATTGGAAATAAAGTTCTGATATACTGTTCCATGAAAGTTTCAAATCTTTATATTAAAGATTACCATTTGAGTCAGAGGCAATGATAGGATTTTCTGTACTTTATCCACATGTTTATATATACACATATATATATGTTTTCATATAACCTTTCATAAGGATAGAAAAGAACTATGAATGTTTCTCCATCAGGCATCTTTCAAATACAACATAACAATAACTTCCTTAAGTATTTTATTTAGGCAAAAACTATAAAATGATGGAATGGAAAAAGAATTCTCAATGATCAAACCAAAGCAATTATATTTGATTCTGAATTTTAAAAGATTAGTCCATCAATTTATATTTAGAGGTTAGAAAACACATTCTGAGAGACAGAAAATTATATTACTTTTCTAACTTCCTGGAGAATATTGTGCTTTGTCAAATTTTACATTTATGAGAAGTTTTATATTAAAGCTATAAAATCTATCAGGGTAAGTTAATATGAGTATTTGAAAGTTTCACTGTTAAATTTATATTATCACATATTAAATGAAAGAACTGTTAACTGTGTACTGAATTCAAAAGTTAATATAGCTTCTCTCCTTTTTAAGAAATGGGACACAATATTAAAAAATTAAAGAGTTTTCAAATATTTATACTTAAATTTATATCTAAGGAATTATATATAGAATGCATACCTTTCAAGTAGATACTATTGTTGCTGTTAAGATTATTGTCAACAAAATTTAAATACACAGACTATTAAATAAAGAAATTAAAACAACAAAAAATAACCTCTAGGCCAGGTGTCCTGGTTAACCTGTAATCCCAGCACTTCAGAAGCTTGAGGCAAGAGGATTGCTTGAGACCAATAGTTTGAGACCAGCCTGAGCAGCAAACTGAGACTCTATGTGTATCAAAAAATGTTTTAAAAGTAGCCGGGTACTGAGGCAGGCACTTGTAATCCCAGCTACTTGGGAGGCTGAGGTGGGAGGTATGCTTGGGCCCAGGATTTTGAGGCTGCAGTGAGCTGTGATTGCACCACAGCCCTCCAGCCTGGGAGAGAGAGGAGACCTTGTTTCTAAAAACTAACTAAATAAACAATAATGTAAAAAATCTCTCTTTAGGTGTATGCTTCTCTTTGCCAGTGTTTAAGGGTTAAAAAAATCAATATGAGAGATTAACTAAAGTACCAATTTAGAGTTAAATGAGTGCATTTGCCACTTGAGTGCCGATTGCCTCGCATGACAGACAATATTAAGTGCTGATGACTTTAACTTTCACAAGTTTTATGCGATAGTGGGATAAATTTTTACTTAAAATGTGTTAAACTTCGGTTTAATTGCACTAATTAATGTCTCAATAGATATACTGTTGTATCTACCTCAAAATGCAAACACCAATGAAGTAATTCATCAGAAGACTTGATATGAATAAAGAATGGAACAGTAAAGTTGAAGATAAAAAACATAGAAATTGAATAACAAATACAAGTAAGAAACAAGAAGAGTGATAAATAGCAGAACATGGCATCCAAGAGCTGAAGGACAGCTCTGGATGCCTAACTTGAACGGATTCATGAAAGAGAACAAGGATGATAAATACTTAAAAACAAAATGAATGAGAATTTTCCAAAAGAAGTGAAGGCAATCAAATCGTAAATCCAAGAAACATTTCTAGAGATATAGGGGCTACGTAAACAAACTAAAAAAAAGGTAAAAAATTATATGAAGACAAACATAGTTGTGTTGTATGTATTATATAGTTAAATATACGTTATACACAGGCACGAAGAAAAGAAGTACAGGAAACCTGTCCTCAAGAACTATTTAACTGTATACTGGAAATTTTAACCAGTGTACTAAAGTAAGAAAAATAAACAAAAGGCATACAAATTGGATACGAAGAAATAAAACTCTATTTGATTCGTGGATGGTCTATGCACAGTATTCCATTATGTACAAAATAATTAAAATTATTAGCAGTGAAGCTGCTAGAAATAAATTGTGAGTACAAAATAATTAAAATTATTAAAAGTGAAGCTACTAGAAATAAATTGTGAGTTTTGTAATTTCACACTATGCACTATAACACTATAATGTTAATATACAGAATTATTTTTTATATATAATTGTTGCAGGAAAAACCCAGACCTGTGTAGAAGAACATCCCTCTGCCAAAGAGATAGTGCTGAAATAACAAAGAAGGACTCAGACAAGTCCAGCTTCATGAGAAGATGAGTTTATTAGGACTTACGTAAAGGGCAGCGGGATAACTCCAGAGATCCGCCTGCTGCCCACCATCTTCCTCTAAGCTGCTTTTAAGCTACTTTTTTCTTTTCTTTTCTTTTCTTTTCTTTTCTTTTCTTTTCTTTTCTTTTCTTTTCCTTTCCTTTCCTTTCCTTTCCTTTCCTTTCCTTTCCTTTCCTTTCCTTTTCTTCTTTTCTTTTCTTTTCTTTTCTTTTCTTTTCTTTTCTTTTCTTTTCTTTTTTTTCTTCTTTTCTTTTCTTTTCTTTGACGGAGTCTCGCTCTGTCGCCCAGGCTGCAGTGCAGTGGCGGGATCTCGGCTCACTGCAAGCTCCGCCTCCCAGGTTCACGCCATTCTCCTGCCTCAGCCTCCCGAGTAGCTGGGACTATAGGCGCCTTCCACCACGCCCGGCTAATCTTTTGTATTTTTAGTAGAGACGGGGTTTCACCACGTTAGCCAGGATGGTCTTGATTTCCTGACCTCGTGATCCGCCCGCCTTGGCCTCTCAAAGTGCTGGGATTACAGGCATGAGCCACCGCGCCCGGCCAAAGCTACTTTTCTGGCTCTTTGCTTACTACATGTGATGAAACTGTTCTTCTTGGTATGTACCTAGATATGCTCCCGGATGTTTTGGTTTTCAGGGACATCTGCTCCTCGGCTGAGCACCATGAACTTTGCTCACCATCTAGCCTTCAGGACTCAAGCAGTCAACATATGCCCTTAAATTCCCTGGTGGGGGACCCGCTACTTTACAACACTATTAATGAACAATTGGAAATTAGAATTTTTTAAAGTTACATTTAAAGTAGCACAAGAAACATTAAATTCTTAATCTAAAAAAACATGGAGAAAGGGTAACAAAAACTAAAAAAACACTGGTAAAAGAAATCAAAGAAGAAGTAAATAAGTAAAGAGCTTGGTAGCCAATATTGACAATAAATTAATTCTGTTCAAACCAAACAAAAAATTCAATACAAAAGTTCAATCCAGTTAAAATTCCTAACAGGATATTTGCAACTAACAAACAAGCTCATTCTAAAACTTTCAACAGAGAAGCAAAGGAATTATAATGGAAAAATCATTTTGACAATAAAAAAATTGAAGAATCCACTGATTTATATGTATACTATATACATATATGTATATATACATATATTATATATACATACATTATTATACATATATGTAATATACATATGTATATCTGTTGGTGACTTTAACCATATGATTCATAATTTCAAAAACTGGTGAATAGTCAAAAAGTTATATACTGTATCTATTTAATATCACATTAGGAAGAAAAAGAAACAAATCTGATAACATAACAACATGAATGTGTCTCAGATTTATTATGCTATTTTAAAAGCCAGATTTAAAGGCCTATTCAGGATGCTGTTTGCTCCCTTGTGTATGACATTCTAGAAAATATAAAACCATAGGGACAAAGAACAGCGATTTCCAAAGACTGAGGGCAGCAGAAATACTGATTCAAAAGGCACAAAAGGGAATTTTTCTAGGTGATGTTACTGTTCTATATCTTGAGGATGGTATTTGTTATATAACCATCTATGTTTTCAACACACTGCATACTTAAAAAGATGACTTTTGGCATATATAAATTTTAATTCGATAAACCTGAGTTTTTAAAACAAAGATTTTCTGTAACCAGTAGACTCATAACACTGTCTTCCTGCCATTGACTAAGATGGTTTCAATAGTGGATTCCTCTTGTTCATGCCAGCCAATGTGTCTTTTGTTTAACCAAAACCCTTGAAATATCTTTGCCTCAGGCTTTTATTGCAATTTCCTGTAATTTAAAGACTTCACCCTCCTATTCACAGGAGTTAGTATCTTGAAATGGTAATAACTTGAAAACAGCTATGGTGGGAGGACTTACTCTTTGAAGTGTAAATTACATACATGCAGCATACACCATGTATCAAGACTTTCTTTTTTTCTGGTTTTTTTTTTTTTTTTTTTTTTTTTTGAGATGGCGTCTCACTCTGTTGCCCAGTCTGGAGTGCAGTGGTGTGGTCTCAGCTCGCTGCAACCTCCACCTCCCTGGTTCAAGCGATTCTCCTGCCTCAGCCTCCTGAGTAGCTGTGACTACAGGCACCATGCCACCACGCTGGGCTAATTTGTGTATTTTTTATTAGAGACGGGGTTTCACAATATTGGCCGGGCTGGTCTTGAACTCCTGACCTTGTGATCCACCCGCCTTGGCCTCCCAAAGTGCTGGGATTACAGGCGTGAGCCACCGTGCCCAGCCGAGTTTCTTTTCATTTGGATCACTAGTTTACCAACATCACTGCCTTTACCCAACTCTATTAACAATTATTTAACCTAGTTTATCAAGTCACTTGTCAAAATAGAGATTTATATTGTTTATATATTTAATATTTTACAAATCTGTATTTTTGTACTTCACTGTCTAATTAAACCTTTGGGGTAACTTTTATATGTATCCCAAATAGGACAGGACAGTCATTCATTTCTTATAATGTATCAGCTAATTTCAAGGAGACATCGGAATTTTTGTGGAGACATCGGAATCTGAAGAGCAAAGTGATTCAAATTGGGTCACAGATTAAATAATTTTTAAAATGTTTACTTTAAATATCTTAAAAAACTTTAAGGAGAAAATTAATTTTTCTATATTGTTCTTGGCCTTAAAATATACATTAAGCATTAGTTTTCTGGCTTTTGATGTTTTTCATAAAATTAGCTCAAAAAATGCAAAAAGCTTGTATGAATATATAAGGGCCTTTGTAATCATATTGTAATTGCTTGACATAGTTAATTTCTTGATTTCTGACTCTGGCATCTGAGTTTCATAATTGTTATGTAATTACTCTATTTTTTTAAATCATGTTTTTAAATGGAAGTTTCAGTCTCAGATCTTTTCTATTTCATGCAATAAATAATTTTTAGCAGTAAAGAATTATTTGGCAATAAATATTTTTTGAGACGTCATGCTCCAATGATATAATTTAGTCCACTTTCTGCTTGAAAATATGCAAAGAAGAAATCTCTTGTTGGTATTAATTTCAGAAGTCGTCTTTGCACACACAATGATGATCATTCTGTTTTCCTTAGATAATTCATGGTAGTGTAACCCAATAATATAATCTTAGATGTGTAACTTACATACATGCACGTGGCACATGAAGCATGTGGTGTACTGAGATGAAAATAAGCTTGTAAAAGTCATTGGTTACCTAACTGCGGCTTGGTACCTAGCACACCCTACCTGCAACGGTCCCAACAGTTACACTGGCTCTATTTGACTTAGATGATGCAGGGGTGGGTTCAAAATCCCTCTCTTTTTCCTAATTACATACGACTGAGCATCCCTTCCCTTGTCTCAATCTGGGATTTTGAGAGTTTATTATAAGATCCCCAGTGAAAATCCACCCAGGTGGTTCTTCCCTACCCTCTTTAAATGTTCACACCCTAGTGTGAACAAGCTAGAAGTGGATTCTTTGAGGCAGTGACAACAGACCATGTTCAACTTCTACACTCCTTGATGTTTGTGTATTGGAAGAAGGTGTGACAAGATGCCAGGCACCAGAATTTCAGGTTGGTCTTTATGGAATTCTTGAACTCTAGGGCTGCATCCCTCCCTATAATGAGGCAAAGTTGGGGAAGTAGAAAGTTCAATGCAGCCTATGATTTTTACCTCATGGTTTTCTATAACCTAATACATATCACATTGAATTATGTGTTAACTCGTGAGCATTCAAATTAATAGAGCATGCTGTACCAAAATATTGTCATTATTTTGGTTATTATAAATTATATATGGCCATGATCAGTGCTATAGGGCAAGACTATATCATTTTTTACTTCTAGGCTAAAAGGATTATGTTCCTACACATGAATTATGTAACTTTTTAAAAAAAATAGTGATATTTTTCTATTAGAAGTTAAAGCAATTAGTTCTTTACAACATTGGCTACGTACTCAAATCAACTGATTCCTGGGTTTCCCCTCAATCCAAGTAAATTAGGCAGAGAGCAAAACTAAGGAACAGTATTTTCAAAGCTGACCAGGATTGACAATGACTGGTATTCAAATAGCTGTGAATTTGTGCAAATGTAGCAGAAGACAGCAAAGGGTTCTGGATATGCCAATTATTATTTATTTATTTTTATTATACTTTAAGTTCTAGGGTACATGTGCACAATGTGCAGGTTTGTTACATATGTATACATGTGCCATGTTGGTGTGCTGCAGCCATTAACTCGTCATTTACATTAGGCATATCTCCTAATGCTATCCCTGCCCCCTCCTCCCACCCCACGACAGGCTCCGGTGTGTCGTGTTCCCCACCCTGTGTCCAGGTGTTCTCATTGTTCAATTTGCACCTATGAGTGAGGATATGCGGTGTTTGGTTTTCTGTCCTTGCGATAGTTTGCTCAGAATGATGGTTTCCAGCTTCTAGAACTGGAAATACCATTTGACCCAGCCATCCCATTACTGGATATATACCCAAAGGATTATAAATCATGCTGCTATAAAGACACATGCACACATATGTTTATTGCGGCACTATTCACAATAGCAAAGACTTGGAACCAACCCAAATGTCCATCCATGATAGACTGGATTAAGAAAATGTGGCACATATACACCATGGGAATACTATGCAGACATAAAAATGTATGAGTTCATGTCCGCTGTAGGGACATGGATGAAGCTGGATATGCCAATTATTATTAAAATAATTTTTGGGTTAAGCTGATTTTTACTTTTCTGAAAGAAAGATCCAAACACAATGCCTATAATAAATCTTAGAAATTGTCTGTCTCCATTGGTGAGATTAGTCAGTATAAACACTAACATATATAAATAAAACCAAACAACAGTTACTCTTTTCCATAATGTTATGCTTTTGTGTTCAATGAAATATTTAATTTAATTACTAAATTTCTAGCATTTCTCTGAAGGATAAAACAAATAAGCAAACAAACAAAGTAACAAGAAAAACCCAAAATAACTTCAATGAATTAAAACTGTCTAGTGCTACCTTTCCTATAATTATTGTCACCAAATAAAGTGCCTATTGGACAGAGATGGCTGGTTCACTGCAATCTCCATTGACCCTTTCGCCATCAGTAAAAATGTCCTCTAATGCTTAGCCGGACACATGATCACCAGGAATAAATGCTATATTCCCAATCTTTTCTTAACATAGGGCATGACACATGTGACCAATTTCTGACCTATGTTGTGTAAGGGGAAGTAACGCGTGTAACTTCTGAGAAGCTGACTTACATGCAGGGGGCATGTCCTATCTCTGTGCTTTCTTCCTTCTTGGAAAGGCAGCTCTGATGGCTAGATCTGGGGCAGCCATGGGGCAACATGAGAAGCAGCAGTACTTGGAGGTGCAAAGCAACAAGATAATAGCCATCTGGATTTCTGATGATCATGAAGACATCATATCTGAACTGGGGTGTCTGCATATCCCTGAGAGGCAAAAAATGTCTATATTGTTTCCATGAGTTCTTAGCCTACACTGCACATACGAGTTATCAGAGAACTTTCAAAATTTATCAAATGCCCAGTCCTATTAAGGTATCTGGAAACTTATTCTTGGCCTATAATTTTCCACTGGGTCAACTATAACCCAGGTTTATCTGTCTTCTATATCCAGAGACTGTACCCTGCTCCTATGCAGTCTTGCTCTCTCCATAGCTTCATATGTGCAGCAGAACTCACCCTCTGCCTTCCATAACCAGGAGTGGGGCGCTACCTTCCCTCACCTGACTCCTGTGCTGCAGAAACTTGCTAAGAAACACGGAGCATATGTTTCAGACTCAGAATAAAATTATTTTTACAGTCACCAAGTTTTAGAGATTCTGATTTAGTGTATCTGGGTGTGTCCAGGGTACCAGTGTGCTCCCTTCTCACTCAAATGAAAATTACTGGAACATGATGTTATTTGGTATTCAGTTACACAAAGCTGAGTGTAACTGATTGGTTAATAGTAAAAGTTTTGATTTCAGTAAAATAGTTGAATTATTCTAAACCATAACTTTGTAGCTACATGATTTGGGTGAGATGATTTTTTTTTTTTTTTTTTTTTTTGAGAAGGACTCTCGCTCTGTCACCCAGACTAGAGGGCAGTGGTGTGATCTTGGCTCACTGCAACCTCCTCCTCATGGGTTCAAGTGATTCTCCTGCCTCAGCCCCCCGAGTAGCTGGGATTACAGGTGTGCACTACCATGCCGGACCGGTTTTGTACTTTAGTAGAGATGAGGTTTCACCATGTTGGCCAGGCTGGTCTCAAACTCCTGATCTCAGGCGATCCACCTGCTTTGGACCCCCAAAGTGCTGGGATTACATGAGTTAGCCACCACACCCTGCCTGAGATGATGTTTTTGAGCCACAGTATTCCCATCAGTAAACCGGACATACTAATTGTAATTTCAGGTATTTTTGTGACACATATATTATTGAAATTATTATTATTAAATTACTGACTTTAATAATACATTCTTAAATTAGTTATTATTATAATAACATAATTAATATTGAAAGCAGTTTATAAACTTGCGTGGTGCTAGGGGGCACTACAATGTAAAGGAATTTATGTAATAAAAGTAAAGATGCAACGTTTGATTTTATTTTTCATGTTTTGTAATGCAAAAATTAACTGTCCTTTTATTTAAATTACAGCACATGCAAATTAACTTTTAGGTATATAATTATTCTGAATTATTTCAGAAAACTATTATGGTCTCATCACTGGATTAAAAAATGTAATAATATTCTCAGTTTAAAGAAAATGCACAGGTTTTAAATCCTCTGTGATAAGGGCCCATGAACTTGGAGCTGCTGATTTTTTTTTTTTTTAATTTGCAGGGTTTTTACATAACAAATTATCAGAAACCAAAGCACCCAGATATCAGACTATGAATAGAAAACATCTTTCCTGAACAAGTACAGGCTTTATTACTTAATTGTATTTACACTGATGAGTGCACACAAAGAAAAATCAATTTGTGGGAGTTTATTTCATTGGTATTGAAATTGTATCTTCCTTGAAAAACTTGGCACACAGTGCCTAGTTTGTCTCCCAGTTCATTATATTATTATTTTACTATATTCTGTGCTGTTATGTAGTTTTATATGGGCTCACTAGTTGAGTGTTCAAAATTGCTTTTCTGAACTATAGAATATTAACTTCCAGTATTTACCAAAAAAATGTTATTTATTAAAAAAATCACAATAAAAGGGCATAAAATAAATATAAATACTCAACATTTTCAAGGTTCTTGTGGAATCATTCTGAAAGCATTAAAAGGAGAGGCTGGAAATCTGCGTTTATAATATTGGTCATTTCCCTACCTACTTAATAGTAACATTAAAGCTTCCTCAGTATGCTTTCTGAAACAAGTAAAAATGTTCTTTTACCTTAACTTATACTGTGGAAAATCTCAAAGGAATGCTAGAAAACCATTCCAATGTACTCACCCAAACAACACAAAATACCCACACCTTCTCCAATTCAAGCAATCATTTAATTAATCGAAAGAGCTGAGATGCACTCCCTCTCTACCTCATAAGGGCTTCCATCATGAACTTGATTGTGTCCTAAATTCAGTCCTCCAGGAGAAGCTCATCACCCTCCCCATGTCCTGAATGTCAGAATCCAAAGCTGGAAACTGCATCCTACTTAATCTTTATGTTTTTTGAAAAAGTTTATCTTTCTTCCCAGGAATAAAAACATCTATTCTCTGAGGCACATGTAAGCATTTATCCTTCAGTATAATGAACTTTTTTAGTCATATTGTTAATGACAAGCTTACATAAATTTTTTTCTGCTCCCACCTTCAAAGCTCCAAGCCCTGTATTCTTACAGGATGATATTCATAAACTATTTGACCTTAGCTTCCCTCCATTTAAGGCTTTCTTGCTCAGAATCACTCCTTTTATTAGTTATCTGTTGATGCTTAACATATTACCTCCAAAACTTAGTGGATTAAAACAACAAACATTCATTATGCCAACTTCTCTGGGTCAAGAACTATATCAGAATTAGTAAGGCCCTCTAGCTCAAGGACTCTCATAAGGCTGCCATCATTTAAAAGCCTTACTTAGGGAAGATTCACTTCTAAGATTAATCATGTGGCTGGGGGCAGTCCCCAGGTCCTTCCTTGCTGGCTGTGACTGGTGACACTGGCTCCGTGCTATGTGGACTTCTTAATAGGCAGCGCCCAACATAGAAGTCAGCTTCCCTTACAATGAAAGAGAGAGAGAGGATTCCCAAGACAGAAGCCACAGTCTTTGTGCAATCTAATGTTGGAAGTGATATCCATCACTTCTGCCACAGTCTATTTGATAGTGAAGTGAGATAAATTCAACTAGGACAACAGAGTAGAAGATTCCTCAAGGAGTTACCTCTACCAGGGGTACAAGTGACATGGAGCAATTTTAGAGGCTGCTTACCAAACCCATGAAATGTATAATGACAAAACATGATATTCCTCTTAAATGACTAAATAAGCACACCACTCTTTGATCAATCTCCTGTCTGTTCAGTGTGGCAACAATTCCCACTGCAGCTGTTCTCCTGCCTCACTAAGACTTTCAATCCACTGGTGCCTCAGCCTTTGCCTATAGCATTATGATCCTCCTGCGGTCAGTTACTCCCACAAGCAAACTAACAATGGCTCTTCTCAACACTGGCTTTATGTTAGAATTGCCTGAGGAGGTTCCAAAGATACATATGAGTGCCTTGGCCCCAATTGAGATTGGCTGACCCAGTGTCTCTGGGACCTGGCATTCTATTATGATACTAATATGCAGCAATAGTTGGGAATCGATATTGTAGATTCAATTACTGAATATTTTAAAATGTAATTGCCAGTAACATAAAACCAGAATTGACATACTGCTTCCCTTGGGCTAAATACAATCCATCTCCTATTTTTTAAATAAATTCTTATTGGAACGCAGCCACATTTTCTTATTGTCCATGGTTGCTTTTGCAGAACATGGGAGAACTGAGTACTTCCTACAGAGACAATATGGCTCACAAAATAAAAATATTTACTATCTGGCCCTTTGCTTAAAAAAAATTACTGAGTTTTGACCTATCCCCTTTCACATCTTCATTTTTCTCTCTCTCTCTCTCTCTTTCTCTCTCTCGGTTGCTTTTGGTTTTGTCCTTTTTAGAAGCACATTGCAACCTCTTCTCTAGATGAACTCAACTATCTGATTTCTGCATATTTCTCAGTCCATGACTGCTGCTGAAGAATGTCATGCAAGAAAACAAACTGATAATATTTTAAGACGATGATCACCATTGGAAACCGGGTTTTCAATTGTGCCTGACATAACTTTTTCAATCTCTACAATCCTCTAATTTCTGACACTCTCTTCTCCCTTCTCACTTCTCTCTCTCTGCAGATGACTTTGCTACTGCAACACAGAGAAAATATAAGTCTTTATACTCATAGTCTTTCAACTACCTGGCACTAAATCAATATACCTGTCTCCATTTGCAACTATTATCTTTCTCCCTGATCCTGTCAAGATGATCTTACTCTTTGTTGTAGGCTACTTTCCTCCTCTGACTTCAGAATTAGTTCTCACCTGACATTAAGAGGAAATTTACATTGTTACCAATTTCTCTACTGAAAATCCAACTTTTTATTTCCACGTAGATGCTTCCCATCGTGGTTTCCATGAACTTTATTGTCTCAATGATTGTCATTTTAGATCTATAACTCTTTTTCTGAGCTTTGGGTCTATATAAGCCAAATTTCTGCTCAACGGAGCAACCATATCCCCACTTTAATTGGACAAGTCTCTCCAGAAAATAAATCTCCTATTTCCTGTTGTGTTAAATGAAGAATAATTACTAAGGTATTCAGTAATGATAAAGAATCTGGGAATTTAACTGTTCTTGATATGAAATTTCAAATTACACACTTTTTTTGGGGGGGAAGCCAAACCCACCTCCAGCATTTTATTCCCACACATGATAAGCTTGTCCAAGGTGTGTGTGGTTTGGATGACTTTATATTTTGTTAGCTTTCCTCTTCCCTCTACATATGGACACTATGTTTTGTCAAAAGGAAATGTGTACACTAGATGCTTGTTAAAAATAGCAAGGAAGACTATTCAGGACTATAGCAATGGGGGAATAATATAGCTATAGTAGAGAGAGATTGAACTAAAATTTCTCCCAGCATGGAGCTGGAAATTTATAAGCAAAGAGCTGAGGGAGTGAGTCAGTGGATAGAAACTAATTAGATATTAAGGGTGGCGGGGGGTGGGGTGGCGGGGAGCGGGGTTCTTGCTAAACTGCATTATTGCTAAAGGCATGCCAAAGTGATAAGATATCCAGGGCGAAGTGATTCTCAGTGAACTGGCTTAGCAGGCGTCTTTGTTAAACTGGGCCTGAGAAGAGGGACTGGAGAAGAATGATTAAACTTTGGTCAAGATGGGAATCTGTCAGTTTTGGCCTTCTCTAATCTATGTGGTTACGCTGCTCGAGAGCTTGCTAAGATGTATTCAAGAAGGCTAGTGTATTAGCTTGTTCTCACACTGCTGCTATAAAGAAACACTTGATATGGGGTAATTTATAAAGCAAAGAAGTTTAATTGGCTCACAGTTCTGCAGGCTGAACAGGAAGCATAGCAGCATCTGCTTCTGGGGAGGCGAAAGGGAGATTTTACTCATGGCAGAAGGCAAAGTGGAAGCACGAATCTTGCAAGGCAGAAGCAGGACTGAGAGGAAGAGAAAAGGTGCCACACACTTTCACCAACCATATCTCATGAGGATGCTATCATGATACAGCATCAAAGGGGGAAATCTGCCCCCATGATCCAATCACCTCCCACAAGACCCCACCTCCAACATTGGGGATTACAATTCAGCATGAGATTTGGTAAGGGACACAGATCCAAATCATATCAGCTAGTAATAAAGTGTATTAAGATTTAGGAGTTGATATGGTTTGGCTGTGTGTCCCCACTCAAAATCTCATGGTGAATTGTAAACCCCATAATCCCCACATGTCAAGGGAGAGACCAGGTGGAGGTAATTGAATCATGGAGGTGGTTTCTCCCAAGCTGTTCTCATGACAGTGAGTGAGTTCTCTCGAGATCTAATGGTTTTACAACTGTTCGGCAAGTTCCTCCTTCCATCCTTCTTTTTCCTGCCATTTTGTGAAGAAAGTGCCTGCCTCCCTTTCACCTTCCACTACGATTGTAAGTTTCCTGAGGCCTCCCCAGTCATAGGGAACTGTGAGTCAATTAAACCTCTTTCTTTAATAAATTACTCAGTCTCAGGTATTTTCATATAGGAATGTGAGAAAGGACTAATACAGGAATCTTCAAGGACATCCCATCCAAATTAAAAGTTGTGTATCACTTGCTTCTTTGACCTCACCTACTGTATTAATTACATTTATATGTATATATACACACACACACATATGCAAACATATATATATATATATCAGCTTTACTAAATGGTCTCTATATTCTCAGTTTTATTGTTTCATTAGGAAAAGAAATTGGCTGGGATATTGGTAACAGTATATTTCTGCTTATGCTGTAATACCCAAGTTGAAACATTTGATAGAAATTGATTGATGCTTGTTACCTGATGTTTTAAAATAAGGGCTAAATAGTTATATATCTCAATATTATCGTTATCCTGGATGTGACAGGGTACAGATGTGACAATGCATGTTTTTATAGTGTGTTCTACTGGTGATTCAAATAACTAAGGTATTGCCATTGGCAACATAATTTTTGTAAATATTGAAAGACTCTGGGAAGTTTCTACAATAAAAAGACTTTTTCTCTTCAATTTCCATAGTGGTTGCATTCTGAAAAATTTAGTTTGTATTAAGCCATTCAAAGTATTTACATGTAAAATATTCATTTCTTGACTAAATAATTACAGATGATCACTTACGTGGCTATCCATTGGGGCATTTGATGGGAATATTTTTTACAATGTAGGATCGCAGGATATCTAGTATTGTTTGTCCTCACATTGGAAATACAATTACTGCCTTCTGATCGTTTTGACAATGGAGACACTCAAGCATTTCTAAACAGAAAAAGCTGGTACAAGCACACTTGAAGCACAATACATCTGAAAGGCACATGAAGAGTTCAATAAAATGTTTAACAACTGAAAAGACTGCAGAAATAAATTTAAGTATTCTGTCTATACTAAAATCCAAATGTAAATTATATTAGAGTTGCAGCTATTTAATACGCTATTTCAGCATTCACATGCTATTTTCATTTTCTATTCAGATGTTTTTTCCACTGCCAGACACTTTCTAACAAGTCCTTCAACCCTCTTTATAATAACTTATGAAAATATTTGTTACATTATGCTCAATGATTTCCTCAATTAAAATGATATATAAAATAAGAACAAGTGAGAGGAAAAAAACATAGTTTGTGCATCTGTTTTGTGATAAATATAGTAGTTAGATCTATTTTATATAAATTTTCTCATTAAACCCACATCAAACTTTTTCTCCTGCATTTTTTAAATGGAAAATGTGAGGTTGATAGGAGTTAATTAACTCTACTAATAGCTGACGGTAATGAAACTATCATTACTGAGAACTATAGTTGGTTTTTACAATTATTTCATTTTTTGTTGGTTTGTTTTTGTTTTTGTTTTTTGAGATGGAGTTTCGTTCTTGTTGCCCAAGCTGGAGTGCAATGGCGTGATCTCAGCTCACTGCAACCTCTGCCTCTTGGATTCAAGTGATTCTCCTGCCTCAGCCTCCTGAGTAGCTGGGATTACAGGCACGTGCCACCACGCCCAGCTAATTTTGTATTTTTGGTAGAAATGGGGTTTCTCCATGTTTGTCAGGCTGGTCTCGAACTCCCAACCTCAGGTGATCCACCCACCTCCGCCTCCTAACGTGCTGGGATTACGGGTATGAACCAGCATGCCCGGCCAATCTATATCTTTTAAGTGTGAAATGCTTTCAGAAAAATATTTCAACCAAAAGGGAGAAATGTGGAAGTTGTGAGCACCAAAATGGAGTCACTTACATCAAACCATAAAAAAATGAAGCTGGGAGGCCATGAAAGAGGGGCCTTCATGTACATATGTCTATAATAAGAACTGCTGCAATGGTTCTCTCAAAAACCACGAAAATGTTAGATATGATAATTCTATGAAGACATCTCTCCAGCAACAGCCAATATTATCAATGAGTATTTGCCAACTCTTGTAACAAGCTTCTCTGGCCCATGAGGTTTATTACAAAACTTACATAAAATTTCTCTTTTAAGATTTTTGCCTTCCTGATATGGTTTAGATTTGTGTCCCCACCCAAATCTCATGTCGAATTGTAATCCCCAATGTTGGAGGAGGGGCTTGGTGAGAGGCGATTGGATCATGGGGGTGGATTTCCTCCTTGCTGTTCTTGTGATAGTGAGTTCTCATGAGACCTGCTTGTTGAAAAGTGTGTGGTATTTCCCCTTTGCCCTCTTCCCCCTGCTTCGGCCATGTAAGACGTGCCTCCTTCCTTTTTGCCTTCTGCCATCATTGTAAGTTTCCTGAGGCCTCCTCCAATCATGTTTCCTGTACAGCCTATGAAATCATGAGTCAATTAAACCTCTTTTCTTTATAAATTACCAAGTCTCAGGTAGTTCTTTGTGCTAGAACAAACTAATACAGTCCCTCAGCTTCTTTGGTGCCTAAGGTCCACCATAGCATGTGTATTTCAAATTGCAATTTACTGCTATTTCCTGAATACACTCCACTCTTTATTTTAGAGAGTCAGTATCTCTGTTGTTTAAGTTGACATAATCTAATGTCAGAAGCAAGATGCAAAGGCTCCAAGCCTTCTTTGTTACTTACAGTTACAGCACTGTTATCCAAACAGTAACAAAGAAAGCCTTTGGAAGGCTTTCAAGTATCTGGCGATACTTGAAATTGTGTATGATACTCACCTGAGCCTATTGTGATCTTCACTTGTACAAGTTGTCTTTATGCTGCGAGATAAGTCCTCTCTTGGTTTGAGCTCCCACCTTTTCAGTGAACTCTTACATTTTGGGGGATCTGCTCTTGTAAAGGACATCCTTTCTGGTGAGTATTCTTTTGGTTTAATTTTTGGTTTGGTTATTTGTGCATGAATTTAATCTCATTAGGAAACAAGTTAAGTTGAATAGACCAACTAGTGAATTAATCCGTCTCCAAAATATACGTTTTTGGCATTTACCTGTTTATTTTGAAACTCTTTGTAAGAAATGTAAACCTGTAATGATAATCTCTGCTTTGTAAGGATATCTCCCTCTCTGACACCTAAAACACTAGATGCTTTCACAAAGCAAAAGGAAGAGACCTAAATCTATCTATCTGTGTAAACTCACCCTTGACCATTTCATTTTGAAGGCTTCCTATATATGCTTTTTTTCATCTCAACAAATAGTGGTGTTTAAGTTCTGTACCTTTGAGATTTAAATTTTCTACATTCCTTCACCTAAAAATCATCTCTTTGGAAGTACAAATTTTGGGTGGCCTAACTAACACTTGTTTATGGGCCAATTGAACAGATCATTAAAAGACAGATAGTCTGAAAGAGGGAGTAAAACTACTTGCAAGCCAGGCAAATAACAATTCTTAATGCAAGTTGTAAGTTCTTCCTCTGTCTGTATTTTTCTACGTGTGTGTGTGTGTGTGCGTATGTACAATTTTTTCTACCAAAATTCATAAACGGCTCTACTTAATTGGCTTACAGAGAAAACATAAGTGTTTAAACTAAGAATTCTCTCAGAAAAACAGAAACTCAATTGCCTTTTGGCTTATGTGATGAAATAATCTTTGGCAGACAAAGCTAGTTTTAAAATTTGTTGGCAAAATAAAAACAAATATTTTCAGAATTGTCAGCATTAATTACAATGTACAGATACAGTTTTTAAACCTAAAGTTACTGGTGAAACAAGCTTGCTATTACTGAGATGTATAATGAATGTCTTAAAGCTATAAATCCACTCATCCTTGTGTTTAAGGAGGAACTGAAGCACAATTGTTAAGAACAAGTGAATTAGGTGAATATAAATTGACAAAAGGTTGATAATAAAGTTGTCAGAATTTCAAAAATAATTTAGTGTGACTTGAAATCTTAAAATCATGTTATATTAAATTAAGTAACACTTTACTGATTTAATATTTGAGTCATTTCTAAGGAAAATACTGAAATATCAATTGCTTAACAGAAGTTTAAAATATACGTAATTTGGCATCTTGGTTTCACATGTTATGGAAAAGCTAAACATATTTGGGCCTGTTAATTAAAGGCATAAAAATTATTTTATGAGATGGTGTTCATCTGCAAAATACTAACATGATGCACTTCAAAATGCTTACTAATTTTCACTAGAAATTAAGGTTACTAAGAGTTAATTAAAATTAATATTAGAGTAATTTAAACTAGAAATAATGAAGGGAAACAAATCTGTACGTGAGGGAAGGAAAACACATACAGAAAGTTATAAGTAAGAGGTTGTGTTTTTGTTAAGGGAAAAAGAGAGTATTTTTTGTCTAAAAGTAGAATGTCTTACTGTTCCAAAAAGAAAAAGAGAAAAAATATAGACAAAAACTGAATAAGATAACTGGATGACAAATTTATAGAAAGTTTGTGGAAGATTAATCTTGTGAAAAGAATTTTATGTGTGACCAAGTTGGCTAAAGTTAAAAGGAAATTATTTATAAATATTCTGAAAACTTGAGCATTATTATCAAAAGTACAGGAATGGAAAACTTGAAATTTGTCCCCTGTGCTGAAACAACAAGCTTTTCTTTGAGTATTGACCTGCTCTTAATAGACAATAGTGAAATGTTTTCTCTACCTTTTAGATAACTGGCCTAATAAACCAAGATTTTTTGTTTATCAAGGTAATTTCTTATGCTTTATGCTCTCTTTTACTAGGTCTTTGATTACTTGAGAAAAGTGAGTGAGGTGGGGCCAAGATGGTTGACTAGAAGCAGCTAGTGTGTGCCACTCTCACAAATAGCAGGAAGAGTGGTGAGACACTAGCTCTTCAACCGGAACATCCAGGTGGACACATAAGGATTCATCAGTGACATAGTGTGACCTTCGGATCACGGAGAAGAGTGAGACAGATCAACCATTCACCCAGGAGTGGCACAGACCCAGGGGAATCCCCCTACAAGAAAATGGTGAGTGAGTGAGAGTCCCGTGGGATGCATATTTCTGCCACGAACCTTTGAATCCCTGGGCTCAGGAGATACCCCAGCTGGGGTCTCCAGACCAAAACAGAGAGCCATGTGGAGTCTGGGTAGAGCTGCTTCTTAGGTAGGTGTGGAGTCCCAGTAGCATTTGTTCCCTGGGTACCCCAAAACCAGGGGCTGCAGCTCCAGCAATTGGGAAGGCCAAGTTTTCTTGCACGCTCCCCAGAAAAGGGGCCAAGTCCATGGGGCTGAGCAGTGATAGACTGCAGACCTCACCACCACTGAACCTTGTAGGATAAGGCCCACTAGCCTGGGATGCTAGTGAGGCCACCCTAGTCCTCCTGAGTTCTCCAGCTGGGAGCAGCTCTACACTTCTCCGGCATGCAGCTCCCAAAGAGAGAGGCAGTCCACCTTTTTGCTGTCTCGCAACCCTCCCTCCTGCTGCTCTCAGGCTTGGGAGGGTGCACAGCAATTAGGGACTATCACAGAACCCCAGCACAGTGCATCTGGTGAACTTAAAAAAATCAACAAGTGAAAAACAAACAATCCCATTTAAACGTACACAAAGTACATGAACGGACACTTTCAAAGGAGGGCATACATGTGGCCAGAAAGCATATGACAAAATGCTCAACATCACTAATCATTAGAGAAATGCAAATCAAAACCACAATGAGATACCATCTCACACCAATGAGAATGGCTATTATTAAAAACTCAAAAAATAAGAGATGCTAGTGAGGTTGTGGAGAAAAGGGAATGATTATACAGTGATGGTGGGAATGTAAGGTAGTTCAGCCATTGTGGAAAGCAGTGTGGCCATTTCTCAAAGAACTCAAAGCAGAAGTGCCATTCAACTCATCAATCCTACTGTTGAGTATATACCAAAAGAAATACAAATCATTCTACCATAAAGACACATGCACGTGTATGTTCATTGCAGCACTTTTCACAATAGCAAAGACATGGAATCAACCTAAATGCCCATCAGTGGTAGACTGGATGAAGAAATGTGGTAGATATACAACATGGAATACTATGCAGCCATAAAAAGAATGAGATCATCTCTTTTCCAGCAACATGAGTGGAGCTGGAGGCCATTATCCTAGAAAACCCAATACCATATGTTCTCACTTATAAGGGGAGCTAAACATTGAGTACATATGGACACAAATGGAACAACAGACACTGGGCCTACTTTAGAGTGGAGGGAGGAAGGAGGATGAAAATTTAAAAATTACCTACTGGGTACTATGCTTATTATCTGGGTTATGAAATAATCTACACACCAAACCCCGTGACACACAATTTACCTATATAAATGCGTAAGTAACCCACATGTGTACCCCTGAACCTAAAATAAAAGTTAAAAAAAGAGAAAAGTAAATGTTCTCAGTATTAAAAAGCTATGTTTTTGTTGACAATTATGTAAATTTCTACATTTATTTTTTGAAATCTTTTAATTTTCATTTTGGTTACCTGTTATCGTACTCTGATAAAGTGTTTTAAACTGTTTGATGTTTTTGAAAAACTTCCCAAAATAATATTTTAAATTAACTCTTTTTGCCCTCAAGTTAATTTTGATATTTCTCATTTGGACCCCTGGAAAGATCAAAGAATGTGTATCTCACATTGTAAAGAGATATATTAAACTAATGAGACTTACTTGATATATTAAATTATATAGGGAGTATTGTCAAATACTAAGTGGTGCTAAACCTTCTTTAAGTTGTATTTCAGAATGTTATTGATATGTGTTACAAAATAAATTCTTCAAAATCTGATATGTTATCGGTCATAATCTTGGTTATTATCTTCAAGTTTTGTATGCCACAGAAATAAACAAATTTCTTTGTCAATTACATTATTATTATAATAAACTCCATGAGATTTTTAACCATGGCCGCTCTAAGTCTGTCATCCACAGGGACCGACTGCTTTCATTCTTTTCTAAAAGCATTTGCCATCAGCTACAATAAAAAATTGCTTCTTCTCTGAAACTGATGGTCCATTAAGGTTTAACCCATATACTCCTCTATATACCTCTACAGCCTCCCCAAATCAAGTTGATATATTCCCCTAGCAGTCTGTGCAATGGAGACCAACATTACATTCTTTTAGATTGTTTTAAATTACATTTTTGAACTTCCAGTTTATTACATACCAAGAGTTGATTACAACCTCCTTGTTTCATAAGTGGAAGCTATGTTAGGGTTGGATGTGGGTGCCATAATTTCTTCAAGGATCCTGGACAGAGACCCACATCAGGATCAGAAACCCTACGATAGCATTGCAGATCTCATGGCTCAATAATCCTTGAAGATTATAATTTTCATCCTACTATCAGTTGCACTTTCTGTCACTTTTACTGCATTAAGTCTCCCGGTATCAAACAGAGCTCTGTGGTGTCACTGACTGAGGAATGGAATAGAGATGTCCACAAGGGGTCTTGATATCATGACTGCACAGAGATGTGAAAGGAGAGACCACTTCCTCACCACCCAGCTACTTCACTTCTCTCCCGGTATCAGCCCTATAGTCGGACCTAGGCTTTCAGAAGTGTAAGTGTGCAAACAAGTTTCGGTTGGACTTTAAGAGGACACTTTGTCATAGAAGAAAATCCAGTATCTCTAAGCTGGTTTTCTTTTCAGGAAAACATCCTGAGGGACCAGTAAGCAGGGAGATCCTTTTTCTAGTTTGCCTGTAGAGTTAGGAAGACAGTTGATTTTTCAGTCTTTTACAGGATGCTTAAACAAAGCTGTGTAATTACATAAGGTGGATCTTTATCTTGCCTAAGAAGATAAAGTGGGAATCTTCACTCCGCCAGGGCAAATTTCCAAAGAGCTCATTTATTCCATGTCTTTCAAACTTTCATGAGATACATTTCTCTTTCACATTGTTGCTGATTTCCAAACAGCTGTCAGCTAGTTTTTTCCTCCCCCTTTCCTATTCTTCACTATTTTGATAGCAAAGCTCATAGAATTAGAGGACTTAGAAGATGCTTTGTAAACATTGCCACAAAGGAACTGCTGAAATGATTCACAGGAAGACTGGTCAGTTGGGAGAAAGATCCTAAAGATGTTACACTGGTTTTCAACAACATGCTTAGAGAATTCTTGAAGCAGATAGCTGTCAACCCAGTGAAAACAACATTTTGATTTATTTTTTTTTTAAGTTTATGGTGATTGTGTCGGTTTCTAAAATAAGCAAATATTCAAGTCAAGAGATGTTTTGTTTTTTCTTCTGCCAAGAATGGGGTTAGGGGAGCAAAGACACAATTTGGGAAAGGACATATGTGCTATTATAGGGATCACCTTTAAGTTTCTGGGAAGGAATGGGCACGGGTGAGTAGGTTGGCTCAACATTGTCCTGCACTGCTTATTAGGACCTGAGACATGCAAGGGAAATGTGGGTGACATCAGGGCACCCAGGGCACAGCCCCACTAACTGCTGTGCTGAGTTTCTGTAGCCTGCCACGTTTCCCTTGGTGAAGTAAATGAAGATCAAGGAGTCATTTTATGATGTCCTGGTGCTGAGAATAATAAATGTCTTGTTACAAACAGATGTAACAATGGTTTTTTTCTGGATTATTATCAGGGTGGTCAGCTCTGGGTTAAGCACCCACATCCAATTTGTACAATAATATTGATACATAGGGCTACGCTTATTACTGCTCAAGCATTCTGTTTTAATAATTGTGTTTTCTTCTAAAGGTTAAATAAAAGCAAAAAATGGGGCTAAACTATCAAACTGTTCCCCTATTTGTTTTCTCCAGTGTACAACATATATATGTATATATTTTATTTTATTGAAGATGCAGTAGGATACCTGCCATTTAAGAAAATAAATAGAAAATTTAAAATCCCAACAAATGAGAAAAAGAAATTCAGTACCCAAGAATAGGGCTGGTCCAGCACCACCCCGAAGTAGGCTGTGGTTTATGGACTGAAGAGCCTTGCTCCCTTTACATTCGCTCATGCTCCCACACAAGGCTAGCAGTAGAAATGCTTGAATTCTGCTTGGCTTGCCAAGGGGACTCAGGAGTCAACCAAGGGAACTATTTGGCTCCACGAGGAATGGACACCTCAGGATGCTTCCTGAACAGGGCCTAGTCAGGAAGTAGCCTGGATGTGCATAGTCATGGTCACCTTATGAAAATGTGTGGCAGGTGGCTCTCAGGAAAAACACCAAGCCTGGATCATCTGTGTGGCAGCTTTGCCTGGGGAGGTAACAGCTCCAAATTGAAACTGAACTGCATCCTACATGCTTTACCAAAGCAGTGATGAGAGTGATCAGTGCATGTGGTGTGAGTGGTAGGTTTAAAAAAAAGGGAATGTTTTACGCTCAGTGTTTCCTCTGTCTTTGGGCTACTCAATCTGGACAATAGGTAACCATTCTTTTCAAGGAATCAACCCAACTTTGCTGGCTTGGTTTGTGGTTTGTTTCATCCCTAGCTATGAGCATGCTTTGGTCTATAAACGTGGCTTGTCTCATAATACATTCCCTTTCTGTAATTTTTTAAATTTTTTATTTCCATAGGTTTTTGGAGAACATGAGGTATTTGGTTACATGAGTAAGTTCTTTAGTGGTGATTTGTGAGATTTTGGTGCACACATCACCCGAGCAGTATACACTGAACTCAATTTGTAGTCTTTTACCCCTCATGCCTTTCCCACTCTTTCCCTTGAGTCCCCAAAGTCCACTGTATCATTCTTATGCCTTTGCATCTGCATAGCTTAGCTCCCACTTAAGAGTGAGAACATGCAATGTTTGGTTTTCCATTCCTGAGATACTTCACTTAGAATAATAGTCTCCAATCCCATCCAGGTTATTATGAATGCCATTAATTCATTCCTTTTTATGGCTGAATAGTATTCCATTACATATATGTATTTATGCATATATATATATATACATATGCATATATATATACATATACATACACACACACACACACACACACACACACACACATAAATATATACCACAGTTTATTCACTCATTGATTCACGGGCATTTAGGCTGGTTCCACATTTTTGCAATTGCTAATTGTGCTGTTATAAACGTGCATGTGCAAGTATCTTTTTTGTGTAATGACTTCTTTTCCTCTGGGTAGATAACCAGTAAGATTGCTGGATCAAATGGTAGTTCTACTTTTATGAATTGTCCTTGTTTTTCTTTAAAAGTTAATACTTTTGATCACTATAGTTTGTTAGTGTTGGATTGTTTCCACTTTGAAATTTCTAAACTTTTTCCCTTCATAATGTTAAAACAAGTTATGTTAGATGCCCTTTCAACATGAAAGGTCTGTAGTTAAGATATTACATATATTTTATTGTTTATAATAAAAATCTAGACATAAGAAGTGCCAAGTGTTAATTATAATATTTTGCACAGTATCTTTTTTCCCATGATGTGTTAATATCTACAATTTCATTAAATGTTGATGTTATTCTCTACTGAGATTCAGAAGCCTAGGGAGCTATGTGTTCATTTTGGTTATTTTTGTTGTTATTTCCCTGAAGCAAAAGACTACATGGCCTTCAGTGCAACAACCTCAGTCCAATTCTGAAGTTTATTATACTTGCTTGCCTCTTGGCTATTTAACTTCTGAGTGCAAATCATTGAACTCCCTAATGAAGTATTGTAGAGAATAAATTAAAATGAATAAAGAAAAATACTTCCTCTTCAAGGAGGTTCATGAAAAGGACTCTAACAAGTATGCTGGAATTTAGATTTCTTATGAGTTTAAGATTATACCACTGGACTGGGAAAGAATTTCCAGGACTCTAATGAAGAAACGATGGCTTCTTAAAACATCTAACCCAGATCAAGTAGAATAAGTTTAATGAATGGGACTAAACAAACTGATGGCAATATTTTCGAGTGACTTTTTGTTTAACATTTTGCTGTTTTTTTTAAATTTTTTGTTTTCCAGATTTGAGAAAACTTTTAAAAAGCTATCTATAGCATACAGCAATTTGGTAAAGTATACTTTTATAAATAAAAATGGAAATATTTATTTTTTCTTCCTACCTGCGGCTGCAGTCTTCAGAGAGCTCTTATTGATATTTTTATTTTATGGCAACATAGTTATTTGCATTAATTCAATAAAAATCTATTCTCTTTGTAACAGGATAGAATTACAAACATTGGTTATATTATAAATGGTTTGACTTGAATGTGATATTTGAGACTATGCACAGGATGCCTAGCTTCAAGGATTCCCAAGCTCACAGTGAGTGAATAAACATTTTTACCTCTTGACAGGCCAGGAACCTCCAGATATATTGGAGACCTCAAGAAGAGAGAAATTCATGCAGATTTTTAGATACTGCAGCCAAAGTCTGATGTTCGCCCTCCTTTGACTTCTGACCCTTGAAAGGCTTTTAAAAGTCTAATCTGAGATTTCTTATCAAAAGTTCCATCAAAATAAACTTAAAAACAGCCCATGTTTCATCCCTTTTCTTGCTATACTGTTGTCAATAATCATGCCAAGTTTAATGAGACTAAACTTATTCAGCAGACAAATTAGTCTTACTCTGATTATCTTTAGTAGAAATAGGGATGATTGTACAGAGAAAAATTATGTTTCTGAAGAAAAACTGCAGTACACCTGTTAGTAGATTGTAGTTTTCTTTGTTGTTTTCAAGTTTTTGTCATCTATCTCTAAATTAGACAGGGCACTTAATTATTCTAATTTCCTCCAACGTCTGGCTATGATTCTCCAACTAAGAACATAAACTGCCTTGTTCCTAAAGTCCTACAAGTTGGAGCCAGAAAACTCCATGTAAATTTCAAGAGAGAAATCTCATGGCTATTGTGTGGGCTACAAAGAGAATTGACTAAAATGCCCCATGCTATACCCAGGAACATTCAAACTACAAACCAGAGTAAGAAGTTGATGACATCACAGTGTGGAAAGCTTTTCCCAAGACATTGTAACAAAACTGGACTCTTATCCTTCTTATTTTTTTTTTTCTTGCTTATGCCTACATTTTTCACTTGGCAGAATAACGCTGTGGTTAGAATTTCACATTCAGTAGCTTCCGTAACTGAATGAAGTTTTGGATCTGTCGTGTCAAACCCACATCTTTACATGACCTAAGGGATCCTTTAGTCCACCCAGTGGGTAACTATGGCAACATCCCTAATTTATTTGCCACCTTGGGTTTCGTTGCAGGCTTCACCGCAAAGGCTATTGCCGCCCAGCAGTGCTCATTAAAGTATCTTGCTGAGTAGCCGTAGATAACACAACAGGACAGGATGAGATAACTCTCAATTATCTACTGGTTGAACAAGAATGTCTGTGCCATTGCTAATAACTACATGCTGTACCTGAATATATTTCTCTGGGGAAGTCAAGACCTAATTGCATAAAATAGCAAGACAGGCTTTATGGCTACAACAGATCTCACTCAGTCTCACATAGACTTTTGATTCATTAGTTGGCTGCCTTTGGGTCCATGTTCATAGACAATATTTCATGTTACTATTAATTTTGTACCGCATCATTCTTTTTAAACTTTTTATCTGTTTCCTGTCCAACCTCTGCAGAAATGATGCATCTAACAGAGTAACACTGGTCCAGAACTTCCAAATGGTAGTCAATGCCTATGGAACTGACAAAATTGAACTTAGCAATGAACTCCAGGCAGATTTATCCTGAGAGCCACTCCTTCTGAACCTCTTTGTTTCTTAAATGTGACTAATAGGGTTTTGACATCTGCTCTTAGTTGCTGGCCATTCACCTCTGATGCAGGATCAGACTGACTAGGAAAGGTCCACTCCAGCACCAAGAAACAATCAAAACCTAACTATAGGCTGATTAATCAGCAATGCTTTCAGAAAAAATTCTTGGTCAAAGGGGGGAAATGTTAAAGTTACAAGCAAAGAAGTTGACTCACTGAAGTCAAACCACAACAAAATGGAGCTGGGAGAGTATAAAAGAAGGCCCTTCATGCATGGATGTCTCTAAAAGAATTATTGCAAGGACTCCCTGAAAACTACAAAAATTTTAGATACGACGCTTCTATGAAGACATCTTCCCAGCAATAGCCAGTATCACCGATGAGTATTTGTCCATACCAAGCAATAAGCTTCTGGGGCCAAAGAGGTTTATTTTAAAATAATTTACATGAACTTCACCTTTTTTTTTCTTTATTTCTTCTTCTTCTTCAAAAAACAAACAAAAGTGATATATGTGCAGAACGTGCAGGTTTGTTACATAGGTATACGTATGCCATGGTGGTTTGCTACACTTTTCAACCTATCATCTAAGTTCCCTCCCCTCACCCCCCAACCTCCAACAGGCCCCAGCGTGTGTTGTTTCCTTCTCTGTGTCCATTTGTTCTCAATGTTCGAATCCCACTTACGAATAAGAACATGCGGTATTTGGTTTTCTGTTCCTGTGTTAGTTTGCTGAGGATGACGGCTTCCAGTTTCATCCATGTTTCTGCAAAGGACATGCTCTCATTCCTTTTTTATAGCTGCGTAGTATTCCATGGTGTATGTGTACCACATTTTCTTTATCCAGTCTATCAGTGATGGGCATTTGGGTTGGGTCCATGTCTTTGCTATTGTAAATAGTGCTGCAATAAATATATATACGTATGTTCCCTTACAGTAGAATGATTTATATTCCTTTGGGTATATACCTAGTAATGGGATTGCTGGGTCAAAAGGTATTTCTAGTTCTAGATCCTTGAGGAATGCCCATACTGTCTTCCACAATGGTTGAATTAATTCACTTTCCCACCAACAGTGTAAGAGCATTCCCATTTCTCCACATCCTCTCCAGTATTTATTGTTTCCTGACTTTTTAATAATCTCCATTCTAATTGGCGTGAAATGGCATCTCATTGTGGTTTTGATTTGCATTTCTCTGGTGATCAGTGATGTTGAGCTTCTTTTGTATGTTTTTTGGCCACGTAAATGTCTTTTTTTGAGACGTGTCTGTTCATATCCTTTGCCCACTTTTTGATAGCGTTGTTTGTCTTTTTCTTGTAAGCATGTTTAAGTCCCTTGTAAATTCTGGATATTCGATCATTGTCAGATGGGTAGATTGCAAAAATTTTTTCCCAGTCTGTAGGTTGCTTGTTCACTTTGATGATAGTTTTTTTTTTTTTTTTTTTTTTTTTTGCTGTGCAGAAGCTCTTTAGTTTAATTAGATCCCATTGTCAATTTTGGCTTTTGTTGCAATTGCTTTTGGCATTTTTGTCATGAAGTCTTTGCCCACCATGCCTATGTCCTGAATGTTGTTGCCTAGGTTTTCTTCTAGGGTTTTTATGGTTTGGGGTTTTACATTTAAGTCTTTAATCCATCTTGAGTTAATTTTTGTATAAGGTGTAAGGAAGGGGTCCAGTTTCAGTTTCCTGCATATGGCTAGCCAGATTTCCCACATTATTACTGAATATGAGATCCTTTCCCATTGCTTGTTTTTGTCAGGTTTGTTGAAGATCAGGTGGTTGTAGACGTGTGGTGTATTTCTGAGGTCTATGTTCACCTTCATTGGTCTATATGTGTGTTTTGGTACCAGTTCCATGCTGTTTTGGTTACTGAGGCCCTGCAGTAATGAAGTCAGGTAGTGTGATGCCTCCAGTTTTGTTCTTTATGCTTAGGATTGTCTTGGCTATATGGGGTCTTCTTTGATTCCATATGAAATTTCAAATAGGTTTTTCTAATTCTGTGAAGAATGCCAACGGTAGTTTGATGGGGAACTTCACCTTTTACCCTTAAAAAAGCTTCGGCTCCCCCAGCTTTTTCAAATGTGCCTATGGTTCAGTACGGTACACATATCCCAAATTGCAGTTCATTGCTCTTCCCAGATAAACTATTTTGAAAAGTCAGTCTCTCTGCTGTTTATTTTAATAATTTTTAATAGAAGTACATCTTTCTTAAAAGCATAGCAAAAATTTTAAGTACATTCACAATAATAATAATTAGGAAACAAATGATCATTGCTTTGATTTTAAGAATTATTAATTTCTTTAATTTTTCAAGTTGAAATATAGAACATGTTTTATTTAGTTACCAATTTATTTCTGTATTTTTCATGAAACAATTTACTTTGGTAAGAAATTTCAAGGAATCTGTGGCATAAATACATATTTGGTCAATGTTCCTTGACCCAAAGTATTAAGGCTGGGTTGTATTTAATTCAGTGACTAAGTAATTTAGTCAGGTTATTCAATAAATTAATGAGGTAATAATCTATAAATTGTTATAATCTGTCAATCTATAAATCATATGTAAAATTGTATTATAAAAAGCAAATGAGTCTTTCTAACAATAGCTAGTTCCGACAATAAAATAACTTCACTTTTAGTTAGCAAGCCCGTATTACATTTCTAAATATTGAAGTCTGTGCAGTAGTTAATGAACTTTTAGTCAATTATTGAGAAAAAAACTTTTAGTACAGTAGAAGATATAAAAAACATGATTGAGCTCAATTTCTCTTTTTTAAAAAATCACTGATTTCTTGGTCAAACTTTTGCTTCTTTTGGAACTTTTGAACTTTGTGGCCATGTGAAATGGCACTCTGAAACTTCTAGTAGACTCAAATTGAGGTAACTTTCTTGCTCACGACAATTTTATGTCCAGTTTCTAATATAAGCCATTATTTCTAACACATGCCATGGTTCCATGTTTGAACTAATGTTAATACCACCTGCCCCTACATGACTGAGTCTGAGCACATCCCTGGGCCACATCAAGCACCATGGCAGATTAATCATTCCTTATGGTTTTAACAGGCAAGCTGGGGAAAAAAAATAACTGTCTCCTCCAACTTTGGTTATGAGTGAGTTTCTTACCTTTTAATGGTGAAAAATAAACTTATCTGTCATAGGAGAAAATAACATTACACTCATATGGAAGCAGAGGTGAGAAGTGAAGCCTTAGTAGTGATGTCATCGTTGCCAATTACTGAAGCCAGGAAGTTAGGAATCATCAGTCTTTTTCTTTTGAATTAATGTGACAGTAGTCGAGAGAGAGAAAAAAGTAGGCATGCTGTATGTTATTTAGAGGATAAGATCTATAGATTTGAAATTGATTTGGCATAAACCCACAGGAAAGTGAAGAATCAAGCATGTATTCTAAGCTTCTGGCTTGAGCAAGTGAGCAATCAGCAACATCAGCCCTATGACTTACTAGATTTTTACTGAGGTATACTTTGTAATGTAATAGCTGCGAGAAACTGAATATCATTGAAATTTAGAAAAGGTTATGACAATGTCATTGGGTTAATAGATAGCCTTTTCTTACAAAGATTTGTAAAAAATGAGAGGCCCTAGACATTTGCTGTGTATATTATGCATAAAAATACCACCTCCAGTGAATTCGTTTGGAAAAGAAACTCAAAGCAAGGCCAGACAAAGGAAACAAAAAGAAAAGAAATGAAAGGGAAAGGACAGGGAAGAAAAGGCAAGAAAAAACAAGACAGACAAAAAATTGGAAAAATATGACAGAGAGAGCAAGAATTGTATATATCATAATTTTATAATATTTTAAATTTATAAAATTATTTTTTGACTTTTTTTAATTCAAGAAGACCCTGGATATAAGTCCATCAGTATATAAATAATTGCTAAGAACTGGGACTAAATTTTAAATAAACTACACTGTTGAAAAAGCCAATATTTTCAAGAAAATTGACCAAAAGGTATCCTTGTCTTCATTTCCACTGACATCTTATGACTGCCATATTTTTTCAGCTATGGCTCTTTTTCTACCAATGGCATGTCACAAAAATGTGTGAACCTCTGGTCACTCTAATTAGTCATACCAATATTGCATAATTTTACCTCAGAATGTTTTTTCCAACTACATTCTTTCTCCAGGGGCATTTATATTCAATGTTTTTTCCAGGGGCATTTACATTCTGAATACCGTGCCTCAAAGTCAAACTGGTTAGCATTACAATCTTGTCTGGTATTATATATGCATTTATTAATGTACAAATTGACCTCAGAAATAGAATATATTTGTCAGGAGTTTTAGGTCTTGTGTTCCCAACACCTAACAATAGATACTTGTTGAATAAATTATGAAAGGGAAAAATAATTTTTAAGAAATTTTGAAAACTTAAAAAGGAAACAAAGGTGTCACAATGGAAACAAAATTTCACTTTTTTTCCTCTGAGTTTAGAGTAAATCTCAGATTCAAACACATCTGAGGATGTACAATTATCAATTATGTAATTCCAAGGGAAAGTAATTTGTACTTACAGGTTAGATATGATAATCAATTCACTTAATTCTACTCGTTTCCTTTAAAAAAAAAAAAAAAGAGGCTGTCAGAAATAATACATCACAGTAAAACCTCCTATCAAACAAGAAAAGATTGTATTTGGGAAAACATTTTCATAGACCTAAATTGAGTAATGTTTCCAACTTACATTTCACCAGTTAAGCTTCCCATTAGAAAATGTGTTTGTATGACACCAGTTCCACTTGCATTTTTTTCCCATAGGTTTCCCAGCAGACGTTTACAATCCTTTAGTGATGTTATAGCCAGAATTGTATTAGGTAATAATATAAAATCCCTAAATTTTATGTACAAACCTTCACTGATATTTTTAGTTATCATGAAAGAATCCTTGTATTTATTTCTATTCTAATTCTCCTCATGTCATTGGTATTTTATATGTATTCATTGTAAACATGTGTTGAATGTTCTAAATTTATACAAGCAAAACAATGTACATATTCTAGAGCTTAATATTTTCCCTCTCCCTGTTTTTTTTTCCGTGGCTTTCTCTTGCTTTCACTATTGCAAACTCTGACCCTGAGAGGCAAGAGTCGTGACCATTTAGTAAGATGTATCGTTGAGTATCATAAAATAGTTGGATAGTCTGCTATTTTTTTATAGTAGCAAAAATAGAATGTTCATATGCTTGCCCATGATTTTTATACATTTTTAAATTTGTCTACCACATGCCTAAATTTACCAAATTAAGTCCGTGTATATAAAACATTTGCACAAATGTTACTCAAGTTGTCTGAAATAAAAATACATGTATTTTGCAATTTAGAGCACATGACACTAAAGATGTATAGCTCCGTTAACTCACCTTCTGAACAAATTTCAGCAAGAAATTTCAGAATGAATATAAAAAAGTTAAGAAATATTCTAATATATAGTAGCTGAAAAGTTTACAGAAGTAAAGAAGAAAGACACAAATTAGTAGATTCTGAAGAATTATCTAAACGAACCCATAACTATTCTCTTTATTTTGGATATTCTATTGTTTCCTTATAATTTGTTTATAAGTTTCCTTATAAATAAACAAATTATAAGGAAACAGTGGAATATCCAAAACAGAATATGCAAGCCAATTAACAATCACCATTTTTACCAACAAAAATATTGAAAGTCAGAAAATTGTGGAATATCTTTGAAGTGCTAATAAATGATAACGGCAAATCTAGAATTTTATGTCAATTAGATTTAGAATTCAAGAGCAGATCAAAATAGAGACATCTTCAGACAATCCAAAAACTGAGAGTTTACTACCAAGAATAGTAACTTTTACAGTATGTACCATAGAATAAAGGATAATTAACTGGATGTAAATTCCAAAATATTAGAAGAAGAAAGGATGTGAAAAAACATATATAAGCAGTCACAATTTTATTTAACAAACACACCAACAATATGTGATTTGTGGGAATAAGAAAAACAACATGAATATAAAATAATGAACAATTTGTAGCAAATATTTTTAAATAATTGCAATTAAAGAGCCCTAAGACTTTGTATTGTTTGGGCTTGGTGTTAGTAAACTTTATATTTTATGTTAATAATGTTTATTAGAATATCAAAATTGCCTAGCAAAAGAAAACTGATAATGTGAATAATTTCCAAAATAAAAGAGATAAGTTACAAAAAATGTTAAAGTAAACAAATGCAAAACAAGGCAAAAAAAAAAAAATCAAAGTGAGAAAGACCAGCAAAGTGAATAAAAGGAAGAAAATATGACTTTAAATATAAAAAAATAAATAAATGAAAACCTAAAAAATAACATGCAAGTTGCCAAAAGAAAACGATTTACTTGACTGAATAAAGGTCGTTAAAGGATTTCTTCAGCTGGTGAGCACCAGGCAAACCTGAAGACTAGGTGGTTCCAGACTGAAGTAGGATCAGGCGTCTAACAGAAGTCTGTGGAGTATGCCTGGTTTAGGCTGGACAGATATTTTCTGCTTTAACTGAAGTTGAGTTTAGGTTTTTGGGTTCTTTTCTGTTTGTTTTTGTTTTATCTGTTTATGTTCCACTTTCAGAGTCTCATTATCCATCAGAACAATATTATATGAGAACAATCTTTGCAGCTGATGGGCTAACCACGTTCCCTGGGTGGGGCAGGGGAAGTAGACAAGAATAAGAATGAAGTGGATGTAAAGGAAGAAGGCAAGGGGCGGGGGATTATTACCCTCTAGTATGTTTGTTTTAATCGCTTTACACGGTTACTAGTTTTCAAATTTACTAAATATTTTATATGATTCAAATCATTAACTGAGAAATTTCTTTCAAATTCAGTGCTCTTTGCAGAGTACTGGCTAGATGTTGGAATCCAAAAATGAACTGTGAAAAAAGGCCCGTGTCCTCAGGAACTTATGTTCAGAAGAAATGGAAAAACAAAATTAAATAAGTGGATAAATACATGTGTGTTGTTTTACTAAGACCTTATTTATTAAATATTTTGCTAAGCCTATAATATTAAATCAGCTATTTATATATCTCTATATAACAATGGTTCTAGAGTCAGGAGGTTAACCTTGTGGATTCCTCAGTGACCTTGAGTAATCACTCAACCAAAATACATTTGTATTTAAATACGAACATAAGTTCGAACATTACGTTGTTACCCTAGCCACTTCACAAAATACGTTCGAACACTAGGTTGTTACCCTAGACACTTCACAAAATATTTGAAAAACACATGGATAGACAATTTGATGATTCTATAAATCTGGTAAATGAATTAGAAATATTATAAAAGGTTTTTCTGAGAGGATACCATCGAGCAAAAAGAAAATGACTAGCATTTGACACTATGTAACTTTAAATCTATATTTCAGGGACCTCTGTCACTTTCTTGGGGAATTGAATCACCTATTCCTACTTAGCAGCATGAAAATGAGTTGAATCTCCAGGTTATAGCATTTGAAGGCATGCCTGAGAGGAGCAGATTCAAAAATCAACAGGTGGTTGATGTTTTCTGTGGGGAGCATTCCTGCCTCAGTCCTGCTGCTGTGACCCATTCCTAAACAGCTTTGGGGTCTACAGTCCCCCTTGGTACCTGCTGGGGATTTGTTCCAGGACCACCACCAATCCTACCACCATCATCCCTTCATAGCAAAAGCCAGAGATGCTCAAGTTTCTTATATAAAATGGCCTAGTATTTGCATATAACTTACACAACCCTCTTGTATACTTTCTATCATTTCCAGATTATTACTTACATTAATAATACTGAATACAATATAAATGCTATGCACATAATTGTTATAAGGATTGTTTTTTATTTGCATTGTTTTATTGTTGTATTTCTTTTTAAAAATTATTCTTGGTATTTCTTTTAACAAATATGTTTGATTCATGGTTAGTTAAATCCACCCACAATGGGGGTATGGAGGGTCAGCTGTATTCAGGAATTTGCATTAACAGACTTAAGAGCCTAGTAGATTCTTTGCTTAAATGAACTCTGTGCAGACACAGCATTCAACATTTCTATTTTGATACTTTAAGCAGACTGCAGTGTTTGACAAGCTATTTCAGTAATATGCAATAATCTTTACAAAATAGACATAGATGTTCTGTGACCCCAAATTCTCTGAAACTCTAAACTCAATTATTGAATCTATAGTGGTGTTTCTGATCAGATTACAAGATGAAGGAAGCAATGGAACTTGGCCTAATGTAATGAAAAATATTGCTATCTCTCCACTGATTATTTTGGATGATGGGAGAGCTGTATAGCCATTTAACTAAAGAGGAATCCTTTCAGGAACTACTCTGAAGTACTTTAAGAGATGGAGTTGCTGAAGAAAAAAGATTGAAAACAATTGGCTTAGCTGTTCAGAGCATGGCAAGAATGTAACTATAATCTGTCATTGTGTGGGCAGACAGATGGCCTGAAAATTGAATAAATTGGAAATCACTGGAAGGCAGCTATTTTGTCCTTGAGTGCATTAGGTATCTTGGAAAAATGTTATTAAATGGTGAACAATTGCTATCGAAAAGTTTCTAGTTGTTTGGAACATAGAGTTACATAAAGTCAAGATTCTATTATTATTCTAATAATAGATAAAATCCGAATGTAAAGAAAATGTTTCCTATGAACTATGTAATTTAATTCTTATCAGAGCAATACTTTAAACAATTATTTGATTAGCCTGTGTTTGTGAATGTATATAAAGTAAGCAATAACCTTATTTTCTCCTCTTTGTAATTTAATTCATTAGAAATTGAGAATCTCAGACTTCTCTCCAGCCCTATTAAATCTGCATCTTCATTTCCAGGTCACTCATACACTGTTTAACTTTGAGAAGCACTGTTGTATATTGTCTTGAGAGTCCACACTATGAAATAAATTGGCCCTTATTTACTCCTCAATTGAAATTCTTCAGACTTTCTTAAAGTTTCTAAATAAGTCCCAGTTAGTGGAAATGAACTGATTTTAGTTTAATTTTTTTTTATCATGCATTGCTGTCCAAAAGAAGAAAGCTTATTTCTGCCAACTTCTTCTTATCCTCAACTTCCAACCACTGTCACGTCTGTCTTCTTTCTTTTTAATATTTTCAGGTGAATTAGAGGTTTGTCAACCGTAAGAATGAAATATATGGTTTATGGCCTATTTTTATGTAACTGGTCATTCTGAGATCTGGAAAACACTACCTGTGTTTATCTGCAACTAAAATCTAGACACCTGAGCCTACACTGCATAGCGAAACAGGTCACTAGAAAAACACAAGCAATTTAGAAAGGCTTTTAATATTGAACAGTTGCATTTTGTTTCTATTCATGTCTATCGCTTTCTCTTTTTTATTCTAAATTGCTTTATTATATTCTATATTTAATATTCTATCATTAACATGTCAATGACAGTCAATAATAATTGAGGACTCAGGTTTTGTCAATACACTGATTTATAATTAGTACAATATGTTATGAGTTTCCTTCGCACATTAATATTATCAGCTCTTCATTTTTTGTTGTTCACAATATATCTTCAACTACCTTTTTATTTTTAGGCAATGTACATATTACAATTTAAGAATAACATCTTCTTTGTTAAATATTTATTTCCACCCCTTTTCAGAAAATTAGATGGTTTACATTTATTGTTAGAAATAATATAAAGCTTTTCTGGTTTTGTGCTTCTAAATAATATTATTAATATATTCTTTTGTAATTACAAAAGCTCCTTGTTTTTGTTTTGTAATTCCTTTCTCAATAAAATAGAGCTGCAAATATTTTGTTCCTTTAAATATTTCAAATAAATAATTTTCATTTATAATAAAAAATATAAAATATGCCAAAGAATTTATTATTTCAAAAAATATGTCATTCACCAATTTGCTTTTAGATTTGTGAATACAGTCTCATTTTATTTTAATACTTTAATCATAGATCTTAACTTTTTTATAATTAATTTTAATTTGTATTTAACATGGTAATAATATTTTTACTTAATTTTATATTGTTGGGTTAGTAGTCACTGTTAGTACACATAACTATTTTACTTTTTCAACATGTAATTTTCATTAATCTTATTCAGATAAAGTTCATTTTCACTATTTTTCTTCAATTGGAAATATTTCATATTTTAAAGACTTCCATTCCTAACAAATGTGGAATACAACATTTTTAGCTCAAAATATTTTTCAAAACAAAACAGAATTTTTCCAGTCTTCACATATAAAACTAAAGCAACAAGCTCAAGTCTATCCAGACATTTTATACTTCAGAAACGAAAATACTAATCTTACGTGTTTATGGCGGATGTTTTTCTTATAATTTTAGTTAAAAAATATTTGTAGAAGGTTTTTATAGTAATATAGTCAGAAAATTAGTCTGCATTTTTACCTACAAATTAAGCAGTATTTTAAAAATTAGCTCAGGAAATTTTATTTTATATTGTATTTTAGTCTGTATTTGAATGATATTTAAATTCTTAGATTTTCACTTTAGATGTGGGAACTCAGGTGCTTAATTCTATCCTCTTTAATTTTATATCTGTGATTTCTTCTGCTTTGTTTTCAGTTCTATTTTTTTCCTGCACTGCAAAAGAGTTTCTAAAGGTTGTATTTAATATTACAAGCTTCATTTAGTGCTCTATCATTTGGCATTTACATTTTTACATAGTTTTAAAATTATATATATTTCTTTGTATTTTTTATCTAATTTTATACAATTTTAAAAATCATGCACCTCTAATATCTATTGACTAGGTTTAGCTTTCATTTCAGAGATAACATTAATAGTGAAAAATATTATCTTAAATGCAAAGATATTCATTATTTAAAAATTGATCAATGACATTCATTAAATTATCACAGGGACAAAAACATAAAATGATCATCTGTAGAGATGCAGAAAAATAATTTGACAAAATTCAGCACTGATTTATAAGAATTATCAGCAAAATAAGAACAGAAATGAAAATTGACCAACAACCAGAAATGACAGCAACAACAAAATACCAAGTCAGTAAAGATGGAGAGAAATAGGGAAGCAGTGAAGGTAGATGTCATTTCTGTTTTTAGTGGTGGAGTACAAGGTGTTCTTGTGCTTAAAGGTCATGTTCTTGTGATAAAACGCACTGCAGAGACAACACAGTTTAATTGGCTGAGGCAGGTGACTCCCTTTAAGCATCAGGGTGGAACAAACTACACGACAAAATGTAATTTTAAAGACCACTCTCATTCAAATGTAATAATATCAAAGCACCCTTAACTCATTAATGAGTGAAACAATGAGTGTCATGGTCTGAACTGTGTTCCCCTCCCCAAACCCGTATGTTCAAGCCCTAACCCCTAGTTATACACATAAGGTAAATGAAACCTTATTTGGACACAAAGTTTTTGCAGATGTAATCAAGCTAAAATTATGTCTGTAGGTGGGACTTAAAATAACATGGGCTGTCTTTATAAGAAGAGGGAACAGAAACAGATAGGATGTGGAGAGGACCATGTGAAGAGAGAAGCTGAGACTGAAAAGGATTTATGTATTAATATTGACAGAAGCCAAGGAACACCATCTGAAGTTCTGATGGCAACATCAGAAGCTAAGAGAAAGGCATGGAAAAGATTCTCACCTAGAGCATCCAGAGGAGAGGTTGGTCCTGCAGACACCTTGTTTTCTGACCTCTGACCTCCGCAACTGTGAGGGAAGAAATTTCTGTTGCTTAAAGACACACAGCTTGTGGTACTTCATTATAGCAGCCCAAGGTAACTAATATAGATGACAAAATTGGTTCCAAGGGTGTTTGAGGAACTGGACCTTTATAGGCATTATTTTCATAATACTGCATTAAGCTATGATAACTGGATTAGATTCAAAATTGGATAATGCCCTAAATGCAATAAAGCTATAATTTTGAGATAAAATTTTAATAGCTTTATGAGATATAATTAACATCTGGTATACTGCACATTTTTGAGGTGTGAAATTTTTAAACATTAACATACGTATATACTTGTAAAACTATCACACTAGAAAGAGATCTCAAGCCTCTTCTTTTGACTTTCAACACATTGTCAATCCAGTACTAATCTGGTTTTATTACCATATATTAGCTTTTATTTTCTACAATTATATATCAGTAGAATTATAGAGTATGAATTCTTTTTGTCTTTTTTCCTTAAGCATAATATTTTTGAGATTCAACAATTTCTTGCATGTTGAAGTAGCACTTTTTTATTGTTACATATTATTTCATTTCATAGACATACCACTATAATTTATTTACTAAACTCTTGACCAGAGGTTCTCAAATGAGGGACATTTTACCTGCCAGGGGACATTTCCAATGTTTGGGGACACTTCTGGTTATCAGAGGTTTGTGGAGGAGGGGATAGAGTGTCCACAGGCCAGGGTTCCACAAAGGATAGCTCCCCACAACAAAGAATTAAGCCACTTCAACAGCTAATAGTGCTGAACTTGAGAACGCCGCTCTTGGTGGACAGTTGCATGGTGTCTGTTTTTGACAATAATGAATAAAGGTACTTGTGCAAGCCTTTTTACAGACTTATGCTTTTCTCCCCCCTAGGATAAATGCCTAGGGGTAGAATTGGTACATGTAAGGTAGATTTAGTTATCCAAAGTAGCTGTACTGTGTTACACTCCCACCGTCAATGTATGCAAACTCTAGAGTCTGGTTTCTTGACATCTATGCCAAATATTGGTAACACAATTTTTAAAATAGTAGCTTTTCTAGTAGATGTGTATAATTATCTCATTTTATTTTTTATTACTAACGATATTAAGAAATTTTTCATTTGCTTATTTGCTATTATATCATTTTTGTGTAGCATCTGTTAGTTTTTATAGCTCTCTTGTTTCTATGTTGTACATTATATTTATATATTCTTGCTCTTATTCATAATAAATAGTATATATAATTGTGTAATTAAAAATAAACATTAAAGTATAAATATATTTACACATTTCTGTAGTTTATCATTATATAATTATTGCTTTCTGAATAAAAAGAAATGTATCCACAGTTTGGATAAAAAGAAGTGCTTTCATGTAGTTTACTAAGACATTTTCTGTGCTTTATATTTGAAGCCTATGCTTTCACTTTTACACATTGTTCCATAATATATTTTGGACTCCTTTAATTTTGAACTCATTCACGCTTTTGTTGTGAGGAAGGACTTGAGGTTTGTTTTCTTCACATTTATCTCGTAGTTCTGCACACTTTGTTAAATAAAATTATCTTTCCCCTTTGAATAACTGCAGTATCTTTGATATTATATTATTCATATAAGCATGGATCTATTTGTGAACTCTATTCCATTCCATTACTCTAATTGTTTATCCATATACTAATAACACATTCTCTCGATGACTATAGCTTTAAGTTATTGCATGGTGTTAGGAAGTGTGAGTATTCCAACTTTTTTTTCAGCTTTCTATCATTTGTTTTTGCTCTCTTGATGTACATTTTTAAATCAGTGTGTCAATTTATATAAAAATATCTTTTGTGATTATGGTGAGGATTTCTAGAATGATTAATTTGGAAAAACCAAAACCTTTTACACACTAAAATTCACTGAACTTTCAAGCCATGATTATTGTATTAGTTTGTTCCGGCATTGCTATAGAGAAATACAGAAGATTCAACAATTTATGAAGAAAAGAGGTTTAATTGCCCCACTGTTCTGCAGGCTATACAGGAAGGATGATGCTGGCATCTACTTAGCTTCTGGGAAGACTCAGGAAACGCACAATCATGGCAGAAAGCAAAGGGGGACAGGCACGTCACATGGCCAGAACAGCAAGAGAGTGAAAGGGGAAGCTGCTACACACTTTTAAATGACCAGATCTCATGAGAACTCACTCACTCACTATTATGAGAACAGTATCAAGAGGGATGATGCTGAACCACTCATGAGAAATCCACCCCATGATCCAATCACCTCCCATCAGGCCTCACCTCTAACATTGGAGATTACATCATACCAGATTTGGGCAGGGACACACATCAAAACCATCAATTATTGTATGCGACTCCATTTATTTAGAACTTTCCTACATCTCCCAACACTTTTGCTAGTTTCCTATTTAGAGAGATCTTGCATGTAATTTGTTAAAATCATATATACATATTTTATTTTTATTAGTATTTTACATGGATTTGATTTTTATCATTAATTGCTCATTGGAAATATATAGAAATAAGTTAATGGGTTGACTTATTTTTTCTATGATGTGGCTAAAATTACTAGTTTATTCCAGCAGCTGATTTTTACAGTCACTAGAAGTTTATGTGTAGGTAATGGAGTTGTTTAAAAATTTAGAATTGTATTTTTCATTTCTTAACTGTGTATGTTTTACTTATTTATTTGATTTGTCTCACTGGTTAATTCCTCCCATACAGTAGAGAGAACAATAGTGAAAGAGGACACTTTGTCTTCTTCTGGATCTTAAATGAATAATTTATTAGTTCAAACTTCAGTGTGATATTTCCGTAGATGCCTTCTATTTGCTTAAGGATGCTTCTTTGTATTCTATTGGGGCGAGATATTTTTATTATAATTCTATCTTGAAAATGCCAAATGTTTTTTCTGCCTCAGAGGAAGTTTATATATTTTTTTCATTTTACTCAGTTAATGTGGTGAGTTTGAAAATTCAAATACTTGAAAAATCACGTTCCCATCAAACACTGCTTCTTACTGTCCCTTTCTAAGAGGACTACCTTCAACTTGGGCATTTAGAGGATACTTCCCTTCCTATAGCTCAGGGTTTTTTTGTATTTTTTTTATGTTTAAATTTTAGTGATATTTCTTTTATGTGTTTTTAAAATATTTTATGGGCTACTGCATTGACCCATTTGTTTCAACTTTACAGCTCTAGTTAAATATAAAAATTAATAAAATGTCAACACTCAAGTATTACATATATCCCTTGATCTGGTGATTTAGGACTATGAGAAAAATGCTCAATTTCCCTCGATAGAAGGAAGTATGAACTTTTTTATTTATTTATTACTGTAGTCTCACAGCCTAAAAATCAGTAGGTCTCCACTGGTCAGCAAGCAAATGATCATGATTGTTTTTCTGAATTTTTGACAATTTCAGAATAGGCAAGAAAGCTAAGTTTTAAAAATAAAATGCCAACATCAAGAATTTAAAATCAAATTCATCACAGTGAATCCCAACAGGAAATAGTTCTTCATTTTATGATTACTCAGAGATTTTGCTTGTTGTAGTGGTCTTCCTTCTGGCTCATAATTTTTTGCTACTCTGCAGCAGAAATAATAAGAAATATTTTCCCAGTCCACAGCGGTGAAGGAGAAGAAAACTATAAATCAAAAGTAGCATATTCTGTGGATCATTTATTGAAATAAACACAGTGAGTACAAGATGGGTAATCTATTTGCATAATCAAAGACACCCTTCATCTGTGTCTATTTTTCTCTTTTCTTTTCTTTTCTTTTTTTTTTTTTTTTTTTTGAGACAGAGTCTCACTCTGTTACCCAGGTTGGAGTGCAGTGGCATGATCTTGTCTCACTGCAGACTCCGCCTCTCGGGTTCCAGCAATCTTCCTGCCACAGCTTCCTGAGTAGCTGGCATTACAAGGTATGGGCCACCATGCCCGGCTAATTTTTGTATTTTTATTAGAGATGGGGTTTCGCTATGTTGGCCAGACTGGTCTTGAACTCCTGGCCTCAAGTGATCTGCCCGCCTCAGCCTACCAAAGTGCTGGGTTACAGGCATGAGCGACTTGCCTGGCTATGTCTATTTTTAACATAGTTATAGTGAACTATAATTATTTTTACACAAAAACTATTCTTACAAATGTTATATGTATTTTAAGAGCATACAAACTTACAGGTTTTTTTATTTAATAAAAACCAGTGGCAGATTGATAATGCAGAATATATTATTTATAAAAAATCATTTGTTGTCATACAAACATATATTTTATTTGAAAATTATACTTTTGAATAGCTTTTTGGAAAGTTAAAGTATTCTCATTTATTGCATACGTTTGTCACCAAAATTATACGAAAGAGTGTTTGATTCAAAATGTGTGTGTGTGTGTGTTCCTATATAGGACCCAGATAACACATATATATTAAATAAATAAATACATGTATATATATATATCATGCACACACATTTAAATATAATGTAAATGTGTGTGTGTGTGTGTGTGTGTGTGTGTGTGTATGTGTATGTGTATGTGTATGCAGATGCCCCTCTGGAAACAAATTTAAAAAGAATCCCCTCTTTTGAGTGTATAAAGAAGTTCCTTTCTTAAGGAATGGATAACAGGGGTTGGTACTTTGGCTGAATTCCTCTTCCTCTTACTTTCATTAGACTTGGCACTGTTGCATAGAACACAATTTTCCAAAATGTAATGTCTGTGTTATGCCTACAAATGTACCATACATAACAATTTGTCATTTTCTGTAATTACATACTGACCTATTTAACATTTATCTAACCACTTATATATCTTAATCAAAATAAATCAACCCATGTAAATTGTTTATTTCTATTGTCTTTCTCAGTATAATGCACAAGATACCTTTCTATCTCTATATGTATTTGTCATTTTCATGTCTGTCCCTACATGAGTTGACTCTATTTTTCTGTTACATAGATATGTGATGTTAGTACAATATATGTTAACTAAAAATGGATGATGCAACCTTTTAAAATTATGACCATCGCAGTGAAAATTATGTCTCTAAAACCCAATGACCACAGGGACATTCCAGTTTTTAGAAAAATATCAGGGGCTTAGGTATTTTCAGATTAAATTAGGAAAAATAGAGTATCTTTCCATTTATTTATGTGGGCAAATTTCCCATTTGTTCACATTAAATCTTTTAATGGCATATTGCCTAAATCTTTCTCAGAAAAGCTTAGCCAAATTGCCTAGGATGTTTCCTTTCTCCCATATTACCATCACTGTTTACCATCATATTTCTAATAATTTTAATTTTGGAACATGAAAATGGTATTTCAATTTAAATGCGTATGTTTTTCTATTTGCAAAGAGATTAAACATCTCTTCAAGTTTTTAAACTATATGCAGCCCTTCTTTTCTGCCATACCTGTTCATTTCCTCAAGCTATTTTTCCATCAGACAGTTTCATGTTTTCTCATTGATTTGAAGCTTCTATTAAAGTATTGTATACACATGGGTAAATGCACATAAGTTTAAAGCTTAGTGAGTTTTAAAATACTATGATCATCCAGAATAAGAAAATGTAATAGTCACACACCTGATTTCCACCCATCCCTCCTAACATAACACTATTCTAACTTTTACCAGTAAGGAATCAAATAGTGTGTGTAGTGTTTTGAACCACATTTTTTTGCTTAATATTATATTTGTGAGACGAATTGACTATATGACCTGCAAATGAAACTATTTATATTTATTTCTCTAATATTTTATTAGGTGATCATATTACAACTTATTTGTTTACTGTACTCTTTATAAGTATTTTAGTCCACTTTTGGGCCACAGTTTGGGGTTATTTTGGTGTTATTCTGAAAAGTGTTTTCATGAGTACACATTTTTTTTTAGCTATATATATGCATGCATTTCTGGAGAAACCATCTTTACAAGTAGAATTTTGGGGCCTAATACATATCTTTATCCAAATTATTTGAACTAAGTTATGCCAATAACATCAATTTGAGTGTTCTAATTAGTCAACATTCTCATCAATACTTTGCACTTTCTCTTCAACTTAGAATTCTAAAATATTCCTTTCAAATTCAGGATTCTGAATGACAAGTACTTACATCTCATTGTGGTTTGAATTATTTTTTCAGGTAACCAATATAAATAAAAACCTTTTAATAAGTTCATTGGTTATTTGAATATTTTATTTTTGAAGTGTCTAAGATATTTTCTTTCTAATCCAGTCCAGTTATTTTTCTGTGGTTTGCTTCTTGTTGTCTTATTGAGTTCATTGCCTTTTTAATATTCTTTTCCGGTTAACATTTCCCCCTCATTGATCTGAAATGTTTTCATTATATACCACCTTTCCATATCTGTCAATGTCTTGATTTTCTATATGATCTTCATCTATCTGTAGTTATAACTCATTTTAATCATAGAAGCTTTAAGAATTGCTTAATATTTTGTATTGACTCCAAATTCCATTGATTTTATAGGATATTTCTAGCTATTCTTGCTTCTTTATTCCTCCAAGTAAATTTGTCTATTTTTCTAAATCTGGAAAAAGAAATTCTAGAAAATGTCGTTTTGTTATGACACAGAAGATATAAGTTTATTTAAAGAACTGGCACATTTATGATTTTAAGGCTTTTTCAAGAGCATGGAATTTCTTTCCCCGTGCTCAAGTCCAAATTTGTGCCATTCAGAAGTGTTTTCTAGTTTTTTTTATATATAGGTTTTAAACATTTCTGGTTAAGTTTATGCCCTCACATTTTATTTTAGTTTGGTTAATGACGTTTTACATGTGTGAGTTCCCTCAATTATTTGTTTTAAATGTTCTGATTCAATAGGAACACTCTCCTTAGTATCCTTAACAGAAATGATTCTTGTTTATAGAATTGCTAAATAAGTAAAGAAATTTTAAGTTAAATCATGGCAAGGAGTTATAATTATACTAAGCTTTTTTGTTCCTAGAGGTTTTGGCTCACTCGTATGGTAATCTATATGAAAATTTTTCTGTGATATCTAATATTAGAAAGATCCTCAGTGATAGAATAGTGTTTCTTCCTAGCTGATTCATACATCTTTCTCTGCCAACATTTTGTTTGTTGAAGTGTTCCCCAACATATGACTCATTGCTTACTAAATCCCTATTGAGCAGCCAAAGCCCTGGTGACTAATTATGTCATTAATTTGGGAAAGTCAGAGACAATAAGACTGTCAGTTGAAACTTTGTAGGAGGTAAAAAAGTCACTGCTGTCAGCTGCAAAGATCCTTAAAACGGTCTTCAGTAAAGTCAAATTTTGTGACAAGAATTATTGCATCAAAGTCGGGGAAATACCTCTTAGATCAAATAAGATACATTGAAAAGCCAAAAATTATTTTTATCTCACTTTGGGTTCTCATAAGGTCTACCCACTGTTACTTGGATATGAGACTTAACAAATGGAAAAGAAGACAGGGGTACTGTCACACTGTATTTTCCTACGGCCTAATGACCACAATGGTTGATGAACTGCAGTAAAGTTTCTATAATATTTTCCATCTATTCATTTGCTCAATCACCTTGTAATGGTTATGTTGGTTAATTCCAGTCTTTCATGGGTAAGCAACAAAATGAGACTTAATTTGAAATATCCAGTATTTTTCTATTCTTACAAATAATTTTCAGGATCAATGCACTGAGGATTAGGAATGGCAATGTGTATTACTACTTTGATACCAACTATATCCAATCTAATGTTGGAATTTGTTTGACAAAGTGTTGTGTATTTGAAAACAGGCAGCACTGAATAAAAAGAATATGGGCAAAAGAAAAATGGAAGTGTTTTGAATGGAAGTCTAAAATATTTATTGATCAATGCTGAACTGAGTAAGCAGGAGATGCCTGTACATAAATGACATTATCCTGATCTAGTAACAGGGAGAAGCAGAATATCTGAAAGCTGTTTATTAATTTGATAATAATAAGATTAGAAACATGCAAATCAAGATTAATAGTATTCACTTCTAATTGGGTTTAGGTAGACTTTGACTATTTTGCTTCTGATGTTCTTATATTTTTAATTTTCTATAATGATCATATAACATATAATATTTTCATAATATTAAACATTTTAGAATTAAACTCCATTAGAGTGTATCTTTCCTAAAATAATATAAACATCCAATCTTGTCCTTAACAATTCTGTTCTCAAACATTAGCCTATTCCCTCAAGCCAGTGTTGCTTTCGACCCATATTGTCCATCATTTCAATTTATCTCAAAGTTTTTTATTGCAACAATTAAATGCTTTGAATGATACCCAAGGCATAGTTCTATTTCAACAAAATTTCAAAGTTAATAGTTACATCAAATTTTGTTGGTGCTCATTGAATTTGGTTATTAAAACCATAAGTAGTATGTTTTATGCTGACTGAGGGAGATAAAAGTAGTAATGTTTAATATTCAAACTGTGATGACTGAAAAAAAAATGAGGCCTGTAAAATCTTATTTAACGTCAAATTTTAATTAAACAGGCTTAGCAGACCAAAATTAAAATCTCAATTATTTTTAAATTATTAATGACAGACAACTAGATTGAGTGAACACTGGCATCTCTTTTCAAATAACTTAGTTTAGTGGATGAGTTAAACATAAACTAGTTATTATAATGCAGCGAAGTATGTGAAAAATTTAATTTGAACCCTACTTAGCTTAAAATCCTGACATTCTAGGATGCAAGTCCTGCAAACTTTCCATATGTAATCAACAATTTTCTAAACATGCATGCTGTATCTCTCCTGTGTGACTTTGCATACATCATTCCCACATTCTAGATCATCCCGACCCACCTTAAGTGACTGCTTTTGCATAATCTCCCTTAAAATTCTAACTCAAGCACTGCATCTTTTGAGTCCTTCCCTAACATCTTAACATCTTCCTTCTTTCATTCATCATTAACTATAGTTAGTTATTATAGCACCTGTTAGCACTGTAAAATTATGTGTGTTACACAAGTACAACATGCAGACTAAGGTCGTGTATTACCTAGCCTCATACCAGCGTCACCTAGAACAGCAAAAATGTATGCAGATTAATCACAATATATTTGGATGTACAAAATATATTGAGAGCAAAATATGATGGAAATTTAGGTGATGCTCTTTGAGCATTGCTTCCATTTTCCAATAATGTAACCAGGAATCACTGTTCATGTAATTAAAGAACAATAAGTCTATGTGAATCAAAATATACATATACATGCAAATGTTAAACCTCAGCAGGAAGAGGCCCATTCTCTTGCTTGCTGATATATATATATATATATATATATATATATATACACACACACACACACACACACACATATATGTATGTTGTGTGTATATGTATATACACACAACAATCTATAGGCTTGCCTTTTAAAATAGTATAAGCAACAAATTTTAAGAGAAACAATAATGAGTGTGTAAAACATTAGATATGTGTATGTACCTTTGCTATTATTTGTGGAAATGGGGCTATAAAATAAGCTCCTTTATTTTCTTTTGTAAAACATTTCTTTAATATGAAGTAATGCAATACGTATTTATGTTCTAAGTGTTAATTTCCTTGGATATAAAATAATATCTTGTTCCTTTGATTCTCTTACATATAAGTGTATTTACTCAGATATTACTCCAAATACACCAGATATATTCAAAGTTGAAAAAATATATACTTTGGAATGTATTATCACCTTATTTCACATGAAGAAATCAAAATCTCTGGCATCCAAGTGCATTCCAGCCTGAAAAAAATTATGCAATTGTGAATTTAACAGAAAGCAAATTGCTCACATATGGAGTCAACGTGAAGCTATATCAATATTTATTAAAAGTTTATATATTACTTTTGATCCCCTGGAGAGAAATACAAAATTCAAATAATTATTCTATTTTTATATCCCAATTTGTAATTATGAAACTCTAGCATTTTAATTTTTCTCTTTCAAGTTTACCTGAAGCTTCACAAAATTCTGTGAGGAATCTATTATAACAGGTATTTTGCTTATTTCCACACAAACAGAAGGAAATGTGTATTTTCTATGCCCTGAAGAATTTACTCTTTTCTGTAAATGACATATGGTAGTTAATTCTTTTTGGTAATAAAATATTCCTGTTTTTAGGCCGAACAGCCTTTTCTTTAAATTCAGGGCAACATATCAAAGCTTTGCCGTAATAATACAGAGTAATCGACTAAAGTAATATAGAATTTAAATAACAAAGAGTTTAAACAATTTAATATGTCTTCTATTAATTTCAAACTGAAATTTTACAGAAATTATTTGGAATATGCTGCCAGAGTACACACACACACACACACACACACACACACACACACCACACGCTCACATCACACACTCACACCCAGCTAAAGGAAATTACCACAGCTATAATGATTTCATTAAATATCTGAAATTAAAGTTTCTTTTGGATTTTCAGCTGAAGCTCATAGTAAATAAAAGTAATATGATCATTGTTGCATACTGTGAATCAACAGCACCCAGAAACCTTCGACTTTCTATATTTACACAGCTTAATTATCCGAACTGAAACCTGAGGCCATCTGTGTCAACATGATTTCACAATTCATTTTTCAGGAAAGTAAGGCTGCAAACCAATAAATAACTTATTGTTTGCTTCAGGAAATTTCTGCAAATCAATTTATGTCAGTAAGCAACTCTCCTCTGGGCCAACAGATTGCTCACCTGGGCAGGTAGCAGCTTGTGTCAATTAACAGTTTACTTATGAAGACTTCTGTCATGGCCCTTAACTCACAGTGTCCCCCAATCCTAAACTCTATGTCCTGAACATTACCTATTCTTATCAGTCATTGGTCTTGAAAGGCCCCGGGCAACCATTTGAGCCCAGACTTCAATACTCTATCAATACCACCTTATCATCTACTTTTCTAACATGACCCCTCAAGGTGGTGACCCCACTTACAGTCGTCTTTTATTGAATTTAGCTTTCCCTAATCAACATGCTAGTCTATTGGATGCAGTGTCGGAGGCAAAAATCACAGAGGTTCTGAAAGCATCAGCCCATGGTTTTCTAAACATCATGGTTCAAGACCCTTAACACGAAACAGAAAGTTTCCCCGAGGCGCCGTAAACAACCCATTTGGGCGCTTCCCTGATAATTATAGTGAAATCTGGCATCTAATTTTTTTTGGTGGACTCTCAAATTTTATATTTATGTTTTGATTCCTAGAAATAAAAAATGTTTTTATAAGGAATTCTTTGATCGTTTATGTTTTATTCTTGATAGAAACCTACTACTTTATAACTTCGTTTATGTTTTACTCTTGATAGAAACCTACTACTTTATAACTTCGAACATTATTGATGTTCTTCCTGTATTTCTGAGAGGTGACAGCTTGCTGGCATCCCTCGCTGGCTCTCGGCGCCTCCTCGGCCTCAGCCCACTCTGGCCGCGCTTGAGGAGCCCTTCAGCCCGCAGCTGCACCGTGGGAGCCCCTCTCTGTGCTGGCTGAGGCCTGAGCGGGCTCCCTCTGCTGGCGGGGAGGTGTGGAGGGAGAGGCGCGGGCCGGAACCTGGGCTGCCTGCGGTGCTCGCAGGTCCAGCGCGACTTCCGGGTGGGCGCGGGCTCAGCGCGACTTCCGGGTGGGCGCGGGCTCGGCGCGCCCCGCACTCTTGAGCGGTCGGCTGGCGCCGCCGGCCCTGGGCAGTGAGAGGCTTAGCACCCGGGCCAGCAGCTGCGGAGGGTGCACTGGGTCCTCCAACAGTGATGGCCCGCCGGCGCCGCGCTCGAATTTTCGCTGGGCCTCAGCCACCTCCCCGCGGGGCAAGGGGGCAGGGCTCGGGACCTGCAGCCTGCCATGCTGGAGCCCTCACCCTCCTCCCCGCCCCCGTCCCCTGCCCCCCGCCCCCTGCCCCCCAACCGCAGGCTCCCGCGCGCCACCCCGAGGGGACGGGCGCCACCTCCTGCTACGCGGCACCCGGTCCCGTCAACCGCCCAACGGCTGAGGAGTGCGGCAGCGCGCCAGAGACTGGCGGGCAGCTCCGCCCGCGGCCGGGATGCACTAGGCAAAGCCAGCTGGGCTCCTGAGTCCGGTGGGTACTTGGAGAACTTACTACGTCTAGCTGGAGGATTGTAAATGCACCAATCAGCATGCTGTGTCTAGCTCAAGGTATGTGAACGCACTAATCAGTGCTCTGTGTCTAGCTAATCTGGTGGGGACTTGGAGAACTTTTGTGTCTAGCTAAAGGATTGTAAACAGACCAAGCAGCTCTCTGTAAAATGAACCCATCAGCTCTCTATGAAATGGACCGATCATCAGGATGTGGGTGGGGTGAGATAAGGGAATAAAAGCAGCTGCCAGAGCCAGCAACAGCAACGTGCTAGGGTCCCTTTCCACAGTGTGGAGGCTTTGTTCTTTTGCTCTTTGCAGTCTTGCTGCTGCTCACTGTTTGGCTCTGCGCAGAGCTGTAACACTCACCAAGAAGGTCTGCAGCTTCACCCAAAGATATTCCAAAGATACAGAAAACTATATAGAGACATTTTGTATAGTTCTAATAGCATATAATCCACAGGTCCCTGATCTATAATATGGGTTTTTTATAAAATTGTTTTTTTGTATGCTATGAGGAATTTTACTTGTTAAAAAGAAGAGGTGGAAAGGCAGAATATGAAAACTATGAAAATGACATAAGAGACTATGAATTAGGTGAGAAACCAGAGAGGTTTAGAAACCTGTAGACATTGTGCATCCCCCAATGCCTTTCCCCTTAAAAAAATATTATATTCTAGTCCAGTCCATCAAATAAAGTCTACATTCATTAGAAACATATTCTCTTGGTTTTTATAATTTCAGTTTTTTCCAGACACAGTGCATATGCAGATTTGTTACTTTTGTACAGTGCACCCTGGTAGTGAGCATAGTACCCAGTAGGTAGTTATTCAGCCCATGCTCCCCTCTCTCCCCCACCCCCATAGCCTGCAGCATGTCTTGTTCCCATGTTAATGTTCCTGTGTGCTCAGTGTTTAGGTTCCACTTATAAGTGAGAATGTGTGGTATCTGGTTTTCTTTTCCAGCACTAATTTGCTTAGGATTATGTCCTTAGCTCCATCCATGTTGCTGCAAAGGACATAATTTCATTCTTTTTTATGGAGGCATAGTATTCCATAGTGTATATGTACCACATTTTCTTTATCCAATCCACCTTTGATGGGCACCTAGGTTCATTCCATGTCTGTGCTATTGTGAATAACATGCTGATGAACGTACGAGTGCATATATATTTTTCTGGTAGAATAATTTATTTTCCTTTGAATATATACCCAGTAATGGGAATGCTGGGTCGAAGGGTATCTCTGTTTTAAGTTCTTAGAGAAATCTCCAAAATACTTTCCACAGTACCTGAACCAGTTTACATTTCCATCAACAGTAGTGTATAAGCATTCCCTTTACTCTGCAGCCTGGCCAACATCTAATTTTTTTTACTTTTTAATTATAGCTGTTGTGACTGATGTGAGATGGCATCTTACTGTGGTTTTTGCTTGCATTTATTTATTTGATGATTAGTAAGGATGAGTGTTTTTTCATATACTTGAGTGTCTTCTTTTGAGAAAATATCTGTTCATGTCCTTTGCCTTTTCTTGATTTAAATTTTAAGTTGTGGGGTACATGTGCAGGAAGCGCAGTTTTGTTACATAGATAAACGTGTGTGGTGGTGGTTTGCTGCACCTATCAACCCATCACCTAGGTATTAAGCCCAGCATGCATTAGCTATTTTTCCTGATGCTCTCCCTCTCCTCAACCCCCTACAGAAAATTATAGTGTGTGTTGTGTGTTGTTCCCCATTGTGTGTTGTTCCCCTCCCTGTGTCCATGTGTTCCCATTGTTCAGCTCCCACTTATAAGTGAGAAGATGCGGAGTTTGATTTTCTGCTCCTGTATTAGCTTTGCCCTTTTTAACTGGGGTTGTTTTATGCTTGTCATTTTTTCTTCCTTATGGATTTGTTATATTAGATCTTTATCAGATGCATAGTTTGCAAATATTTTCTCCCATTCTGTAAGTTGTCTGTTTACTCTGTGGATAGTTTCTATTGCTGTGCAGAAGCTTTTTAGTTTGATTGACTTTCACTTGTCAATTTCGTTTTTGTTGCAATTGTTTTTAGAAACTTAGCCAAAAATTATTTGCCAAGGCCAATGTCGAGAAAAATATTTCCTAGGTTTTGTTTTAGAGTTTTCATAATCTGAAGTCTTACATTTTAACCTTTAATCCATCTTGAATTAATTTGTGTGTGTGGTGGAAGGTAAGCATCCAGTTTCACTCTTCTGCTTATGGCTAGCGAATTATCCCAGCACCATTTATTGAATAGGGTGCCTTTTCCCCATTGTTTGTTTTTGTTGGCCTTGTCCACGATCCAGATGGTGGTAAGTGTGCAGCTTTATTTTTGAGTGTTCTATTCTGTTCCATTGGCTTAAGTGTCTGCTTTTGTAACAGTATCATGGTTAGTGTACACTTATAGTATAGCTGGAAATTGGGTAGTATGACGCCTCTCTGGCTTTATTATTTTTGCTCAGAATTGCTTTGGCCATTCTGGCTTTTGGGGGTGTTCCATATAAATTTAGAATAGTTTTTTCTAATTCTGTGAAGAATGATGTTGGTAGTTTCATGGAGATAGCCTTGAATCTACAAGTTGCTTTGGGCAGTGTGGCCATTTTAACAATATTGATTCTTTTAATCTGTAAACATGGAATGTTATTCCATTTATTTGTGTTATCAAAATCTCCTTCCTTCCTTCCTTCCTTCCTTCCTTCCTTCCTTCCTTCCTTCCCTCCCTCCCTCCCTCCCTCCCTCCCTCCCTTCCTCCCTCCCTTCCATCCTTCCTTCCTTTTCTTATTTCCTTCCTTTTTTGAGACAGAGTCTCACCCTTTCACCCAGGCTGGAATGCAGTGGAGTCATTATAGCTCACTGCAGGCTTGAACTCCTGGCCTCAAGCCGTCAGGGTAGTTAGGACTACAGGCATGTGCCACCATGCCTCGCTATTTAAAAAAAAAAAAAAAATTTGTATAGATGAGGTTCCACTATGTTGCCTAGGTTGGTCTCAAACTCCTGGGTCCAAGCGATATACCTGCCTCGGCCTCCCAAAGGCATGAACCACTGCATCCAGCTTCAGATTTCAGCTGTGTTTTGTAATTCTCCTTGTGGAGATCGTTCACATCTTAGGTTAGTTGTATTTGCAGGGATTTTATTTTCATCCTAGGTGTTGTAAATATGATTGTGTTCTTAATTTAACTCTCAACCTGGATGTTGTTGTTGTATAGAAATGCTACTAATTGTTGTACATTGATTTTGTATCCTGAAACCTTGCTAAAATCCTTTATCATTTCTAGTAGACTTCTGTTGAAGTCTTTAAGGTTTTTTAGGTATAGAATGATATTGTTGGGTGAAGACAGATAGTTTGCCTTAATCTTCACTTCCTATTTGGGTGCTTTTCTCTTTTTCTGTTGCAAGATTGCTCTGACTAGGATTTCTGGTACTATGTTGAATAGGAGTGGTAAGAGTGGATGTCCTTGGCTTGTTTCATTTCTAAAGGAGAATGCTTTCAGCTTTTGCCCATTGAGTATTATATTGGCTGTGGGTTTGTTGTAGATAGCTCTTTTTTATTTTGAAGTATGCTTATTTGAAGCCTCAACTGTTGAGGGTTTTTTTTTGTTTTGTTTTTTCATGAAGGGACACTGGATTTAATTGAAAGCTTTTCCGGCATCCATTGAGATGATCATATGGTTTTTGATTTAATTCTGTTTATCTGGTGAATCACATTTATTGATTTGCATATGTTGAACCAGCCATGCATCCCAGGAATAAAGCCTGTATTGTCATAGTAGATTAATTTTTTGATATGCTGCTGATGGATTCAGTTTGCTAGTACTTTGTTGAGAATTTTTGAGTCTATGTTCGTCAACAGTGGTCACCTGAATGTTCTTTTTTTTTGCGTCTCTGCCAGGTTTTGGTATTAAGCTGCTTCTGGCTTCACAGCGTGAGTTAGGAAGGAGTACGTTCTCTTCAACTTTTCTGGAATAGTTTCAGTAGAATTGTACTAGTTCTTCGTTATACTTCCGGTAGAATTTTGCTGTGAATCCATATAGTCCAGGGCTTTTTGGCTTGGTAGATTTTTTATTACTTATTCAATTTCAGAGCTTCATATTGGTCTCTTCAGTATTTCAGTATCTTCCTGATTCAATCTTGGAAGATTGCCTGTTTTCAGAAATTTATCCATTTCCTCTAGATTTTCTAATTTTTGTGTCTAGAGTTATTCCTAGTATTCTCTGAGGATTATTTTGTATGTCTGTGGGACCATTTTTAATGTCGTTTTTGTCATTCTGATTTATATATTTAGATCTTCTCTTTTTTTTCTTTGTTTATCTAGCTAAAGGTCTATCAATCTCTTTTTTTAAATCAACTCTTGGTTTCATTAATCTTTTGTATGGATTTTTGCATCTCAATTTCATTCAGATCTTCTCTATTTTAGTTGTTTCTTTTCATTCCTAGCGTTGATGTAGGGTTGTTCTTTTTTTTTTCTTCCCTAGTTCCTTTAGGTGTAGTGTTAGATTGTTAATTTGAAGTATTTCTAACTTTATGATAAAGGCATTTAAACGTTCCTCTTAACACTGATTTAGCTGCATCCCAGAGATTTTGGTAATTTGTGTTCCCATTTTCATTAATTTCACTTTCTTAAAATTTCTCCCTTAATTTTGATTTTCACACAGAAGTTATTCAGGAGAAAGTTGTTTAATTTTCATCTATTTGTGTAGTGTTGAGAGATGTTGATATTTATTTATATTTTGATTACATTGAGATCTAAGAGTGTGCTTGATATGATTTCATTTTTTAAAATTTATCCAGACTTGCTTTATGACCAAGCATGTGGTCAATGTTAGAATATGTTCCCTGTGCAGATGAGAAGAATGTATATTCTGTGGTTATTGAGTGGAGTGTTCTGTAGATGTCTTATTAGGTCCAAATGGTCAAGTGTGAAGTTTAAGTACACAGTTTCTTTCTTGGTTATCTGCTTTGATGATCCAGTGCTGCCAGCGGGGGTGTTGAAGTCTCCTACAGTTATTGGGTGGTCGTCTGTCTTTTTGTAGTCCAAAAAGAACTTGTTTTATGAATCTGGGTGCTCCATGTTGGGTGCATTTATATTTAGGGTACTTAAGTATTCTTGTTTGATCATATACTTTCTCATGACGTAATGCTCTTCATTCTTCAATTGTTCTTTTTAATTTTGATTAAAGTCTGTTTTATCTGATATAAGAATAGTTACTCCTGCTTTTTTGTTATCATTTGCATGGCAGATTTTCTCCATCCCCTTATTTTGGGCCAGTGGCTGTCATTACATATGAGATGAGTCTCTTGAAGACTACAGATGGTGAGCCTTGCATTTTTATCCAGTTTGCCATTGTATGTCATTTAAGTGGGGGTGTTTAGCCTATTTACATTTATGGTTAATGTTGATACATGAGATTTTGATCCTATCATCACGTTTGTAGCTGGTTTTTAGGTAGACTTGATTGTGTAGATACTTTATAGTGCCTGTGAGCTATGTACTTAAGTGGGCTTTTGTGGTAGCAGGTGTCATTCTTTTTACTCAATGTATAGCACTCCCTTAAGGACCTTTCATAAGGCTGGTCAAGTTGAAATTGATTCCCTCAGTATTTGCTTATCTGAGGAGAAATTTGTTTCTTCTTCACTTAGGAAGTTTAGTTTAGTGAAATATAAAATTATTGCCTGGAATTTATTTTCATTAATGATGTTGGACATAGGCCCTTAATCTCTTCTGGCTTGTAAGGTTTTTGCTGAGATATTTACTACTAGCCTAGTGGAGTTCTTGCTTTATGAAAACATGACCTTTCTCTCTAGCTGCCTTTAAGATTTTTTTTTTCTTTTGTATTTACTTTGGTGAATATGATGACTGTGTGCCTTAGGGATAGTCACCTTTTGTAGTGCCTAGCTGGGTTTGCTGTATTTTTTGGATTTACATGTCACTCTCTCTAGCGAGGTTAGGAAAATTTTCATAGACTCTATTCTCAAATCTATTTTCCAAGTTGCCTTTTCTCTTTGTTTCTCTTCTAGGAATGACAATGAGTCGTAGATTTGGTCTCTTTATATAATTCCATATTTCTTAAAGCTTTGGTTCATTTTCTTTTTTTAATTCTTTTTTAAAATTTTCTTTTGACTCAGTTGATTCAACGAACCAGTCTTTGAGCTCTGAGATTCTTTCCTTAGCTTGGCCTACCTTCTGTTAATATTTCTTATTGTATTATAAAATTCTTATACTGAATTTTTTCTGCTCTAGAAATTCAGTGTGGCTGTTGTTTAAAATGGCAATTTCATCTTTCAGCACTTACTTAAATTGCTTTACTGGATTACTTGGCTAGGGTTTCAACTTTCTCCTTAATGTTCATGAGCTTCCCTGCCATCGAGGTTCTGTATTCTATGTCTGTTGCAATTATTTTAGACTGATTAAGAACCATTGCTTGGTAGCTAGTGGGCTAATTTTGAGGTAAGAGGACACTCTAGCTTTTTGAATTGCCAGAGTTCTTGCACTGATTTTTTCTCTTCTGGTAGGGTTAGTGTTCCTTTAACTGTAGTGTATGTTGAGTATAGGCAATTGGTTTTGTTTCTGGATGCTTTCAAAGGGTCAGGGCTTTCTCTGTCCAGGATTTTTATGTATGAGTAATTCTGGTGTTTGGTTTCACAGGTGTATATGTAGCAGGATAAATTTTGATGTTGTAGTTTGGGATGTGATCCAATGCATAGTGCTTAAGAGTGATGGCCAGTGGCTAGCCTAATACCCAGTGGCATGGCTGTTTTATACTTCCTTTTGTTTGCAGGTGTGCTCTATAGTGGGGGTGGGAGAGATGCCTCCATCACCAGATGTGCTCCTGGGCCCTGGGGGAGTCTCCTGCAATCACTGTGTTTCTTGTGTTAGGTGTTCTAGGCCACAGGTCTCTCTCAGGCAGAGGCCCTTTCCTAGGAGCCATTCTGGGGAACTAGCTGTAGTGTTTGGGTTCCCTGCACAGGCTTCCTCCCTCTTCAGCTCAGCTTCATTGCTGCCTCTGCATCCACTCAGCATTTTCTCTCTCAAGATCTGCCTAAATTACGGTGGTTTACTCCATAATTTGGTATCTCTCAGTGGGGGTGGTGCTTCCTGACCATGTCAAATTGACCATGTATTGTCACAGAATGAAAACCTTTTGATAGACTTTGTAACATTTTTGAATATTACATTCAGGAGTAAAATCTTACGCAGTGTGATCCCAGCTTTCTCTTCACTTTTGAGAATAACCTTAAGTAATTAAAGGATAATTAAATATGTAATTAAAAATTGAAAAATATAACAGCTACACTTCCAGATGTTAGCTTCTTTCAGAAAATTTTAAAATCTCTTTAAAGAAAGGTAAATTGAGACCAAAATAGATTAATAGCTTTATAAAAATAAGTGCTCAAGGAGGGTGTTACATGTGAAAATTAAACTTGGAATTTGTCATTTTACCCGTAAAATTACTGAGAGTAATTTCCTTGAAATGGAAATAACTTTACAAATTTTTAATTAACAAAAATGCTAAAATATTACTCCGCTTACCTTTATGTAACCTCTTCCTTGAAAACAACAATTTACTCATCTGGTGTGTGACTCTTGATAACCTTCAATCATTCTCTATATCTGACACCATGACTAGTAACTTAGATCTTTAACTAAGCAACCTTTCTTTCCACCTTTGTGATATTATATCTAGTAATTTAATAACAGACAATCTATGTTGCAAATTAAACTTCCAAATTGAATAGTAATTTTCAAATCCCAAGGACCCATTTCTTCTGCCTCAATCTTAATTAGGTCTTAGTTAATAGAAAAATTAACTGGCTGGGTGCGGTGGCTCATGCCTGTAATCCCAGCACTTTGGGAGGCCAAGGTGGGCGGATCACCTGAGGTCTGAAGTTCGAGACCATCCTGGCCAACATGGTGAAACCCCATGTGTACTAAGAACACAAAAAATTGGCCGGGTATGGTGGTGGGTGCCTGTAATCCCAGCTACTCAGGAGGCTAAGGCAGGAGAATCACTTGAACTGGCGGGGTGGAGGATGCAGTGAACCGAGATCCCAGCACTGCGCTGCAGCCTGGGCAGCAACAGTGAAACTCCTCAGAAAAAAAAAAAAAAAAAAAGAAAAAGAAAAAGAAAAAAGAAAATTAACTAAATCAAGCCTAAATAAAACATATTCACAAAGTGGCAGACTTTTTTAATCCAAAAATTTAACTGTATTAATGTCTCATTTGTAGAACATTATTTTACAATGAGGTTTTACACATCAATCAGTTGAGTCACTTCTTTTTTTTTTTGAGATGGAGTCTCGCTCTGTTGCCCAGGCTGGAGTGCAGTGGTGTGACCTCAGCTCACTGCAGCCTCCACCTCCTGGGTTCAAGCGATTCTCCTGCCTCAGCATCCTGAGTACAGGCACTACAGGCACGTGAGCAAGAGAAGCTGACAGATTCAAATGTTCACAAACATTTATGTTCTATTTTGATAGATACATAAACTATGTTTCTCATTCTTATATACTTTATATTAGGGCATGGGATTAAAGTCAAAATAGTGGAAAATTAGTAGAAATAACATATTTTATATCCAATTTAGTCTCCAAAATCCCAACATGCACTCTTCTGTATACGTTTTTCAGTATGCTTGACTGGAACGGCCAATTCTACAGTAGTCTTGGAAGCAACATACTGCAGATTAAATACCTTAGTAGCCTATGTTCTTGAATGCGGACATAAAGGAGCAATGCTTTTCCTATCTTAAAAAAACAGTTTATATGAATGAAACTTCTGTTCTGTTTAAGATATTATATGTTGTTGAGTGTAGTTGTCAAAGCAACTAGCACGATTCCAAGTAATATAGAAATCACCAGCTTGAGTTGGGTCTGCCATAACAGCACCTAAAACGTATCCACTAAATTAGTATTAAATGGACAAGTAAACCAAACTCAGAGGGTTGAAATGAAGACTTGTAATACCCAGTGAAAAAAAATTATTGAAACTACCATCTAAAATTAATTGGAAGCTTAATATTACCTCTAGGAAAGAGTGTGGGAAATGAGGAAAGGCAAAAGGTAATGTGTTCATGTTTGTTCTGTTCCATAATCCAAGAAATAGATAAACACAGGCAAAAAAAAAAAAAAAAAAGAAATATCCTGTCTTTAGAGTGGAAAGAAAGTGGATAGAGTTGAGTTGCTAAACCTTAGCATTATTGACATTTTATGCCTGATATTCCTGCATTCTGTGGGAGGTTATTCTTTGCATTGTAGGATATTAATAGTATCTTTAGGCTATACCACCACATACCAGTAGCATCACCACCTAATCATTATAATTCAAAATGTCTCCAGACACTGACAAGTGTTCTATGGAAACAAAGTCATTCCTTGTTGGAAACCACTTGTAAACAAAAAGTCTAGTAATGGTGGAATTATACAGTGACAGAAAAGCTCAGGTTTTTCTGATTAGGTTGAAAAAGCTGCTCAGAAATTAAATCCTACTGTGTTCATAAAAAACAAGGAACCCAGCCCTGAAGCAAAGAACTCATCAGGGAAGTTGTTTTCTCTTTCAAGTCTGTGATTTCAAATGACCTTAAAGTGGTCATCTTTACAGTCAGAGAAGCATATGTGTGTTGGGGAGGAGAAAAAAGAAGGAAATGAGGCAGACTTTAGAATTATACCTAGGAAAGAACTGTATGTTTGGTTATAAACTAGATCCAATAAATAAATAAATGGTTTCCATATAACTACTTGGCAAAGGTACAATAAGCCTATTGTGAGAAAAAAAATTAAGGCTTAAAATATCCTCAAGCATCCCAAATTGCACTAATCAGTGCAATTGATGAGTCATGCTGAGAAAACACTCATTGTTCTAATTTAAGATGGAGGCATGGAGAATAAGAGAAAATGTAAATTACCTCAGAAAGTAAATCTATGAGCCACAGGGACAATGGACCTTAAAGTTATTTCCACAGGACATGTTTATGGTTTCATCAAATAAATATTTGTACTGCTCAGAAATATTTTTGTCAGTGCTCTGCAGACTTCTTTGTCTTCTGATAGGAGCTTCACCATGGTAACTTAGATTTTACAGATAATTTGTCTTTTGACTTTATAGGACACTAGTCCTCGTTAAGTCATATAGTGGCCTGAGGGAGAGAACTGCACGTCATGAAACATCCTGAACTCTAAGTTGTAGGCAGTAACTGGGCAAAACTTTAAGTTGTTTACAGAGGGAAGAAAAGTGAATTTTTCATATATAAAGAAGTGTGCAAATTGTATTTCATGAGTAGTCTTTTGTCTTCTGGAATGGTGATATATACAAAGTAATCTGGGAAGATACAATTTGGTAATAGTAGATCCTTCGTTAACTTGAATTATTTTTTGCAGGAAAGATGCGTCTTTAGCCAAAATTACTTATGGTAAACTGTTATGTAAGCAAGAAATCACCTTCTACTTGGTTTAAGCTATTCAGTGTACTCTCTAGATAGATATGACACAAAGCTAGCATTATGATACAGTAAACCAAGTGTTAATGTAACTTTATGTTGATTTTGACTACATTCTGAAAATAATAAAAGTCATCTGATATTTTAGGCTTACGATATGAACTTGATACTATGATAGGTGTCTGAAATGTTTATCTCATTTGATTCTTAGAACAAACTTATATTGTAGGTACTAATACAGTACTGATTTTTTAAATAAGAAAAAGGATTGCAAAAAATGTAAAAAGTCTTATTAAAAAGTACAAAATTCTATCTCCAAATGTGTAATGAATTTTATATAGTCAGTTAATATTTGTTTAGCTCAATAAAGTAATGTTCGGTGTAATAGTTGATTTCTTTAATGTTCATTCAGAATCACATTATCAATTTGAAATTAATTCACCTATTCGAAGAAGTTGCTTCCTCCAATTAAGACAGTATAGTAAGCAAAATAATGGTTTACAAAACAAACAAACCAACAAAAAAAAAACCGCATGTCCTGATTTCTGGAAGCTGTGAATATGTTAACTATCTGGTAAAAGGGGCTTTGCAAGTATTATAATGTTAAGGATGGTAAGATGAAAAAGTGTCCTTTTGAGTTCAGTGTAATCAAATGGGTTTAAACTAGGGAAACATTCTTGGCTAGAAACATAAGGTGGTATGATTTCAAAAGAATGGTCAGAGAGACACAGCATTTCTGGTTTGAACAAATGAAAGACCATAAGCTAACAAATCAGGACAGCCTCTGGAGGCTGGAAAAGTCAAGGAAACTGATTTTCCCCTAAAACCTTCAGAAAGGAACACAACAGTTCTCACTCTTTGATTTTAGCCTCATAAGATGCATTGCAGACATCTGACAAACACAATTGTTTGACACTATATTTGTGCTATTTTAAACCACTAACTTTGTAGTAATTGGCTACAGCAGCAGTAAGAAAATAATGCAGAGTGTTTCTATAATGGAGATAAAAGTATAAACAAGAGGCAAGGATTTCCTTCCTTCACAGTGTTTATAATATACTAAGAAAACAAACATTAAATACACAGGGCCCCAATAGATTATTCCACTTTAATTTTAGCTGGCACTGTGGAAGGAAAATAGAAATTCTAGAATATAGTGAATAGGAATATAACTTATTCTTATGTGGGAAGAAATGCTTATTACTGAATACTATTTGGGCTGAAAATAAATGCACTGTAGTTACAGTAAGTACAGTAAAAAAGGTAGTTTGCTATAAGGGAACAGAGCCATTGAAATGTAATGAAAGTCATCAAAGTTTTAGGCACTAACTATAAGTTGCAAGGAGTTAAACAATTGTAAGCAGTCCGATTATTAAAAAAATATGTGCCTGATTCTCAAAATCACAAGTATTCTTTAAGATTGCTAACCGTAGTAGTCAGTTTTCACAATGATATAAAGAATGACTTGAGACTGAGTAATTTATGAAGAAAAGAGATTTAATTGATTCATAGTTCTTCAGGCTTTACAGGAAGCATGAATGGGAGGACTCAGGAAACTCAGAAAATCATGGTGGAAGGCAAAGGGGAAACAAGGTTCTTCTTGACATGGCACCAGGAGAGAGAGAGCACAAGGAGGGAAGTGCCACACACTTTTAAACCATCAGATCTCTTGGAACTCACTCACTATCATGAGAATAGCATGTGGAAATCTGCTCCCATGATCCAGTCACCTCCACCCAGGCCCCTCTCTTGACATGAGGGGATTACAATTTGAGATGAGATTTGGGTGGGGACAGAGGGCCAAGCCATATTATTTCTCCTCTGGCCCCTCCCAAGTATCATGTCCTTCTCACATTTCAAAACCAATCATGCCTTCCCAACAGACTGGAAGTCTTAACTTATTCCAGCATTAACTCAAAAGTCCATGTCCAAAGTTTCATCTGAGACAAGGCAAATCGCTTCTGCCTATAAGCCTGTAAAATCAAAAACAAGTTAGTTAATTTCAAGACAACAGTGGGGGTACAGGGATCAGGTAAACACTCCAATTCCATAAGGGAGAAATTAGCCAAAACAAAGGGTCTGCAGGCCCCATGCAAGTCCAAAACCCGACAAGGCAGTCATTAAATCTTAAGGCTCTGAAACAATCTTCTTTGACCTCATCTCTCACGTCCAGAGCATACTGATGCAATATCTGGGCTCCCATGAGCTTTGACAGCTCTGCCTCTGTGGCTCTGCAAGGCACAGCCCCCACAGCTGCTTTCACAGGCTAGGATTGAGTGCCTGTGACTTTTCCAGGCACACTGTGCAAGCTGTCAGTGGATCTACCATTCTGGGGTCTGAAGCACTATGACCCTCTTCTCAAAGCTCCAGTAGGGAGTGCCCCAGTGGGGAATCTGTGTGGGGGCTCCAACCCCACATTTTCCCTCTGCACTGCCCTAGTAGAGGTTCTCCATAAGGGCTCCACTTCTGCAGCAGACTTTTGCCTAGACATCCAGGCATTTCCATACATCCTCTGAAATCTAGATGGAGGTTCCCAAACCTCACCTCTTCCCTTCTGCACAACCACAGGCCCAGCCTCATGTGGAAGCCACCAAAGCTTGAGGCTTGTATTCTCTGAAGCAATGGCCTGAGTAGTGCCTTGGACCCTTTTAGCCACAGTTGGAGCTGAGCAGCTGGAACACTGGGCACCATGTCCCGAGGCTGCCCAGAGCAGCAGGGCCCTGGGCCCATCCCACTAAACAATTTCTCCCTCCTAGGCCTCCAGGCTTATAATGGGAGGGGCTGCCTCAAAGGTCTCTGAAATGTACTGGAGACGTATTCCACATTGTCTTTGCCATTAACATTTGGCTCCTCTTTACTTATGCAAATTTTTGCTTGAATTTCTCCCAAGAGCGTGGGTTTTTCTTTTTTACTATATGGTTAGGCTGCAAATTTTCCAAACTTTTATGCTCTGCTTTCCTTTTAAATATACGTTTCAGTTTCAAGCCATCTCTTTCTTCATGGACATGAGCATAAACTTTTAGAAGCAGCCAGGCCACATGTTGGAAGGTCTGTTGCTTAGAAATTTGTTTCACCAGATACCCTAAATCATCTCTCTGAAGTTCAACATTACACAGATCTCTAGGGCCGGGTCAAAAGGCTGTCAGTCTCTTTGCTAAAGCATAGCAAGAGTAACTTTTTCTTCAGTTCTCAATGAGTTCCTCATCTCCATCTGAGACCCCCTCAGCCTGGACTTCATTATCCAAATCATTATCAGCATTTTGTTCACAACCATTCAACAGGTCTCTAGGAAGATTTAAACTTTCCCATATCTCCCTGTCTTCTTCTGAGTCCTCCAAACTGTTTCCTACCTCTGCCTGTTACCCAGTTCCAAAGTTACTTCCATATTTTCAGGTATTTTTATAGCAATGCCCCACTTCTCTGGTACCAATTTTCTGTATCTATCTCTTCTCAAACTGCTATAAAGAACTACTGGGTAATTTATGAGGAAAAGAGGTTTAATTGACTCACAGTTCTGCAAGCTTAACAGGAAGCACGACTGGGAGGCCTCAGGAAACTAACAATCATGGCAGAAGGTAAAGGGGGAGCAGGTGCCTTCTTCACATGGTGTCAGTAGAGAGAAGAGCCGGGGGGAAGTTCCACACACTTTTAAACCATCAGATCTTGTGAGAACTCACTGACTGTCACGAGAACAGTATGGGAAATCCACCCCCATGATCAAATCACCTCCTACCAGACCCCTCCCCTGACACGTGGGGATTACGATTCAACATGAGATTTGTGTGGGGACACAGAGCCAAAGTATATCACTCACCTAATAAGTGCTTATCTTGATTAAATTGTATGGAAAACTACAACTTAAATTATGTGATCAGAAATTCTATCTAATGATAGACATTAATTCAAATGCCACCATGTTCTCCTGTCAGCTTCTCATATATTGTCATGGATATGATTTAATTGTCCTTCAGTGTCATGGAACACATCCTGAGATTCAGCTGATGAAGTTGCAAACTGGATAAATATAAATGATGATGTTTCAAAAAAGAAAATCCTCACTTAGTAAAAAAATGTTAGGTTTATTTTACACTTTCTTGACAGCTGAACTAATATAAAAAGCACTCACCTTGTTTCTTTCAGTTTTGTGTATGTTTTGATTGTGTCAGCTGAGTTCTTCTTCACGGGATTTTCTATGTGTCAGAGACACTTGTCCCCCATTCTGTTTTCCTGTGTAATCTCAAAATTGACAAGGGTCTTCACTGTATGTGAAAAGGATGTCTGTGTTGCTTGATTTTATGTGTGACTACTGTTTGCGATTGTCCTTTTCCCAATATGACATGTAATTTTACAGCACAGATAGTTTTTCAAAAGAATTACATTCCCAGGCTTAGCAGAGGGAGCGGCCTACTTATTGAAATGTGAAATCGAATCTCTGAAACAGAAACACCAAATTATTATACTAATCTGTAAAGTAGCTATAAAACGTTATTTTTCAGAGTGAAGTATCTGTCAAGATGGCTAGTTTTGGTGTATAATAGAAACGGTATTTTATTCCTTTTATTTCTGTAAACAGATTAAGTCTGTGTGTGTGTGTGTGTGTGTGTGTGTGTGTGTGTGTGTGTGTGTGTGTACATGGGATATAATACAAATCTACCTCGACTTATAATGAGTTACATCCTGATAACCACAGGCCAAGATGTGTTATGATGGATCTGGATATACTCATAAGTTGAAAATATTTTAGGTAAAAAATGCATTTAGTACATTTAACAAAAATACTGGCAAACCGAGTCCAGCAGCACATCAAAAAGCTTATCCACCAAGATCAAGTTGGCTTCATCCGTGGGATGCAAGACTGGTTCAACATACGCAAGTCAATAGATGTAATCCATCACATAAAGAGAACCAAAGACAAAAACCACAAGATTATCTCAATAGATGCGGAAAAGGTCTTTGACAAAATTCAATAGCCCTTCATGCTGAAAACTCTCAATGAACTAGGTATTGATGGAACATATCTCAAAATAATAAGAGCTATATATGACAAACCCGCAGCCAGTATCATACTGAATGGGCAAAAACTGGAAGCTTTCCCTTTGAAAACTAGCACAAGACAGTGATGCCCTCTCTCACCACTCCTATTCAACATAGTGTTGGAAGTTCTGGCCAGGGCAGTCAGGCAAGAGAAAGAAATAAAGGGCATTCTATTAGGAAAAGAGGAAGTCAAATTGTCCCTGTTTGCAGGTGATATGATTGTATATTTAGAAAACCCCATCATCTCAGCCCAAAATCTCCTTAAGCTGATGAGCAACTTCAGCAAAGTCTCAGGTTACAAAATCAGTGTGCAAAAATCACATGCATTTGTATACACCAATAACAGACAATCAGAGAGCCAAATCATGAGTGAACTCCCATTCACAATTGCTACAAAGAGAATAAAATACCTAGGAATCCAACTTACAAGGGATGTGAAGGACCTCTTTAAGGAAAACTACAAACCACTGCTCAACGAAATACAAGAGGACACAAACAAATGGAAGAACATTCCATGCTCATGGGTAGGAAGAATCAATATCGTGAAAATGGCCATACTGCCCAAGGTAATTTATAGATTCAATGCCATCCCCATCAAGCTACCAATGACTTTCTTCACAGAATTGGAAAAAACTAAAGTTCATATGGAATCAAAAAAAGAGCCCATATTGCCAAGACAATCCTAAGCAAAAAGAACAAAGCTGGAGGCATCACGCTACCTGACTTCAAACTATACTACAAGGCTACAGTAACAAAAACAGCATTTTACTGGTACCAAAACAGAGATATAGACCAATGGAATGGAACAGAGGCCTCAGAAATAACGCTAAACATTTACAACCATCTGATGTTTGACAAACCTGACAAAAACAAGAAATGGGAAAAGGATTCCCTATTTAATAAATGGTACTGGCTAGCCATATGTAGAAAGCTGAAACTGGATCCCTTCCTTCACCTTATAGAAAAATTAATTCAAGATGGATTAAAGACTTAAATGTTAGACCTCAAACCATAAAAACCCTAGAAGAAAACCTAGGCAATACCATTCAGGACATAGGCATGGGCAAGGACTTCATGTCTAAAACACCAAAAGCAATGGCAACAAAAGCCAAAATAGACAAATGGGGTCTAATTAAACTAAAGAACTTCTGCACAGCAAAAGAAACTACCATCAGAGCGAACAGGCAACCTACAGAATGGGAGAAAATTTTTCCAATCTACCCATTTGACAAATAGCTAATATCCAGAATCTACAAAGAACTTAAACCAATTTACAAGAAAAAAACAAAGCCATCAAAAAGTGGACAAAGGATATGAACAGACACTTTTCAAAAGAAGACATTTATGCAGCCAACAGACACATGAAAAAATGCTCATCATTACTGGTCATCAGAGAAATGCAAATCAAAACCACAATGAGATAGCATCTCACACCAGTTAGAATGGCGATCATTAAAAAGTTGGGAAACAACAGGTGCTGGAGAGGATGTGGAGAAATAGGAATGCTTTTACACTGTTTGTGGGAGTGTAAACTAGTTCAACCATTGTGGAAGTCAGTGTGGCAATTCCTCAAGTATCTAGAACTAGAAATACCATGTGACCCAGTGATCCCATTACTGGGTATATACCCAAAGCATTATAAATCATGCTGCTATAAAGACACATGCACATGTATGTTTATTGTGGCAGTATTCACAATAGCAAAGACTTGGAACCAACCGAAATGTCCATCAATGATAGACTGGATTAAGAAAATGTGGCATACATACACCCTGGAATACTATGCTGGTATAAAAAATGATGAGTTCATGTCCTTTGTAGTGACGTGGATGAAGCTGGAAACCATCATTCTGAGCAAACCTTCGCAAGGACGGAGAACCAAACACCGTGTGTTCTCACTCATAGGTGGGAATTGAACAACGAGAACACTTGGACACAGAGTGGGTAACATCACATGCTGGGGCCTATTGTGGGGTGGGGGGATGGGTAGGGATAGCATTAGGAGAAATACCTAATGTAGATAATGAGTTAATGGGTGCAGCAAACCAACATGGCACATGTATACATATGTAACAAACCTGCAAGTTGTGCACATGTGCCCTAGAACTTAAAGTATTAAAAAAAAATACACTTAAGAAATGTGCTCAGAACACTTACATTAGCCAGTCCAAAAAAAAAATCTAACCTAAAGCCTATTTTTAAATAAAGTGTTGAATATCACATGTAAATTATTAAATACTGAATGTGAAAAATGGAATGGGTATATGGGTAATAAAAGCATTGTTTCTACTGAATGTTTATCACTTTTGTACCATGATAAAGCTGTAAAGTTGTACCATTGTAAATCTGGGACCATCTGTGTTACATTCAAGAGAAAAGCTCAGTCGAACTAATAAATAAATCAAAATTTCTTCTGATTATTTAGGTGTTTTTTCCTGTTAGATAATTAAGACATCCAACTGTTGCTTGCTGCTTCACCACACAGACCATACACAGATACAAATACACACTCCATGAATGAGCATATGTGCTTGTTTAAAGAGACATACTAACCAAACAGTTGTATGCTGCCGTGATATTGATTATGTCATCAAGTTCCTTATTTAACAAAACACAGCTGTGTATGAAGTATTTCTCTAAAATGTACATTCAATAGCAACTGGTTTTGTTCAGTCTTATGTACCCATATTATTTAAATGAGCACCTGGAGTCTAGAATTAACTAAAAAATATCTATGTTGATGCATATTAAGTTGATTTTGAAGTCATAAATTTTGACAAGAATTGATACTATGGCACTGTCATAACTTTACAAAAGATGACCTGAACTAACATGATTTTATGCTTTTACCAGTGGAACTCCCTGAAATATATTCAGATAATTTGTTATTAAAGCAAAACTAAGTTTATTGAAACCCTGTGCCAAGAAAGTACACCATTTTGACATACTTTTGCAGTGTTTCAGCAGGGAAGAGTGAGAGGAAGATTTTTCATGTTTGTGGAGAATGGCTTAAGAGAGTTAAATGAGTCTTTCAAAGTGAGTAGCTGATTGAAATTGAGCTAAACTCAGAGCATAATAGTTTAGATAGTCTAAGAAATTGAAAAAAAAGTTGATGCCAAGCATACAAGAAATAACACCACCAAAAAATAGACCTAAATACAGACAAAATTAGATTAAAAACAAGAATATGTTCAATGTTAATAAAAGCAAAAGGAACATAGACATAGTTATGGAGGAGTTTTGTTTTGTTTTAATAAGATAAAAATATGGTTAGTTTTATAGCAATACACCTGGAAATCTGGATCAATTCTGTCCACTATAGTCATTACTAGTGACATGTAGATATTGAACACTTGAAATATGGTGGATTTGAATTGATTTATGCTATATGTAAAATACAAACTAGATTTAGTTTAAAAAATGTAAAACTGAATAATTTTAATATTGTTTTATGCTGAGATGACAATATTTTGGATATACTGGATTAAATACATATAAAATATTGTTAAAAATCAAGTAGTATAGTAAAATTGGTCTTTTTGTTTTACTTTTTTATTTTGTTTTGGTTTTTGAAGGGATAGAAATCATGGCTAAGATGGACCCTGGGGCATATCATTGACCATCATGAAACATGCACTGATTTGCCAAATGTATTATTTTCCTGTGGCTGTTATAAAAATCACAATACACTTAGTAGTTTAAAACAACATAAATTTATTGTCTAGCAGTATTCCAGGTTAGAAGTTCAACACAGGTCTTACTGATTTAAAATCAAAGCATTGGAAGACTGCATTCCTTCTATAGGCTCTGTGGAATAATCCATGACCTGGCCTTTCCCAGGCTTTAGAATCCAGCTGCATTCTTTGATGCATGTTCCCTGTCTTGGGCAGCTTGGAATACTGTAAGAAAATACCATAGACCGGGTGACTTAAACAACTGACATTTATTTCTCAGAGTTCTGAAAGTTGGGAAGTCCAAGATTAAGGTGCTGGTATATTTGGTTCATGGTGAGGGCCCACTCCCTCTCTGGTTAGTAGATGGCCTCCTTCTCTCTGTGTTCACATGGCCTTTCCTGGATACATGTTTACGGAGAGAGAAAGAGAAGGGTGGTTGGGTGGGAGGTGGTCTAGTATCTCCACCTTTTCTTATAAGAACACTAACATTATCATGAGAACACCACACTTAGGACATTATCTCAACCTAGGTTCCTCCCAAAAGCTCCATCTCCAGATACTATCACACTGCCAATTAATAGATCATTGAAAATAATCTATTAATATTTGAACAATGCCAATCATCTTCAATAGATTAATTTTAGGGAGACACAAATATTCAGTTCATAACAGTTCCTTTCCTTGACCTTCAAAGCTACAAATGAAGGAGCAAGTCTTCACATTCTCCTTTTATATCTCCCTCTTCTACGTGTAAAGAATCTTATGATTGCATTTGGCCATCTAAAAATCTATGATAGTCTCTCCATTTCAAAATCCTTAACTCTAATTGCATTTGCAAAGTCTGTCCTGCCAGGTAAGCTAACAAATTTATAAATTATCTGGATTAGGACCCCATCATCTCTGAAGAGCCATTATTCTGACTACCACATCAGTATGTTAGTTTATGTCAAGATTGCTGTAATAATCAATAGGTTCTGGTACCACAAATCCAGTAGCAGTCATTAAGGTTGATTGAGTTTATTGATTGCTTTCAGCTCCATTCTGCTATTAATCACTTTTGGGGATATAAAATGAAGACCTTATCACATAGAGGAAGAGGTAGATGTGATAGGAGCTTGAATATGTAATAAGAATTTTTTATGATATGTAAATGTGAGAAATGAATTAAGTATGTGCCATTTGTTCTCTTCTTTTTAAGACATTTCTTTCTAAAGGTTTAGTGACAGAAGTTGCATTCTATTAAAGATCCCTAAGTGCTGTTCTGCTGTAGGCATAAGCTTTCTTTCCTGGGTGCAGCATGTTAGGATTTAAGATTTCTATTTATCTAATACTCTGCTGTTTGTCAGATAAAATAACAATAAATAGTGAGTCCAATTATTGATAAACCCAGATGTTTCATATTTAGGAATCGATGTTAAAAAAAAAAAACTCTAATTGGCATCCTAAGGAAAATGTGTGCAGCTTAGCACTGATTCAACTGCATGTTTAGCCAAATTGTGAACAAATTACGGCCAGCTTCCGGACTCTTCTAGAGAGTGACTAAGGACGGCATAGAGGAATTAGGAATAGTAGCTTTATAGGTAAAGTAATTAAATGTAACCTTAAGCATAAAAAGATAAAGTTAACTAGGAAAATGAAAACTCAAGATATACAGATTAAATATGACAAACAATGGATCTTTTTTTGTGGATCTTGGTTTGCAGATACCGATATCTCATATAGTGATTCACTTGATCCAAAGGCATTTGATGGAAGCTGTCTTCTCCCAAAGACTATTTGCTTTTGGAAGAATCCTAAGAGTCATTAGTTAGAAGTTTTTGGTAGGGATACTTTCCTGTAATATGAAGATGACCTAAACCTCTTTACTTGAGAGATAGGAATCAAAGGATCAGTCTTTTAAAGACTATGGGTTTGCTAGTTGTTAGCTGTGCCTGATAGTGACTTTTTTCCTATGATCTTTCCCTGCCGTGTCTCTTAGAAGACAAGGTATCCAGGTATGAAAACCAATTTTGCAGACATTGTTTAGGATACTAATGGGGAAAGTCTTCAGTAACTTTTGTTGAAAGAATGGATTTCCTGAGTCCTTACAGCATTTAGTTAAATAAGTGTAGATTTCTAGAATCAGAGCTAATATTCCTAGACACTTGGTTTAGCTGTTACTAACTCATGAACCACAGAAAGAAGAAATACCTTAGACCATGCAAGTTTGACGATCTCTGTGAACTTTACCAACTTTAGTTTCAGAATTCCATCTTTCTACCTTCCCAAAAGGTTGAAAGTGATATGGACAGTGAAGTCTGATTAATTGACAGAACTTTTCCATGTTAATAAAAATTCTGGTAAAATGGTTTCCTTGTTACTAGAGATATAGTTTGGGATTCCCCAGGCTGAAAAAAAAAAAAAGGATTTTCTCCATGCCAACAAGAGACAAATAATGATCAGAACATATTTAAAATCTATTGCCAGCACTTGTTATGAAAAATTCATTTAGATTTTTACTGAGACATTTTACAGTTTTGTTAGGATTAATCTGACGAAGGTTGAGACAAGTTGTAAGGATATAGTTATATAAAGATATACTTACCAATTTTAGCAAAATTTTCCCCCAGCTGTTGGTTAAATACATTGGTCAATTTGTCCTCATTGTGCCAGAAAAGCTCAGCAGTTCTGACTAAAGTTTATGTTAACCCATTGCCAGTAGAATGAAAGAGTTGAATCCTCTCTTAAATTATAATATATAGTTGACTCCTCAACAACACAGGTTTGAACTGTGCAGGTCTGCTCATATGTAGATTTTTTCCTATAAATATATTAGAAAATTTTTGGAGATTTATGAAAAATTGAAAAAGATAACAGGTGACCCATCTACACAAGAAATATTAAAAAACTAAGAAAACGATGTCATGAATGCATAAATCATATGTAGATACTAGTGATCATTTAATACAATGAAATATATATGCGTCTATTATAAAAAGTTAAAATTTATCAAGACGTAGGCAAACACAGAGCATACATGCAGCCAATTGAAGTTTAGAGAAAAGTAAAACAAAAATATACAAAAGTAAATCATAACTGCACAAAATTAACTGTAGTACATACTGTACTACTGGGATAATTTCCTAGCCTCCACCTGTTGTTCTTGCAGTGAACTCAAGTGTTGTGAGTATTCACTTAAAATGCCACATAATGCTAATCATCTTCTTGTGAGTAGCTTGTCTCTCCAGTAAATTAACACAGTAAAAAGTGTTCTCTCATGTTTCTCCTGTATTATTCATGATGTCTAGTGCAATACCATAAACCTTGAATAACACCTTCAGACCTATAAAAAGTGCTGCTAGTGATGCTGAAAGTTCTTCCAGGAAACAGAGAAGGGTCCTGACATTACAGGAAAACAATGAATTGCTTGATAGGTACCCTAGATTGAGGTCTGCAGCTGTGTGTGCTGCCATTTCAGAAGAAGGATCCATCTTGTAAACACAGGATTGTAAACTTATGAGAGAAATAAATATACTGTAGTACTGTAAACGTATTTTTTCTTCCCTATAATTTTCTTAATAACACTTTCTTTTCTGTAACTAGCTTCATTGTAAAACTACGGTGTAAAATACATACAGCGTATGAAATATGTGTTAAGGATTGTCCAGTCAACAGTAGGCTGTTAGTTTAGTTTTGGGGAGTCCAAAGTTATATGTGAATTTTTGACTGTGCTGGGGTGGTGGGGAGGGGTTAGGGAGGTTTGATGGCCCTAAACCTTGTGTTTTTCAGGAGTCAACTGTACAGTTTAGAAGAATATGATTTAGAATTTCCCTGAGATTAAGAACATATTAAATGGTGGGAAGGATATTGATAGACCTCTAGATCTAGTGACACTATCAACTTTGACTGTGTCTGTTTGATGAAGGAATTAAAATCTAGTAACAAAAGCATTTTGTAGATAGTTATTGTACCAGTCTTTGTTCTTGAACATCAGTGTGTTTTTTTGAACTGAAAATCACACATTGAATGAAAGGCTTCATCTCAATATATTTTATTTACACATAAATTTGAGCTGTTTTTTGTTCACAAGTTTGGCCGATAAAAGAGCCCTCACAATAGCTTTAATTACCATTTAAAATTACAAATTAATGTGATTTTTTAATTTTTCTCTCTTTTGTAGGGTGAAGGAGCAATGCTTTTGGTTACTCAGTATTCTCTCAAGAAAATTTAAAGATAGTTTATACACAGAAGATATTTTAACAGGTTATATTCTGAACTTGTGGCCCGGATTTGGAAAAAGCAATATCAAGTATGGTTCAAGGGGACAAGAAAGAGAGAAGCATTTGTTACCATTTTTCCAAGTCAAAAATATTTAATCAGATAATATTTTAAAAGCCAGCAATAATTAGTAATGATTGGTATAATGTTTTTGTCAAAATTATTAAATAGGAGATAAAATTAAAAGCTTTATTTTTTTGCATTCAAATAAAATTTTAAGTATTTTGATGAGCTTATTAAATCAACAATGCATGTATTACATTGAACCTGACTTCTTAATAAGTTGCAACCAAATCTTTAATGATAAGTTTAGGTCAGAGAGATAATTTTGAGATTTGTCACCATAAAGATAGGGTATAATGTGATGTAAATAATTAAGATCAGGTGGAAAGACAAATAAGATTGAAGGAAGACCCAAGACCAAGGTTTGGGGCACTCTCAGAAGTTCTAAAAAAAAAATTTAGACTATGAGTAAAGAAGGATTGATCAGCAAGGTGAAATGGATCAAGGAAATGTGGGCACTCAGAGGTACAGAGGGGTTAATTGCTGCTCAGAAAATACTCAGACGAATGCTGAACAGTAGATTAGATAGAACCGATGTCCTAGAAATCATGAAGATAAGTGACTTTATTAAAATACATATTATAAACAAAGAAGGAATTTACTGTTCGAAAAGTTGTCTTGAAGAATTGTTTTGGGAGAAAATAAAAAATAAACCTTATTTTCTAAAATACACTAAAACTAATTCCAAATGAGTCAAAGGATTGTGTACAGATATTTTAAATTAATAAAACAATGTTAGTGCAGATTCTCTTTAATTACTTCCCTGATTGTTTTACCTATAGTAACTCATTTAATTCTACTAGCAATCTTTTCATGTTGGATACAGCTATTCAAATTTTCTTTTGTTATTGCAATAGCCTCCTAACCATTCTTCCACAAAATTGAGGCACTAAAAGGTTGTGAAATTTCCTCTATGCCACAGAGCTTTTTAGTGATGATTTGGCATTTGGAAGCACATCTTTGAAATGTTCGTTTTTCTCTGATGGCCAGTGATGGTGAGCATTTCTTCATGTGTTTTTTGGCTGCATAAATATCTTCTTTTGAGAAGTGTCTGTTCATGTCCTTCGCCCACTTTTTGATGGGGTTGTTTGTTTTTTTCTTGTAAATTTGTTTGAGTTCATTGTAGATTCTGGATATTAGCCCTTTGTCAGATGAGTAGATTGTGAAAATTTTCTCCCATTCTGTAGGCTGCCTGTTCACTGTGATGGTAGTTTCTTTTGCTGTGCAGAAGCTCTTTAGTTTAATTAGATCCCATTTGTCAATTTTGGCTTTTGTTGCCATTGCTTTTGGTGTTTTAGACATGAAGTCCTTGCCCACGCCTGTGTCCTGAATGGTAATGCGTAGGTTTTCTTCTAGGGTTTTTATGGTTTTAGGTCTAACGTTTAAGTCTTTAATCCATCTTGAATTAATTTTTGTATAAGGTGTAAGGAAGGGATCCAGTTTCAGCTTTCTCCATATGGCTAGCCAGTTTTCCCAGCACCATTTATTAAATAGGGAATCCTTTCCCCATTGCTTATTTTTCTCAGGTTTGTCAAAGATGAGATAGTTGTAGATATGCGGCGTTATTTCTGAGGGCTCTGTTCTGTTCCATTGATCTATATCTCTGTTTTGGTACCAGTACCGTGCTGTTTTGGTTACTGTAGCCTTGTAGTATAGTTTGAAGTCAGGTAGCGTGATGCCTCCAGCTTTGTTCTTTTGGCTTAGGATTGACTTGGCAACGCGGGCTCTTTTTTGGTTCCATACGAACTTTAAAGTAGTTATTTCCAATTCTGTGAAGAAAGTCATTGGTAGCTTGATGGGGATGGCATTGGATCTATAAATTACCTTGGGCAGCAAAGACTTGGAACCAATCCAAATGTCCAACAGTGATAGACTGGATTAAGAAAATGTGGCACATATACACCATGCAATACTATGCAGCCATAAAAAATGATGAGTTCATGTCCTTTGTAGGGACATGGATGAAATTGGAAATCATCATTCTCAGTAAACTATCGCAAGGACAAAAAACCAAACACCGGATGTTCTCACTCATAGGTGGGAATTGAACAATGAGAACACATGGACACAGGAAGGGGAACACCACACGCTGGGGACTGTTGTGGGGTGGGGGAAGGGGGGAGGGAAAGCATTAGGAGATATATCTAATGCTAAATGACGAGTTAATGGGTGCAGCACACCAGCATGGCACATGTATACATATGTAACTAACCTGCACATTGTGCACATGTACCCTAAAACTTGAAATATAATAATAATAAAATTTAAAAAAAAATGTTCATTTTTAATTATAGCACTACACCATGCACTGAATCACGGAGGGTAAAAATGCACACTGTTAATAAGAAGGAGGGAGTCAATCTCATTAGTATTATAATATTTATACTGAATGAGACTCCATTCCCGAAATTCACAGAATTAAAATAATAAAAATAAAAATTTATTGCTAGCCAATTTGCAGCAAAAAAGATTCATTCTCATATTCTGCTATGAGAAAATAAATGAAATTGAATTTTAAAAGACATTTTTGGAAAGCCCTTTGAATTAACCAGAAAATTGTTAAATTCGTAGTTTTTTTGACTAACATTCTTCTTCCACGTTAACAGAATTTATATATAAGTGACACTCATTGCATATACTTTTAAGGGGTAAAATAATTACTAAATTTATGTACACTATTAATACTTCATTGTATAAAATTGCATATATACCCATATGCAAATGTGCACAGAATCAGTAGGGTAACCATAGACATAAAATGATCAGTGCAGGATATTTTATTTATGCATTTTATATATAATATACTTTTCATTTAATATTTTTGCTAATTTTATTGAATTGAATATTTATGCCTTGGTTATAGAACAACTAAATTTATTTTCAAAGAAACTCCATTATTATTGTCTGCAAGAGTAAAACTTATAAACAATCTAAAAATTCAACCAAATACAACCATTTACAATTGTGCCCTAGTTGAATTTGTAATCGTAGGAGAAAACACAGGTGTTGAATTTTTTGAATTTCATTTAAAAAATAATTGACACAATCCCTAAGGTATCATATAAATTAATTGAATTGTTATTGTCTTGGGTTAACATTTATTTCTAGAGTTTTTTTTCCCCTAATATCTGATTTTTTCCATTAACATTACTTATTTGGATAATCAGAAAAAAATCAACATTGCCAAAAGATAGATAATACCACAAGCGAAATATCTATGATAATGATAGGAAAATGCTTTGAATTCAGGCTGAATGAGAATTAGTCTAGGAAAACAGCTTGGACCCTCTCATTCCTGTTAATGTCATCTCTGTGTTTAGCACTGCTGCTATTCCTCAGCTACTAAGAAATGCTCTATTGCTGGGCATGGCATATGGGAAGCCAAGAAAAATGACTGGCTGCTTGGTGACAGCTCTCTAGTCCTCATGCCAAGTTCTGCCAGTGATTTAAATATTAAGTAATGGAAAGAATTTTGAAATCCAGGATGATTAGAAAAGTCATTTTCTACAAAAGTGAAGCATTGTCTTTAGAGATTAAAATCTATGAAAATAACATTATTGAAATACTAGACTTCAGACTATTTTTCTGAATTACTGTAACTGTTGAAATAGGTCTTTCAGCCCATTAAGATAAACACCACACTTTTCTCTTCATGATCTCCAGCTGTAATTTTATAGTGAAAGGTGCTTGCATAAAAGAGTTCACACTATCTGAAAGATGTCACATGTAACATTGACTGGCAGCCATTTCAGAATGGCAGACAGCCAATAAATCATTCAGAACTATGTGTCACTCGTTGTGGCTTTAAAATTGTATTCCTTCTCCTTTGATAAAGAACATTTCAATGTCAAATAGTTTGTTCTATTTAAACTTATACATCAACCAGAATATTGAGATACACAATAAAATTAAATGATTTGGTAATACCTTTAGAATTTATCTAAAAACAGCCGTATGTATTTGCATGACAGATTTGGTTCACAAACCGATCAAGTTGTTAGTATCAAAGGCATGTTTTAGTGCTGATTTGTGTATAGATAAATTTAGGAAATTACATAAATAGAAATACTTCTTTATAAAATTCCTTGACCTTGTGATATCTTGGTATTAAGAATCTTAAAGGAATCATTTAAAAAAATTCAAAAGCAAACAATTTCGATTTTACAAGAGCTAAGAAAAAAACATTTTGCTATGGACACAGATCGCTCTTCAAGAAAAGATTTCTTTCCCCCTTGGCTGCTAGGAGCAATATTACAAAGCAGCCTTCAGCTCTCAGCTCCTTCAAAGTTTGCCTCAGCTGTAACCATTGTCTGGCTCAATGTTAGGGCATCCTGGAGCACTGGACATGCAAACACGAATGGAGATGAGGTTATAAAGCCTGGCCATTTTGACCCACCTGAGAGGATTCTGACAGGTCCTTCCAGTGCCTGAGAAACCCAGGGCTCACATGCTTTATATTCTGATCATTCTGTAGGGGTTGTTCCCATGGGTGATAGAAGCTGCCAAATATAAAGAGGCAACCATGCAAATTTTTAGGAATTATTTCCAAAACTCTCATAACAACATCATATATATTTATTGGTTGTTTAAGTAGATTTCTGAGGAGTAGATAGCAACGATAGAAGTGAAAGAAAGTAAATGCAGTTGTTAAAGGATTAGTCTTCCCATACTTAGAAAGTACACAAGTTGCATATACACTATGTTCCTTCCCTAGAGCAAGTATTTCAATGCAGTCGTGTGTGTGTTTGTGTGCTTGTGTGTGTGTGGTGTGTGTGTGTGTGTGTGTGTATGCTAACTGAACTCATTATAGATTTTATTGGATCAGATATATGAAGAGACTTGGAAGACTTGGGTTTGTCTGGAACTGGGTGAAATAGAGAAGGACGATCATTGACATAGAAAGCTGATTACTTTGTCCTTTGAGTATAAATAGTCTTACAATAAAATGGCATCTCCACTGTCTAAAACACATTTTTACATTTGCTCTCCTTCTGAAATTATTTATGTGAAATTAACAAATGTACTTATTACCTTAGAAACAAACGATCCGTAATTTATATTATTTATTGTATATTTGTAGATCCACTTAAAATTGATTTGCAATATAAGGAAAAAATGCGTTTTATAAGTTGTTTGCTTTGTGTAGTGCATCTTGTTAACCGTAGGACTACTGTTGCATTGAAACAAAATAGAATTAATCTGTTCAGGTAAATAGAACTGGAAGTGAGATTTGTTGTCACTCCTTCTCCTTCAAGTACTGACCAGTCTTTTAATTCACACATAACTAACACTCTGTGCAATAATATTTTTTTGTTCTCTGTCTTTTCAAACAGAACTCAAGCTCCATGAGGAGATGTTTCATTGTCGGTGAGCACATTCTTGTCAATTAGTTCCTTCTTGTTTCTTACTATAGCCCCTGTGTCTAGAACCTTTCCAGGTATTCAGTAGCCATTTAAAAATTATTTGTTGAATGAATTGTTATTTTAAAGAACATCCACAATTTTGCCTGACTGGGCATGGGAATACATGCCCATCTTTGGACTGAATGTCCATTTTTCCCTTCTTTGATTTATCAAAATATTGGTTAAATGATCAGGACTACCGTCAGAAGGAATTTTATATCTAAAAATAGTTTACCTTCTATGGATGTAAAAAATAGTTGTAGTAGTTCTGGCTTTTATATTATTCGATGTTTCAAAGCGGTTTTTTTTTTCCATCACCATATTCTACGTTCTTGAAAAGTACTCGTTCATGTGACTGCTATCATTTATGCTTGTGCAGCACGTAGATACAGGAGAGAAGATAAGGAAAATGCTTACCCTGTGTCTCCTTCCCTGTAACACAGTTTTTTTTTACCATATTGATTCTCCACTTTCTACTCCCTAAGTAAAATTTTGCAACAGGCATTTGGGAAACTCTGGATACAAGAAAAAAATTTTAATATTGTACAAAGAGACAAGAGGTGACTTCTTTTTTATTTTTCATTTAGAGTTTATAGTTTAATTAAAGAAAATGCACATATATCTAAAGATAATCATGGATAATACACTCATGTAATTACTACTTTCAGTGGTTGTAACAACAGCCAAAGCACAAACAGAAATGAGAAAGAATTATCAGCATTATGCAAGTACATATCCTCTTTAAGAATTCCTGTTATAGTGAAAGCATTAAAATAATTGAACACGTACAGAGACCATATACTTTGTGATCTTTTTAAAAAAGTATTCAAAATATATTTCTGTGTGCAAAACATTTTCATAATGGTCTTGTTTAAATGAAAGTATTTAGAATAGCACATTGTAAAATTATGCTGCAGAGCACAAGTATTTTTCTCTTTAGAAGACACATAATAAAATAGAATCATCAGTGTTTTTTCATAAACATGAATCTTTAGAGTGTTACTTGATCCTGCATAATAAGGGTACTTTTTTGCTTAATGTAAGCATAGTATACTAATTCTTTTAAACTTCAGAAAGCATATTTACAGTCTAGGCAGATGGGACATGAAGGTCACACAGCATGAGCAGTGAAATATCTCATTTACCTAGAGTTCTAGAGAGAATTTTAGGAACTCTTATTTATTATCAGTGCATAAACAAGAGTAAACTCTACAAAACTGTTTGCAAAACTCTCCTCTTTCTACTCAGAAGGCTTTCCCTAGAATAATCATTATGGAGTCTGTCCATCCTTTACTCATTCACTGCATGGGGACAGGTGTTAGTTATGAGATTGGTGAATTTAGAAAGCTAACCAATTTCATACCTATTTTGGGATTCTCAATTCACAAACTTTTGTGCGTTTCTTAATTATTTCCTTTCTTTTTCTTGTAGAGAGCAGTCATGATGGCCTGCACTCCACACAATGCAACAGAGTGAAAGAGCAGGTTCTGCTTCTTTGGTGTAGTCCTGAAGCTTCCTAAGAAACTTCACATCAGGTGATGGATAGGAGCAACCCTGTAAAACCAGCCTTAGACTATTTTTCAAACAGTAAGTAATAAAGGTGACGTTTTGATCTTTATCTGCTTAATTACTTCTGCTATGATTCTATTGATTCTAACATTGAAGGAGCAGTAAATTTATATGTATTATCCAACTATAAAACAATAAATAAACGATATGTCAAATACATTATCACATCCTTATGTTCTTATGATAATATTGTCCTTTTTTTAACAGTTTTTATTCTTACTTGTTGATTGGTTTGTCTTTATGTTGTCCTTTCTACTATCAAACTGAACATGTTGAGGTCATAGGCTATCAAAACTGTACATTTCTGATGCTAACCATAGAGACTTAACAACAGTAAATAGGCCAAAATGGAATGTTGTTAGCCATAGTGTGTATTATTATTTCTTTTATACATGTGGTCACTGTTAGAGGAGTTTATGACTTTTTGCCTAGATTAATGACACACAAACCATCTACAAACGAATCATACCTTATTCCCTCACTGTAATTTTTAATGTTGCTATTTTTGCCTGTTAACATTCCATAGGTTTATCACATTGCTTAAAGATTTAATTTAATTTCTGTAATTGTATATGTCATGAGAGATTGCTTTTAACCTTCCAATGTTCGTGGTCTCATTTTCACTAACATAATCCCAACTTTAGCTGCGCACAATACCACATTTCCCAGCATTCCTTGCATCTGGATATAGCTGTATTCAAATAAGCCGTGTGAAACTTCTGGGATGGCTCCTTAAGTGCAGTTGACTCATTAGGGAGGTATGTCTTTTTTATTTTTCTACACTTTGTGCTGCTGTCCTGGAGTACAGACATGGTGGCTAGAAGCATGAAATCACCTTGAAGGTAGAAGTCATGCATTGAAGTTAGTAAAAGTGAAATGTAAGTGTATAGTTTCCTGATGAAAATGGGAAGCTTATGTACTAGCAACAGAATGCTTATTATGCAGGCTTCCTATATGTAAAAGAGGACAAATTCTCATTTTATTAAGTTTCTGAAAGTAGATTTCTAAATGCTGGTTCTATTTTTTATTGAAAGTAATGGCAAAAAACGCAATGCCTTTTGTACCAACCTAATAGTTAATAAACATATCCTCAAATGAAATGTCTTAGAATTGTGTTCATCAAGTTAATATTAATAATTTATTAGAATAGCACTCTAAAGGGTTGCAGCCTATGCATGAAAATACTTACAAACTACTACATGATAATCAATTCTTTTTGGCAAGACTGCTATTTACATGGACACAAGAGTTATTATAAGAATGTTGTATGTATACATGAATAGTGTCTGTTAAACACTGGATATAATAAAAACAATAGTTTTTCTGTTAATTATAACAATCTGAACATTTTTGTGATTATATTTCACAAATGACACACCATTTTATTTGCAGATTTTTCTTATCCCCAAAGTTTTTGTTAATTTATTACCAACACAGCACACAAGTCTAGTGGCAATGCATTACCTCTGCAGTTGATTTTGAAGTAAGAAGGCCTATTTATTGCATTCATTCCTGCTTAGATGACATCTTAAATTTGTTAATTGGATTATTATGCTCTATTCTATACATTTATTGATTTATAGATTTTGTGGACACAAATTTCAAAACATATTCGAAAATTTGGTGATAGCTTTTTAGAATCTATTCTTCAACATAGTTATTGAAAGTGAACAAGAAGGACCTCCTCTAGAGATTAGGTTGAGAACCACTTCTTTGATTTGTTAAATATGTGTACATGGATACCATGTGGCTTTATTATGAGGAGCCACTTAAGTGGCTGAGTTACAATTCACAAAACATTGTCACAGGGAAAATATCAGGACAAATTTTCAAGTCGCATGCCAAGAAAAGAAACTTTCTGAATGCTTATAAGAAATACCTTAATTAATGGGAGCCCTTCAAAGTACACAAAACATCATAACTAGGAGTTGCAACACAACCAGCAATTTGCTGATTGAAATGCATTCATTCATACTGACTTCACCTGCTGAATGGAATATTGTGCTGTACTGTCCTTAGCTATGGAGAGAGAATTAAGGAATATCCCCTTCTGGTGTTCAACAACAACGAAAGAGCAAGAAAGATATATTCCTAATTTTTAAAGAAGAATGTAGAGATACTTAAACAAGACAATGAAGGTGGTAGAAAGATTATTACCATCCCCAAAGTGTTTGCTCATTAAAACATTTTGTGATTTTCTCTGCCAATATCATACCTGTATGGATAATTGTTTTCCTATCCACACAGTTATGAGAGTGAGAAGATGGAATATAAAAGATGGAACAAGAGGGAATCTGTGTGGTGACCACAGTAATCACAGGCTGGTTGGGATCCTAAACTCGGCCACAGCACAAAAGCATGTTCAAGTTTAAAGTCATGAGAGAGGCCTGGCATAGTGGCTCACACCTATAATCCCTGCACTTTGGGAGGCCAAGGTGGGAGGATTGCTTGGGGCAAAGAGCTCAAGATCAGCCTGGGCAACATAGTGAGATCCCATCTAAAAAAATGTTCTTTAAGTTAGCCTTATGTGGTGGCATGTTCCTGTGGTATCAGCTACTCAGGTGGCTGAAGTGGGAGGGTCACTTGAGCCTGGAGGTTGAGCCATAATCATGCCACTGCACTCCAGCCTTGGTGACAGATTAAGACTCTGTCTCCAAAAGTAAAACACCAAACAACACAAAAAGTAAAGTCACAATAAAATGAGATGCTATTAAGGTTGTTTTAGGTTGATTTTCAACTAGACCAGCATTTAGCCTGTACAAAGGCATATACAAAATAAACCCTAAACCTAAATGGGATTCAGCAGCAGCAGTGTGGGTTAAAGAAGCCACCAGTTCCCTGGAGGCCAGAACCACAGGCCTGTGGCCTTTTTTATTGTTTTGACAGGGAGGTGGAAAGCAGGAGTATAACTACATTCAAGTGTCTGCTCTGTTGCTGTAGGAGAAAATCCGTGCTGTAGCACATCAAAGTTTTTCCAAATTTTATTTCTTAGGACATCTTTGGGGTTTATGTAAGTATTAAATAGAGCTCCCCTAGCCCAGGCTTACACAGGACATATGTCTAGTGTCATAGGTCTGTATGCTTAAATTATAGCAGAAAGTTTGCTAAAATTTAAGTGAAGTAATGTTGAAGGTTGAATCATTTGAAACAAACTACCTGCACCAAAATATTCTTTAGTGTACTGATTTCTATCCCACCCCTAATGAGGCTGAATTTTAATCTTAACTCTGCTTGTAATTAGGTATTTATATGTGTCTGTTATTCATTTTTTAACAAGATGTCTCTTCAGAGATAAAATGAGGGTAGCAAAAAATAATTTTAATAGCCATTTATATGGCTTTGATAACAATTGTCTGTTCTACTTATCTGACTGATTCTAAACTCTAAAGGTTATTTTACAGTTAGTAAATTACATAATTTTTATGCAACAATTTGCCTGCCAGGATTCCTATAATACTTGTCAGCTATCAGTAGGTATAAGCCTGTTAGCCTCTAATGTGAAGATAATATCTCTTTAAGTTATAACGCATTTACAATTGTTACAGTTTCTAAGGTCTTTTTGAAGTTAGAGATGCATCTGAGGATGATGGTTTTCAAGGAGATAGCTCTTTGACAAAAAATGACAATATGGGACTTAGTGTTATATTAATTTACACATTATGTTTTTGCTATAAAGAGATAAAAGGTGTGCTATACTACCTATCAATTACTGTATGCCACATTTTGTAGAATTGTTTTCCATATTATTGTAGAATGTGGCACTTAAATAGTATCATGAAAAAAGTTTATTCAAGAAATAAGACATTAATGAAATATAATTAATATATAAAGACTATATTTAAAAATAATTATGTATTTCTAATCCTAAACTTTTTAAGGTGACATTATTTTTTTCTGTGATATAATTTCAGTTGAGAAGAACTTTAAATTTTAATAAGATTTTAAGATGATTCAGTAATGTTAACATACTTTTCTTCTGTAAATTTTGTTAACAATTTAGCTGCATTAATTAAATATTTATGTAGCTAATTTTAATAGTGATATTTTAATACAATTCTTAATTTTACTCCTGGCTTTCAATCATTCATATATGTTTTTAAAAATTGCTTTTTCCATTGCTTTACTTCTTAATTACTTTTATCAAAGTCTTAATTGTGTGTGGTTGATTTTAAAAGTTAAATATTTCTATAAGATTTATAAAGACAAACTGGGTACAGTGAGTCACACCTGTAATCCCAGCACTTTGGGAGGCCGAGGGGGTAGATCACTTGAGGTCAGGAGTTCGAGACCAGCCTGGCCAACATGGTGAAAGCAGTTTCTACTAAAAATACAAAGATATGCCTGGTGTGGTGGTTGGCCCCTGTAATTCCAGCCACTTGGGAGGCTGAGGCAGGAGAATTGCTTGAACCTTGGAAGCGGAGGTTGCAGTGAGCTGAAACCATGCCATTGCACTCCAGCCTGGGCAGCAAGAGCGAAACTCCATCACACACACACACACACACACACACAAAATATATATATATATATATATATATATATATAAAATATATATATGTATGTATGTATATATACATGTATATGTGTGTGTGTGTATATATATATACACACACTATATATATATATATATATATATATATACACACACACAATAGAAATGTCCTGGCTATATCTATATTAATAGGTTTTGCACATTTAAACCAAAGTCACACATATGGTTTGATTCTAATTAATTCTAATGCATCTTGCAGGTTTCAAACTGTATTCTATTATGTAATTATCTGCTGATCCACTCTGTATCCTGTTGTGTAAGTTGCGATGATTAACCTCTGCCTTTACGATGTAATCCAAATGTAGCATATAGACCTCAATGATAAGATTGATCATGGTGCATTTAATCATTAATTTATTATTAATCTCTTTTATCCTGGTACTTAGAGTGCAGATTTTTCTCAACAACTATTTACGCAATCATTAAATGAAATACAGCCTTGTGTCACTTAGCAATGAGGATATGTTCTGAGAAGTGTGTGGCTAGGTGATTATCTTACTGTGCAAACTTCATAGAGTGATCAATCTATAATGGTGATAGCAATTTTTCAACCCTATTATAATCTTAATGAGCCATTGTTTTACATGCTGTCTCTTATTGATGTAAACGTTGTTATGTGGCACATGATTATGTAAAAGATATTAATCCATTCATTATTTATGCATTCATCCATTTGACCTATGGTAGTGTTCTATTGAAAATGAGTCATCGTGATACAGAAATCCACTGTTAGTTGTTTTTACTTTCTCTTGTTCGTGGGGAAGAGTGGGTATTGATTTTAAAAGTCTAAAGAATGGGGTATTGTGAATAGTGCCGCAATAAACATACGTGTGCATGTGTCTTTATAGCAGCATGATTTATAATCCTTTGGGTATATACCCAGTAATGGGATGGCTGGGTCAAATGGTATTTCTAGTTCTAGATCCCTGAGGAATCGCCACACTGACTTCGACAATGGTTGAACTAGTTTACCGTCCCACCAACAGTATAAAAGTGTTCCTATTTCTCCACATCCTCTCCAGCACCTGTTGTTTCCTGGCTTTTTAATGATTGCCATTCTAACTGGTGTGAGATGGTATCTCATCGTGGTTTTGATTTGCATTTCTCTGATGGCCAGTGATGGTGAGCATTTTTTCATGTGTTTTTTGGCTGCATAAATGTCTTCTTTTGCGAAGTGTCTGTTCATGTCCTTCGCCCACTTTTTGATGGGGTTGTTTGTTTTTTTCTTGTAAATTTGTTTGAGTTCATTGTAGATTCTGGATATTAGCCCTTTGTCAGATGAGTAGGTTGCGAAAATTTTCTCCCATTCTGTAGGTTGCCTGTTCACTGTGATGGTAGTTTCTTTTGCTGTGCAGAAGCTCTTTAGTTTAATTAGATCCCATTTGTCAATTTTGGCTTTTGTTGCCATTGCTTTTGGTGTTTTAGACATGAAGTCCTTGCCCACGCCTGTGTCCTGAATGGTAATGCGTAGGTTTTCTTCTAGGGTTTTTATGGTTTTAGGTCTAACGTTTAAGTCTTTAATCCATCTTGAATTAATTTTTGTATAAGGTGTAAGGAAGGGATCCAGTTTCAGCTTTCTCCATATGGCTAGCCAGTTTTCCCAGCACCATTTATTAAATAGGGAATCCTTTCCCCATTGCTTATTTTTCTCAGGTTTGTCAAAGATGAGATAGTTGTAGATATGCGGCGTTATTTCTGAGGGCTCTGTTCTGTTCCATTGATCTATATCTCTGTTTTGGTACCAGTACCGTGCTGTTTTGGTTACTGTAGCCTTGTAGTATAGTTTGAAGTCAGGTAGCGTGATGCCTCCAGCTTTGTTCTTTTGGCTTAGGATTGACTTGGCAATGCGGGCTCTTTTTTGGTTCCATACGAACTTTAAAGTAGTTATTTCCAATTCTGTGAAGAAAGTCATTGGTAGCTTGATGGGGATGGCATTGGATCTATAAATTACCTTGGGCAGCAAAGACTTGGAACCAATCCAAATGTCCAACAGTGATAGACTGGATTAAGAAAATGTGGCACATATACACCATGCAATACTATGCAGCCATAAAAAATGATGAGTTCATGTCCTTTATAGGGACATGGATGAAATTGGAAATCATCATTCTCAGTAAACTATCGCAAGGACAAAAAACCAAACACCGGATGTTCTCACTCATAGGTGGGAATTGAACAATGAGAACACATGGACACAGGAAGGGGAACATCACACTCTGGGGACTGTTATGGGGTGGGGGGAGGGGGGAGGGATAGCACTCGGAGATATACCTAATGCTAGATGACGAGTTAGTGGGTGCAGCACACCAGCATGGCACATGTATACATATGTAACTAACCTGCACATTGTGCACATGTACCCTAAAACTTAAAAGTATATAAAAAAAAAAGGGGGGGGTATACACACAATCAGGTGTCAAGCAGTGGCACCTCGTGCAAAATAATAAACTCATCTAAGATCCTAGCAGTTCATTCTGAAAATAAAGCTGGAAATATATCTTGGATATGTAAAATGTGAGTGTAAAAATTAATGAAACTAAGCAATGGGAATATGAGTAGTAAATTATTTGAGAAAATATTATAACATTTACTTTTTTAAATTTCAAAACTATATTTCCTTATTTAAAACTGAAAATTTTTGTGTACATATAGGAAACTAATTGTGTCATTTTTCTTTTTGTTACAATATAGAGTGATGTTTCAAAACACAAACATAATAGGTAGAGTCAATTACTTAGGGGAGTCTAAACCTGGAGGTAACATTAGAAATAGAAATAATAAAATGCAGTGTTTTTGGATTTGTCTGTTAAGATTATTTTAATCCAGATCATATTTAATGGTTTACATAGTTGTATATCAAATTTGGTTTCAGAAATAAATTATACAGTAAATTTAAAAATGCAAAAAATGTATATTGTTATACATTCTGTAACCTATGAATCCATATAACTTGGGCAAGAAAATTATATAATTAAAAATAAAACCTTTCTGTTCTCAATTATGTTTTAGGGACAGCTATATAGTTCACACTCACAAAGGAATCATAAAAACTCTATGTATAATCTTGGAAGTAAAAATATCTGTTGTATCATATTTATGAAGTATACAATTGATTAAAAATGATAATGTCTGTCTTCTATCCAACGGCAATAACAGAAGATAATGGCATATAAGTAGGCCTGTCTCCTTTTTTTTGGCATTGATTTATATATCTTTACTAGCTTTGTTGTTTTAACTCCAATAAAAGATTATTTAGTAAGCCAAAGCAAAAAAAAAAAAAAAATCCTGTGAGCAGCCACAAACTGAAAGACTACGATTTTTAGTCAATGTCCTAAGCAACACAGTAATTTTAGGTTAACCAATGTGTCAAAGAGAATGAGGAAAAATTATTACAAAAATGAATAAATAAACTGGTCTAGGTCAAACCGTACTCCTTCTAAAGAGAGTAGTCAACTGATATTAAAGCCTGTGACGTAGTATGTGCCATATTGAGTATGCAATATCTAAATATTTCTTTTTTTTCTTTCTCCAGCTACTGCAAACCCTAATTGTTTCCTTATCCGATCACTTTAAAGTCATTCAGCAAATCATAATTATGCCATTGTTAACATCAGAAACTGAAAACCTACTGTCAAAAGTGAGCTAAAATATCATATTTGGATTTATTTATAAATTTATTTTATAAAAAGATTGACTTTCAATTTGAGAATAACATAAAAAATCAATTCATTCCTCTGTGCATCAATATTGTATCATTGGTAGTTTAAACTTTTCATCTAATATTAGATTGCATGCAGGATTTTATATCTAATTACTCTGGCAGATGGCCTTTAGAAAGTTCAAAAATAAAATGCAGCAATTCATATTGGCAGATTTACTATTGAGACCAATGCTTTCTTAACTAAAAGGTTTTGTTTAAAATCGTTAGTTTAGGAAATCTGATAAAGATTTTTGAATATCAGAGCGTTTAAAAGAGATTCTTACTTTACATCTGGCATATTTCTTGTGTTACATATTATAATTTCATTGAACATGGCTGTCTGTAAAACTATGTATATGATCCGGAAGAGACTCAAATTAAATTAAGTTTTAACAGCCATCAATTCATTTTAAAATGACACAGGCATGAAAAATGATCTATCAAGATTTGTAAATCTTATTCTGTTAGCTATTGCTAGAGATAGTCTAAAGGTATTCTACTTGGAATTTGAGATCAAGACAAAGATTTTCTGTTGGTAATAATATTCAGATTATTTTTATTTTAATGTATAAATTTAAAATTCTTAGAATATTTTCAACAATATTTTCCATTTCTAAATTTATTTTATTTCTAAACAAATGTAATTACTTTATTTATTAACTTTTATTTTCAGTTCAGGGGTATATGTGCAGGTTTGTTATATAGGTAAACCTATAGGTAAATAGGTATACAGATTATTTTGTCACCCAGGCATTAAGCCTATGCGCGTTAGTGAAAAATGTTATTGCTTTAAATATCCAAATTATTCAGCTGCATTTGAACTCATTCTTTAGTCCAATGTAAGTAAGAGTAAAACAATGACATTTAAGGCCACCAGGCTATTCTCATTTTTGGAAAAATGCTGGATTACATTACCAGCATATTAAATGAGAATATCAAGGTGTAATATCTCCCTAGAAATTGTCTCACCTTCAATACTATTGACATTTTTGGACCTGATAATTTTGTTGTGGGCTCTAGCCTCATGTTATAGGAGGTTTACCAGTTTTCCTGCCCTAAACTTACCGGATGTGAATAGCATCTTTGGAATCTTCAGAACCTCTTTAGAGTTTGGGATTTAAGAGTCAGTAGGTAGATAGTGAGCTTAAGATGCCAAACACAACATATAAAGCTATAAAAATCCATATGATCTTGAAAGATTAAATGGAAGCCCAGCACAAAACAATTGCTGAGTATATTATTTACATTATCTGAAAGTATGCCAGACAGACACTTTATATGTTAATAAAGATATGAGAAAGAAAATTCCAAAGAGTTTCTAAAAAGTGAACAACCACAAAATTTCAATAGCTTGCAACAGACATTTTCTTCTCACTCATGTTACCTGATGGAAAATCAAATGGCTGCCTGGAGACAGCATGGAGGGAGAGACTGATTACTGAGGTGCACAAGAAAACTTTTCATAATGATGGTTGTGAATGTAGTGATATTTCCAAAAGTATATACATATATATATATATCTATCTCAAATTTGACCACATCACACATTTCAAGTATACTGAATTGACTGTGCATCTCTTATTATACCCCAGGAAAGTTGAAGATATGACAATGAAAAAAAAATTCTTCCACCGACTACCCATCAATTTTCTTCTCATTAGCCTCACAGATTTCACAGTTAATTAAAGGGAAGATGCAAATATGTTCAAACTGTACATATTCTGAGGCCCATACCTTGCCATTAGCTCAATAAAGAGAGACATTGTCCCTGGCATGAAAATGAAAAACTTGCACACTCCCTAGGTGGCTTCTGGACACTCTTAAGACATGAACACACTTTGGGGGCTCACCCTGTCAGGCTTTGCTCTCCGAGCTTAGATGAGAAAAACACAAAAATAAAACCAAAAGGTGACATTTAGGTGCCCATCAAGAAAGATGTGTTGGGAACTGGACAGGTCAGGGCTTTAAGTACTGTATCTTACTGTATGTTTAAGTACTGTATGTTACTGTGGAAACTTACCCATTTTCCCCTCAGAACAACTCTGTCTCAGGAGGTGAGTCTGAGAGCTACTGTTTCTTTGTAAAGGTTTTATCTGATCAGGCCCACGGTCACCACGTCAGCCCCACTGCCCCTAAATAGTTTGAATCTTGATGTTTTGATTTCAAGGACTTCTGATTCTAGCTACATAGCTTTGTCCATTTCCCACCTTACCACTATTTACTTTGAATTTTGTTGCATGCCGAGACCAGTGACTGCCACAAATGTGACTGTTCCTAGAATCTGCTTTCTGCTCTGATCTTTAGTCAGTGCGCAGACTCTAACATAAACTCCTTTCTATCGTATTTTCTTGAGTCCAAGAGCCCATAGATTGTATAATGCACTATTTTATGTCCCGTTAAGCAAGTAATTCGCATTGTGGCTAATTAAACTAAGACATACCACTGAATTGTAAAATGCATTATATTTTCAGGAGATATTAAAATATGAAATGTATAGGTCTTGGAATAGATGAATTGTGACAGTATCTTTGGAAAGCTAATTCAGTTGCAGTATTGCTTAAGATGTCTTTAAGAGCTGACTTCCTTTAGTTGGAATACATATGTAAATTATTTGCAGAGGAGATTTACCTCTTTTATCTCATTCATTTGTTTATTCAGTCATTTATTGATATCAATATGGACTAAGGAAAATTACATTTTTGGGTATAATCCAAATATAATACCAATTAATGTATTGTGTTGCTAAAATTATTCTAGAAATTGAAAGACCTTTCACTTGGCCCCTGTGCTTGTTTGACATATCTCACAAATAGATTTTTGTTAGTATTTTCATAATTTCTGGCACTAGAGGATGTCCCAGGCTCATCTTGTGTATTTTCTTCCCCATTCTTAGAATCAGCCACTTTCAAAGACGCCCTGCTTTCTATATATGAAATCAATATTTAAGTGCTAGCTGTGCCTGTAGCTAAGGGAATATCAATTTTTTCATAGCTCTCTAAGATGAGAGAGCAAAGAAACAATGTGTATATTCTTACACATATGTAGACACATATCTTTAAATATTTCTATATGTAAACATCTATATTAGTCCATTATCCCATTGTTATAAAGAACTACCTGATCCTAGGTAATTTATAAAGAAAAGAGCTTTAATTGCCTCACAGTTGCACAGGCTGTACAGGAAGCAAGGATGGGGAAGCCTCAGAAAACGTACAGTCATAGCAGAAGGCAAAGAGGAAGCAGGCACATCTTACATGGCTGGAGAAGGAGGAAGAGAACTAAGGGGGAGATGCTACACACTTTTAAACAACCAGATTGTGTGAGAACTAAGTCATTATCACAAGAACAGCAAGGAGGAAATCTGCCCCCATAATCCAATCCCCTCCCACTAGACCCCTCCTTCAACACTGGCGATTACAATTGGACGAGAGGTTTGAGAGGGGACAAAATGTAAACCATATCACCATCTATGTCTATATTAAGCTAAACATGGGTTCTTACTGATGTCACTACCTCTAACCTAGTCCCGCAAGCATCAATGCCTTCCTGTATCTCTAAACCCCCACTCCAACAATAAAAATCCTGACTCTTATTTTGTGACATCTATTTAGTTAATTGTTCACTTCCAGTATATGTATATAGCTGTACCAGAATTGATAACCTGCCCTTAGTAGAAGAACATCTTTATCAACTAAATTAAATGCCTTCGTACAAGTTTCTTTTGCCTTTCATCTTAAGAGACTGCACTCATTTTCAATATCACTTTGACTAGCACCCTTTCCCTTAAGTCCCTCACTGAAGTTATTTTGTATGGTTCATAATAGAGCTAGATAAATTTGTAACAGTCTGCATTCCATCCTGAGATTCTACAACCTTTTAATTAATTTTTAATTAAAAATATAACTTTTATTTTGGTAAATATTAGCACTTCTGTGCCACACTACTATATATAAATATCAAAAAAAGGTCCAGAAAGCTATAGAAAATTTAAGTAAAGTGCTGAATGTTGAACCTAACAATAACTGGGCTAAAGTAAGTACAGAAGGCAATTTTTTATTTACGTAAATTTGTGGGATACAAATATAATCTTATTACCTCCATAAAGTACGTAGTGTTGAAGTAAGGGTTTTAGAATATACATCACCTGAAAAATGTACATTGTACTCATTACATAATTTCTCATCATCCCCTCCTCCCACCCTCCTGAAATTTCCAAGTCTCTGTTGTCTATCATTCCACATTCTATGTCCATGTGTATACATTATTTAGCTTCCAGTTATAAGTGAGAACATGCAGTATTTGTCTTTCTGTGTCTGATTTGTTTCACTTAAAATAATGACCAGTTACATCCATGTTGTTACAAAAGACATGATTTTATTCTTTTGTATAGCTGAATAGTATTCTATAGCGCATATATGCCAGATTTATTAATGTAATCATCCACTGAGGGACACATTGCTATTGTGAATAGTGCTGTGATAAACATATGGGTGCAGATACCTTTTTCATACAATTATCTGTTCTCCTTTGGGTAGATCTCCAGTAGTGGGATTGTTGGGTGAAATTGCGGTTTTATTAAGAATGTATATTCTGTAGTTGCTGGGTAGTATTTTCTGTAAATGTCAGTTAGGTCTATTTCATCTAAGGTTGAATTTAAGTCTTAGGTTTATTTGTTTTCTGTCTTGATGATAACATTTAATGCTGTGAGTGAGATGGTAAAGTCCCCCAGTATTATCGTATTGCTGTCTATTCCTTTTTTATGTCTAGTAATATTTATTTGATGAATCTTGGTGGTCTAGTGTTGGATGCATATGTGTTTAGAATTGTTATATCCTCTTGCTGAATTGATCCCTTTATCATTATGTAATGACTTCCTTTGTCATTGTTATACTGTTTTAGATTTAAGTTCTGTTTTACTTGATATAAGTATAGCTATTCCTGCTTGCTTTTAGTCTCCGTTACATGGAGTATCTTTTTTCACCCATTTACTTTAAATCTGTATGTGTCTTTACTTTTCAGTCTGTATGTGTCTATATGTTTCTTGTAAGCATAATATTTTTGGATCATTTTTTAGTTCGTTCCATCAATCTACCTTTCTTTTTTTTTTTTTTTTTACTTTTAGATGGAGTTTCACTCTGTCATCCAGAGTGGAGTGCAGTGGCGCAATCTTGGCTCACTGCAAACTCCGTCTTGCAGGTTCAAGCGATTCTCCTGCTTCAGCCTCCCAAGTAGATGGGATTACAGGTGCCGGCCACCACGCCTGGCTAATTTTTGTATTTTTAATGGAGATAGGGTTTCACTATGTTGGCCAGCCTGGCCTCGAACTCCTGACCTCGTGATCCACCCACCTCGGCCTCCCAAAGTGCTGGGATTACAGGTGTGAGCAACTGCACCTGGCCCAATATCTATCAATCTATATATTTTAAGTGGAATGTTTAATTCATTTACATTCAAGGTTAATGTTAATACATGAGGTTTTCTTTCTGCCATATTGCTGTTTGTTTTCTACTTGTTTTATAAGTTCCTTGGGGTTATTTTGTTGTTGTTTTTTGTTTTTCTTTCTGTGTGTCTCTTTGTCTTTGTGGTTTGGTGGAAATCTGTTGTGTTGCTATTTGATTGCTCGTCCTACTTTGTGTGACTGTTTTACAAGACCTATGAGTTTGCTACTTTCATGTGTTTTGATGATGATGATGAATGTTGACCTTTCATTTTTGTGTTTGGGACACCTTTGAGTATTTCTCATAGGACTCGTTTGGTGGTGACGAATTCCCTCAGTGTGTGCTTGTCTGGAAAATACTTTGAATCATTTCAAGAAAATTAGCAGTGAGTTATGTCAATCAAGCCATTGGTTTGTATTTGGTGGCACATTTACTCTGTATTATTTCACACTAGAACCATCTGAGTTAAGTTTTATTATTTGCTATATGTTGCAGATGAAGAAACTGAAGCTGAGAGAGGTTTAGTGAATGACTGAAAAGGTTGTCAGGCTGCAGGGAAAAAAACAAAACAAAACTGTACGACTAGCCTGCAATGCTTCCCAAAGTATGTAGCTTATTATTATTGGTCACTTTTTGAGTACAAAATGCTGTGCTATGTAACAAAATAATACAATGTACATATGTATAAAAGTTAACATATACATATCAATTAACATAAGCATAACTGTAATCACATATACTGATAAATAAAAATATAAAGTAATATATGGTAATGACCCAACCATTTGCCTAAGTTTCATGTATTACAGAAGTTTTGAGGAGGGACTTCAGCTGTATGCAAATCAGCAATTCGGGTTGTACAGTTGATTACCCATTAGTTCAGAATTTTAATAATTTAAAATATATTTATTAAGAACCTAACAATTGGAAGACCTTACAATAGGTGGGAAAATTCGACAGATGAATAATGCTTAGGAGATATCAGCATGTTTTGGAAGGATATTCCCATGAAGAGAAAAAGTATTGTGGGAAGTGTGGGAAGTGTTATGGTGCGAGAGTAATATAGGTTCCAGCATGTGTTTACATTATTTTGTTGGAGGTGTTGGGGAACCTTTCATGGAAGGTGTGTGGTAGACTGTTGGACAGGTTTCCTCAACTTTCGTTCCACTCTTTGAAGAGGTTAGAAAATTAAAACAAAACAAGCAATGCAGCTTCCCTTGAGCTAGCTTTATGAATGCAGCTTAGACCACTTACCGATTGTTTGCATATGAATCAGACTTAGAAAAATGGAAGAGATCAAAGCCTGTCTTGCTATTGTTGATTCTGGCAAGTGAAATCATGGGGACAATAGTTCAGAAGTAGTGGAAGTGGTAGGATTCAATATCCTTGTGCCTAATCCCCAGTTTCATGGGCATAAGAGGCTTAAAGTTTTAATAGCAGGAGCATCTTTTTGACCCAGGATTGCAGAAATGATTGCGTGCCTTTGAATTCAAGAACTCAAAACCTTCCTCCATGCCACAGCTACTTTAGTTATTTTAGCCCTTCCTATTGTATATGTATGAAATGCACTTTCTGCTTAAGATACCTATTGCGGTTTTTATTTCCTTATTAAAACCTTGGAAAAATATAGCACTTAAATTATGTTTTGTAGAAATTCACTAAGCAAATAAAGCTAAAGGGGGAGAGAGTTAACCTTCTCTGCCCCCTTTTTATCAGAAGTTAGTTGTAGAAGAAATACACAATTTTTGCGCAATGTTAGCACCATCTAAGTTCTGTAGGTCTGGAACACAGACTGGTTAAATGAGCATTTCAGGAGCGCTATAGTTGCAAAGTTAAGCAGTCACCACAATTTTATGTGTCATACAAAGATTTTTAACTTTATGTTTAAGCAACGAGCCTAGAAGCAAATGGTATTTCCATCAAGAATTGTCTCATATAAAGTAGAGCGTTTTGGAAAATGGAGTTATTAATAGATAAAAACATGTTTATACAGTTGGTTTCTAAGTATGACAAACCTATTTCTTGGTAAATTGCAAGTCCATTCCACCTGTGTTTGTAGGCTCATTTGCCTAAAAGTCTTGGGATTTTTTTCTGATGATCTATTAAATTTTCTTTCTGATTATCTTTTCTAATGCTGTAATAGCATTTCTAACACTGTAATGAAAGAGAACAAAAGTACACGCTTGCTCATCATTTACTAATTCTAAAAATATATATTGAATACATCTATGTAGCAGGTACTGTGGTAGGTGTGGAAGATAGTTGAGACAGGTAACAAGCCCAACATTACGGAGCTTAGCATCACCACCTAGAAGAGTTTTTAAAAAACATAGATAAGTGAATCATGATTATAAAGACAAAGAGATTCTTGCCATATAATTACATATAAGCAAATTTAGGATGTGATGAAAGATTTTGATATTGGTCTTCTGATTTGGCTGTAGGATGAAGTGTTTATAAGTCATCCCAAGGAAGAAACAATTCAGATGAGAACTATTCAATGGATTTGCAATAACAATCCAAAGATGGAAGAAGACACTTCTAGGTAGACAAAATTGCAAGTATAGAGAATGTAAATTAAGAGAGAGCTTAGCTTTCAGATGAATTAAAAGATTGTGGTGATCAGAATGTAGAGATTGACGAGAGACAAATGAAATAAAACTAGAAGGACAAGTAGAGATTTGTGGGTCAAGTTTTAAAATTTTATTATAAATGCACTGATACTGTTCTGAACATTTTCTTACACATGGAAATTTAATGATTATGGCTATTGAAAAATGTAACTCTTCATTTATATTTTTCCGAGAATGAAATCGGTGGAATTGCTGGGGGGTGAAAATGTCCAATGCGAAACAGGAGGCTAATTTAAGAAGGGATACTGCAAAATTGGTCATGATGGCTCAAACTGCTGTTCATAATAGAGAGAAGAAAATGGATAGAGTTACATATGGATGAGAGTAAATTGACAAGGCTAAATGCTAAAACGTGGGTAGTGACAGAAAGTAGGTGTCAAAATAGACTTCCAGGAAAAGAAAAAATGGGTCTACAGAAGAGCCAAATGCTGATGTGGGTTACATGATCCTGAGCAGATGCAGTTGTAATTGGTTAAGTAAAGTAAGTTCTTAAGATAGATTTGGCCTGGCGCTATACATTCTAGAGCCCTTGAATATAAGTGGGATATAAAACCATGGGAATGACTGTATTTGTCTAAGGAGAGAATTTGGCAGAAGAAAAGGAGACATAAGATGAAATGCAGAGGAAATTCAAATTTAATTGGCAGGTGTAGGAAGACAAGGAGATGACAAAAGGAACTGGAAATGAGTAATCAGAGACAGAAAAGTAAAAGTAAGAGTAGAATGTCATGGAAGGCAAATAATTGGAATGTTTCAAGATCAGGGAAATGGGCAATAAAGAGAAGAAAAAAATAGTGACCAGAGGGTATAGTAATGTGTAGAAATTCATCCTGTGTTAGGTTTGATTGCTTAGACGTTTTATATAAAAATCTTTCCCAGAGAGTAATAAAACAGAAGTGAGGTTAGAGAAAGAACATACGATTTAGCCAAAAGGTGGGAAAAGTTAGGAAATGAAGAATAAATATGTTTAAAGATAATGTTATGGCTACTCAATGTACAACCTCTTTTCTTTCATTATTTTTAATTGTCATATTTAAAAATAGTAATTACCACTTTTAAAAATTGTCTTATTATTTGTTACATAAGAAAATGCATTAATTCAAGCCACATAGTATCATTTATATTATGACTGTCGAAACATTACTAGAATTACTAGAACTATTAACCTAATGGCCTGAAAATTTCAACTCACTTCCCTAGCTGTCCTGATGATCATTAGTGAAAGGAAAGACTCCATTAGATAATGCTTACTTATAGAGAACTGGTTATATCTGTCTCATTTCCATACATATATCTGTATAAATTAATTTGATTAATAAAACAAACACAAGGCACAAACAACAAAACACAATTTATAAATGTCATTGAAAAATGCATGCCTGTACAATTTGGGTATTTGTAATTGTAAATTGATATACTTCATTTTTTATCCAGGAGTTACTTAGATTGAAACTTTACCTAATGTATGATAAAATAATACGTGATTAAATTTAAAAACATGATGAATTTATTTAAAATTGGCTTCAATAATGTCAGAAAGTAATAAAATAAAATGATTCCTTCAAAGACTGCACCTGTTTATTGCCTGAGATTATCTCTCTTGGCCACAAATCAATATTACTTTCTTTCATTCATCAGTGATAAAGCTTTTCAATAATTCTAATTTTAAAGGATGATTACAGCAAGTATATAGTCATTGATTGCTTAAAGGTTGCAGCTAAAATGAACACAATGGTCATTTTATTTTTAATAAATGAGCCCTTTTGAAAAGTCAAGCATTTTTCCTCTCACAAAACTTTGTGTAATAAGATTATAGATTTGATCATGTATGAGTTTGCACTGTGTGTGTGTATATATGTGTGTGATTTCAGCGATAAAGTTCACTGTTCCACAGCTGGCAATTTCTTCTGCTTAATTGAAAATTCCGTTTTAAAATATTTCTTTAAAGTTCTAAAATGGGTTTAAATGGGTTCATGAGCTGTAATACTATTAAAAATATATATATATCTACATATTTGTTGATTCTTCTCAGTTTAAGAAGTGGAGCTTCATACTCCTCCCCTTGAAGGCAGGCTAAGCTGAGTGACTCCCATCTAAGAAATAAAACACCACAGGATTGGAATGTTACCTTCTGAGACAAGGTCACAAAGGCTAGGGTTTTAATTTTGAGTGAACTAATTTGCTCCTTACTGGTGTTTCTCTCTCTTTCTCTCCTTCAACTCTTTACGAGCCCAGCCACCATGCAAATAATTCCAAACTATCTTTTCTAGAAAGCTCACATGAAGAACCGAGGCATCCTATCTGATATCCAGCCAAATGATTAAACATTCTAGAAGCAGACTATGATGCACTGAATTTGTGAAATCCTAACCCCCAGTGTAATGATAGTAGGAGGTGGAGCTTTTGGTAGATGATAGTCTGTCTTCATGTTGGGGATTAGTGCCTTGATTATTATTTTTTATTTTTATTTTTATTTATTTATTTATTTATTTTTTGAGACAGAGTTTTGCTCTGTTACCCAGGCTGGAGTGCAGTGGTGCCATGTCAGCTCACTGCAGCGTCTGCCTCCTGGGTTCAAGTGTTTCTTCTGCCTCAGCCTCCTGAGTAGCTGAGTAGCTGAGACTACAGGTACGCACCACCACACCTGGCTAATTTTTGTATTTTTAGTAGAGACGGGGTTTCACCATACTGGCCAGGCTGGTCTGGAACTCCTGACCTCGTGATC